>NC_000023.11:151445302-151748333 GCF_000001405.40 Homo sapiens | reverse complement strand
ATTGCCAAAGTGAAGGTGTAGATAATGCCTAGTCTTGTTACATAATGGGGATGTGGTTTGCAGAATTTTCTTTATAAAATTGTAGTTTCAAGGGATGTCAGTGTTTATGCCACTTTTCCAGTTCCAAAATGATTCCATTCCATTGTAGAAATTTGAAGTATGTAACTTGAAATCCTTAATAAAATTTGGATTTAATTTTATTTAAAAAATAAAAGAAAATACCTGAAAGCTGAAGAGAACATAGACATTCGAGACATGGCAAAAAGTTATGAGAGAGTGGGCCCAAGGATATCTGGGGAAAAGAAAACTGGAAGAGGGTGGGAGCTGAGCCCTGGAGTCTGTGTCTTGAACCAATGAGCTCCCCATGTGGTCCAGAGAAGGTGCCTGCCTTGCCCTGGGGAAAACCAAATCCAAGACACAATGTCCATCCCATGATGTGGGCTGGAAATCAGGCACCTGTTGGGGCTGGGCTGATGGTGAACCAGGCTCCAGGGAGAACACTGAAGATTTCTTGCTGAAATCAAGGCAAAAAATTTCAATGCAGTCATCCCCCTGTTTCTGGCCCCAGTACCATCTTACGCCTGCAAAAATTACATTTTGTCCTGGTTCCAAGACACGGTAAAAACTGAACTCAGTGCAACCTTAGCAATGAGGTTATTGGCAAGGAGCTGGCTAGGTCTCCGAAGACTCCTCCTGTTGCGTGGGGTTCTCTTGAGGCAAAGGGGTTTAGAGCTTTTTCTCCAAGCCCAATACCCAAAGGGGGGTGTACACAAAGCACTGCTCCATCATGAATGCATCTCTCTCCTTCTGCAACTTTCAGGGACCAGGACCTAGGCATGTGTCATGTTACAGATCCGTCCAGGTGAGTCTTCCCCTGGTTAAGGTTTCTTCCTCTAAGCTAGGGAAGAGGTCAAGAAACTACACTAAATGTAAAAGAAGCCTGGCCAGAAGGATGAATCCACATAAAAAGGAATGGTAATGCCAAAAGCACAGGCAACAGAAGCAAAAGCAGATGAATTGAATTACAACAAAATTAAACACTTCTGCATACCAAGGGGCACAATCCACATGGTCACACCGTAGAAAAGCAACGTAGACAGTAAGGAAAATAGTTACAAATCATAGCTGATAAGGGTTTAATATCCAGAATATATAAAGAACTTCTACAACTTGACACTCCAATTAAAAAATAGCCAAAGAACTTGAATAGACATTTCTCCAAAAAAGATATACAAACGGCCAATAAGCTTGTGAAAATATGCTCAAAATCACCACTCATTAGAGAAATGAAAATCAAAGCAACAGTAAGATTCACCTGACACCCATTAGGATAGCTACAAAAAACACAGAAACTAAGTGATGGGGAGAATGTAGAGAAATTGGAACCCTTGTGCATTGCTGGTAGGAATGTAAAATGATGTCACTGTTTTGGTGACACACAGAAAAGAAAATGGTTCTTCAAACAATTAAAAATAGAATTACTAAGTGATCCAGCAATTTCATTTCTGAGTATATGCCCAAAAAACTGAAAACGGGGTCTCAAAGAGCTATTTGTATACTCATGGATACAGGAATATTCACCATAGTCAAATGGTGGAAACGACCCAGGTGTTCATCAAGAAATGAATGACTAAGCAAAATGTGGTGATCTATACAATCAAATATTATCTGGCCTTAAAAAGGAAAGAAATTCTGACACATGCTACAACATGGATTAGTCTTGAGGATGTTATGCTGAGTAAAATAAGCCAGACACAAAGGACAAATACTGTATGATAGCACTTATATGAGGTCCCTAGAGAAGTTAAATTTATAGAGACAGAAAGTAGAATGGTTGCTTCCAGGGGCTGGGTAGAAGGAGCAATGGGGAATTTTTACTGGGGACAAAGTTTCAGTTTTGCAAGGTGAAAAATTCTCAAGATTGTTTTCACAAAAATGTGAATATACTTAACACTACTGAACTGTACACTTACAAGTGATTACGATGGTAAATTTTGTGTGTATTTCACCACAAGAAATACATGAATAAATAAGTGGTGTGCATGTGAACAGGAAGGCCTCTGAGTCTGCACCTGGATTTTCTTGCCCACTAATTAGTACTTTTCCTTTAGGCTCCTGATCGTGTTAGAATGCCCAGCTGAAAGACCTGATACTCCAGGAGATCTTTCCCAACTCCCCCAGCAGAGCCAATGCTTCTGTCAAGGCATGACTGCTGTCAGGGAGAAGCATGAGAGTTTTGGTCCGCTGTGTTTCTTTGCTCATTCATCCATTCATTCACTCATTCATGTGTTCACTTACTCCCCCAATGAATAAATGTTCTCTGAATGCTCCTCAGTGCCAGCTATGTCACTGAGGCTCCAAATAGACACATGAGGTAGACTGTCTTGGCCTTGTCCACAGTCAGGAGGGGAAACCAAGTCCACTAAAACTGACCGCACATTACAAAACCAGGACAGAGAGGCTCTGCGCTGTGGGAGCCTACAGAGGAGATAATTGACTAGTGTGGGAGTGGTTGCAGTCAAGTGGGCCTTCTGCGAGAACGTGGTGCCTGAGGTAAGCCCTGAAGGACCCATAAGGCTTAGGCAGGCAGGGAGAGGTGGGAGAGTGTATTTCAGACCGAAAGAGTTCTGGATAGGGGCAAAGAAAAGTAGTCTTTCCTTCATATCCTTGCGTTTCACATCTGCAGGTTCAACCAATGGCAGATTAAAAATATGCAGGAAAAAAATAACAGATCAAAATAATACAAAGAAAAGATACAATATAACAGCTATTTACATAGCACTGACATTGTATTAGGTGTTACAAATAATCGAGAGATGACTTAAAGTATGGGAGGATGTGCATAGGTTATATTCAAATACGACGTCATTTTGTATCAGGGACTTGAACATCCACAAATTTTGGTATCCATGGGGACTCCTGAAAGCAATCCCTGATGAATACTGAGGGACAACCATATGGTGAAAAGAGAGGGATTAATGAAGGGAGGGAGAGAATGTGAACAGCAGAGTTGAGCAATAACCACAGATAGTTCAAAGGAATTTTTTAACTCATAGGTGCCTCTAATGCAGATATTAACTTGAAGAGTCTCCCCACCACCAGCAGTTTTCAGGGCCTCTTTAGGAATGCTCTTCATAGGGGAGGGATGGCCAGAGCTGCCAGCTACCTCTGTCTCCAGGTGGACAAATGCCAGTTGCCTTGCTCCTCACTCCCTGCCCTGGAATGGACCAGAAGCCGGGTCTATCTCCTTGGTCCACAGAAGACTGCAGAGATCCCATCCTGGCTAGCAGACAGACAGATCAATCTACAGAGCAGGAGCTGGAGCATCTGATGGGGGAGGAATAACCCTGAGTGGGCACCCTTCTACCCCCTCCCAACAACACTATCACATCCCTTGGCCTGTCGTGGGAGACAGACACTGGGTACCTGATCTAAATGTCTATAGTCGGTGCTCGAAGTACATGCGTGTGCAGGGAAAAAGGAAGCATTCAGAAGACATGTTAGAAAAAGCGGGGGCCAGAACCAAGGGAGGGGTCGCTATGAGCAAAAGAGCCAGACTCCTGGCAGACAGCTGCCCCCTTCTCCCTTCCTCAGACTTAGGCAGGCCGAAGCTCTCGGAAGCCCAGCCAACGCAGTCTGTACTCTCCACAAACTTGGGCTAAACTTGGAGGCGGAATCTTGGATGTTTAGGCCAAAAACCCAGGGTCAGAGAGGCTTTTGGGAGAATTCAGGGAACATGAGGGTAATGCATGTAAATCCGGAGATCTAAATAGCTCCTCTAGCTTCTGGGATCAAGGCCAAGGCCAATGCTGGAGAGGCAGTTGGGCCCCAGGTCTTATGGCTCGTCAGCAGCAGCCAGCTCAGGGCTGTTCATCCCATCAGACAGGTAGTCATCTTCATTGTTCTGTTTCATCTTGGTTTCCAGAACTGTGATGCGCTGCTTGAGCTTCTGCTGGGCCCCCGTGTACTCAGCCAGCAGGCGGCCAAAGCGAGTGTACAAGGTTTCCATGTTGGTCTCCAGCTGCCCTAGCTTCTCCTGCACGTCGACCTCCATGCTGGTTGCCACTTCGTTCTCATCCAGCAGTCCCTCCTTCATGAGGATCTCCCGACCCCTCTCTTCTAGGACTTTCTTGGCATCAGGGTACTCAGTCACAGCTTCCATAAGATCATCCTTGGACAAGCAGAAGAGATCTGAGTAGCCCAGGCTGCGGATATTAGCTGTGCGTCGATTGCCCATTTTACTGCCCTTAATGTTAAGGATACTGATCTCGCCAAAGCAGCTTCCAGCCGACAGCAGAGCATACTGAGTCACACCATCATCAGCCACCACTGCCAGTTTGCCCTCCTTAATGATGTACATCTCCTTGCCGATGTCCCCTTTGCGGCAAATGTAATCCCCAGGACTGAAGACCTGAGGACGGAGTTTCAGTACCAGCTCTACCAGCAGGCCAGCCTCACAATCATGGAAGATGCGCACTTTCTTGAGTGTGGACAAGTGGACATTGATGGCTATCTCAGCCCTGAGCTTGGCTGGCAGATTCTTGAGAATTTCTCGCTCATCCACTGTCTTCTTATTGGTCCACAAGTAGTCAAACCACCTAATGACCTTGGCTTCCATCCCCTTGCTGACCTTTCGGAACTGCATGTAGTGTTTCACGGCATCGATCTTAGCCTGGAACTCTGCCCGGGTGGCATTCATGTTGGAGATCATGGAGCCCACATTTCCCACGATGGTGGCAAAGATGAGGACGCCAATCAGGAAGTCAAAGATGACAAATAGGTACTCCTCATCCTTTACAGGGGGTGGTGTCTCCCCAATGGTAGTGAGAGTCAGTGTGGACCAGTAAAGGCAATAGATGTATTCCCTAGCCAGGTAGCCATACTCAGGGTCAGTGATGTTTGGGTAAACCCAGGTGTCGACCCCAAAGCCTATGGATTTGGAGATGGCATAATAGATGCAGGCATTCCAGTGGATGATGACCAAGATGTAGAGGACAAGGTTGCTGATGCGGAAGATGTTAGGGTAGTTGGTGCGTGTCTCTGTCCGGTCAAAGAACTCAAACATGCGGGCAAAGTGCAGCAGGCGGTTGAAGCGCACCTCAGGGCTGTGGATGTCCACAGCAAAATAGATCAGGTCAGTGGGGATGATGGAAGCCACATCCAGCTTGAACTGCAGGGTGTGGATGTAGTTGTCTCGCAGTTTCTTGGTATCTTTGACCAGCAGCCCCTGCTCCAGGAAACCTAGTAGAGATGAAAGCCAGCATGTCATCTCTGCCCTCAGGGTATATATATACATATATATGTGCATATATATACATATATATGTGTATATATATATACACATATATATGTATATATATACATATATATATACATATATATATACATATACATATATATATATATATCCTTCCCTATAGGCTAATATCTCTAGGCAAGGAAACTACTGCTCACTGAAACTTCCTTCCCAAGGAAGGATATAGCTCACATACCAGGGCTGGCCAGAAGGACTCTAAGAGAACACCCCGAGATCAAAACCTCTCTATGCATGTGGGACCATGAGGTTCAAAGAAGGGTACTCACCTACCAGAGTCCCACCCAAGCAATTTAGTCCAACACCATGTCCAGTGGGCTTCCTAAAAATTTGGACTCAGGCCTTCGGATTTACCTGCATCCCAGTTGCTCACTGACCTGTGCGCAATCGGATGAAGAGGTCCGCAATGTAGACCACATCTGAGACATAATCCAGCACCAGCCACACCAGGTAGTAGCCTTTCTGTAGGTCACTGAAGCAGGCTCTGCGGGAGGACAGGGCTAAGCTTCACCCCCAAAGCCAGCCAAAGGTCCCTTGGAGGCCCCAAACTGAGTGTTCACTGTGTGCAGGGCTTGGGATGGCTACCAGGGGCATCATTTAGTCACAGTCAGCCTGATGCCAAGAGATATTTATCTACAAGTAACTTCTGCCCCACCCCTCCTCATTACATAACATCACTACATAGACAGCACCACTAACCATTAATTTTCTGTCTCACCCTCTGAACTGTGAGCTCCAGGAAGGCAGGGACCCCTCTTAGTCATTACGGCATGCCCCATGCCTGACCTAGGGCAACAGGATTTGAGCACTCAATGGCTGTGAGTTGAATGAATGAACAAGTCATTGGAAGAATAAACTACAGCACACAACTGAACCATCTCCATGCTCATCTCTTCAACATACATCTTATTCAGCACCCAATAAACAGCACTAGCCAATACACGTGAGAGGGAGAATAGTAGTGGGAATGGAGAAAGTTTGGAGGTTGCAGAACTTTTTAAAAGGAAGTGGCAGGATTTGGCAACTGAGTAGGGAGAGGACTGGGGAGAGAGCAGAGTCAGGGACACAGCCCAGGATGATTGTCCAGTGAGTGTACTAGTCAAAGGGGAGAGCCGTTAAGTCTGACTACTTGGTCACATTCAGACTCAAACTCCAGCCCCCTCCCCTTCCCACTGAGACTGCAGAGCTGGCCCATGCCAGTGATGGCTCACTCACAGCCTCCAGCCACACTAGGCCATCCCGAGACAGGGTTTTCATACTTGCTGTTTCTTCTGCCCAGAATGCTCCCTCCACCATCCTCAAGTATCTAATTGGCTGCCTCCCTCCCACGAGCTAAGGCATCACCTCCTCAGAGACGCTGATCCTGACTGCCCTTTCTCTAGCCACCAGGCCCTGGCATCATTCTGGTCATTTGTTTCATTTCAGGTTTACAGTCACTGTCCGCCACTAGCCTGAGAGCTCCAGGAGAGCAGAGACCATGGTTGTTGTGCTCATCACATTATCCCCAGCACTGAGCACACATGAGGTGCTCAGTCAAATCCTTGCTGAATGAATGACTGGGATTGGGACGGAGTAGGATGGGGAATGCTGCCAAGGAAAGCTACATGTAGATAGTGGCTTTTGAACTTAGCCTGCAAGGAGAAGAATCTCCATAGGTGGAAAATGGAAGGGAAAGGGAATTTTCTCTAGAGGAAACAGCATGTTCTGATCCAAGAGTGGTGAATGCTGGGGCTGGGGTGTATCCAGAAGGTGTAGCAAGAGAAAAAGGTCAGGTCCAGAGGAGTTTGAAGGCCATGCTTAGACCTTGAACTTCCTCCTGTGGACAATGGGGAGCCACTTAAGGGTTTGTGAGGAGGGAATGGCATCACCAAATCCTAGTTTGCTATCAAGCATGTTTGTTGCAAATGTGGAGGATGCACCCTAGGTGTGTGGAACCACTGTAGTTGTCCCAGACACAGGACAGACAAGAAATCTTCATGGCATATTAAATGGGGAGAGGGTTGGGGTTAACAGAGAAGTTGGAGGTGCCATTGGTATCCAGGGACTGCTGCGCCGTCAATCCCGGGGTCTGAAGACTGGGTTGCTTTGGCCACCCCTCCTGGGCCCCACCCTGCTCACCTGGCCACCAGCAGGCACCAGTTGTAAAGGACGGGCATGGCAATGACAAATAGCCAGCAGTAGTACCAATCCCCAGCTGGGTCCAAGACAAATAGTTCAAATTTCTTCCTGAGAAGACAGACAAAGGCAAGGTTTGGGGATCAGGTCCCCCAGTGTGATAGCACCCCAGCTCCCAGAAACCAGAAGTGCCTGAGAAAGCAAAAGCACTGCCGAAGGGTATATGTGGGGTGAAAGATGGGTTGGCTGAGGGCCACATTTTTCAGGGAACTACAACCTGGTACTGGACATCTGAGTGGAACTCAGATGGGCGGGGGCACCCATCTTCTCATTCTGAACCTAGATAGGTCCATTGGTTCCCATGCACGTTACAGGCCCCTTGCCCAGAGGGCATGTCAAGGGGCAGAGCTTTCAGTAGTGGTGGGTCTCAGGGCCTGGGAAGGGATTTCCACAGGATGATAATTGGGGCTTAGGCCTATTCCCACATCCCTCCCTAGAGAGAGGTGCTCCAGGTGAGTGAGCACCATGAGCTTCCTGCCCACCTCACCCTCCCTTTTTGGTCATTGGCCTCCAGCCTCCAAATCACTTCCCCAGATGTTGTGTCCTGCTTTGACAAGGGATGTTGTGTCCTGCTTTCTCTCCACTAGCCAGAGGTGGGGAATGTCAGCTTGGCCAGACATCTGCAGTTGCCTTCTCATTCCTCAAAAGACAAACCCTCCAGCTCTGCCTTCTCTGCCCTCCCCATGCTATCCTGCTCCATCATTCAGCGCTTCTCCTCCATCCCTCTACATGATCTCTTCAAAGACCCACTTCCTTGCCCACAGTGGAGATGAGATTGGCATCCCCTCCAGGGCACTCCCTGAATGCACCCTCTCAGTATTTCCTGACCACTGGAACTGGGCTATACATTCATGTGCAGCAAGAGGACATCTGGCAAGAGGCAACTAAGGCGAGAAAAGACACCAGAGGTTCTCATGGCAAGTAGGCCACTGGCTGTTGGGGAAACAATGGAAATATTCTGGAGGTGAAAACATTGCAAATCACCCTTGCCCACCACTCTTTTTACTACAGCAGGGCTTGTCATAGCCCCTAGCAGTAGCATAGAAACCCCAGTGAGCTCTTCCATTGCATGCTTAAAGCCCATTTGAGTCCCATAGGCTGAACAGCTGTACTTGGTGCCTTTGTCCTCGCCATCCTTGTCGCCTTTGCCATCCCCCTCCTGTGTGGTCACAGTCTGGAGTTCAGGCCCACGAAAACGCTCGAGGAATGAGTCAGGCCTAGGTTCCTCCTCTCGGAAATTCTTGTTGGCCCATTCTCTGATGATCCCCACCAGGCGAACTATCCTAGAGGTGAGAGAAAAAGAGTATGAGCCAGAGCCAAGACTCATGCTGTTCAGAAAGCACCAGTCCCCAAGAGCTCACTGTCTGCTAAGGAAGATGAAAGAAGGACAGTGAAACCTACAAACAGGCCAGACCATGATTTCCCGTGTGCTAAAAGCTGGGGTAGAGGCCATAGGGCAGGGGGCTGGGGCTCAGGCATGACCCTGAATGCAGTCCAGGGGGAGACTGCTGTCCTGGGAAGACTTCCTATAGGAAGTGCCATCTCAGTTGATGGTGCGAAGAGCAAGCAGGAGGTCTTCAGGGAAAGTTGGAGGTGGTGTTAAGGCAGGAACTATCATGAGTAAAGCTTGCCCTGAGCTTCCTGCTTTCCCTATGGAGCCTCTGACTCTGGGACAGAGAGGCCTTGGGTCCTCTACCTAGGTCTCTCTACCGGGAAGGATATCGCTCCCTGATGCTGAGACAGCCAAATGTGAAGGGAGGCCTCTTCTGGCCCCTCTGAGCTTGCCTGCCTTGGGGTTTGCCCAGACCTCAGGAGGACGGAATTAAATTTGGCTACCAGTGACAGTGCTCCTTGGAGGTCTTGGTGGACAGGACTGGTGGGACCGTGAAGAGGAGGGCAGTGGTAGCCACCCTGACAGGCTCCATGCACAGGAAGGGGAAGCAGCAGGGTAGTGGTGGGACCCACCTGCGGAAGCCACTCCTTCCCTGCTGTGGGGCATCCACGTCTGCCAGCCTCTGCAGTTCTGAGGAGGTGTCATCGTCAGCTGCAGAGTGTGGCCTGCAGAAAAAAGAGCAGAATTGACCCAGGGTTCTCAGGGCATGACTTGTCTCCCCTCCTGGGTCATGCTTAGAAATCCCATGTTCTTTTTAGAGGCTGTCCTGGAGACAAAGATTGCTTGCTCTGTGACAATGAGGCAGAGATGGGAAGAAGTAGCAGCCTCTGTACCTTCCCTGATACCATGCAGACTCACCTGCTGCTTGTCCTGTGGTCATCTTTGCCATTGGCCTTGATGGCAGGAGGTGCATGATGGTTGTGATTATTGGCTGGGGAGCTCTTCACACCATTGGTTTTTTCGGTCATCCTCCATGTACAACCAGAGCACTTATCTGCCAGGAAGAGGGCCAAGAAGAAGGTCACAGAGGACCCTGACACCCACAGAGAGTGGGAGAGTGGCAAGTGAACAGGATGGATTAGAACCCAGGCCCACCTGGCCAACCTCAGCACCCTCAGGCACTGCTGTGGCAGTCAGGGCAGTGGGATTCAGCAGTCCCTAAATGCCAGGCACCAGGGCCCAAGAAAATGAGGGTACTCCCCCAACCCTAATATGTAATTGTAAATGGAAACAGTGCTAAACTACAAAATGCGTTTGCTTTTCTATTTTACCCCAGTATTTTTTTACATACAAACTATCAAAGCTAACACAAAACATAACTAACAAAAACTGTTTAAGCCATCTTCCTGTGCCTTCACTTTGCAGATGTCTGGCACATATTTAAGCTGCCGAGCAGCTCCAAGGCAGCCACTGCCCCAAAGCCCTGGCCCAAGCAAGGAAGTGCATCTCCCTGACCCAGAGTAGCTTCCCTTTTCCCTAAGGAGCATGAGCTCTGAGGTGGTCTCCAGTGAGGAGAACCAGAAAGCTGGGTGGCTTGGGGAGGTGTGGGGTAGAGAGCAGCTGCTCTGGGCCAGGGAGACGCACCTCCTCCCTTGGGCCAGGGCTTTGGGGCAGTGGCTGCCTTGGAGCTGCTCGGCAGCTTAAGCATGTGCCAGACATCTGCAAAGCGAAGGCACAGGAAGATGGCTTAAACAGTTTTTGTTTGTTTTGTTTTGTTTCAGCTTTGATAGTTTGATAGTGAGGGCCCTCTCCTCTGCGCAGAGCAGGAGAGGGACAAGTCAGTGTTCTGTGCCAGAAAAATCCCTCTGGCTGCTCTGTGGAGCCTGCATTAGAGGGAGAACAAGGGTGAAGGTTGGGGCAGGGAGGAGGCTGGACAAGAGTACCAATGGAGCCCAAGACAAGAGGGCAGAGTGCGGAACTATCTGGGAAGGAGATTGAATGGGACTCAGAGGAGTGGATGTGGGGAGCAATGGAGAGAGTGGGTGGGATCACAAAGAAAGAGGAGACAGAGTGAGGGTCTGGGGCAGAGTTGTGGAGAACCCCAATATTTCAGAGTTGCACAGAGGATGAGGTGTCCACAAAATAGATGGAGAAGGAACAGCCGAGGAGGTAACAATCTAGAGGAGGGACAGGAGATTGTGTCCCACAGTGTCTCTTGCCACAGAGTCAGGAGATACTTGGAGGAGCTCTTCCCTGCCAGGGCTGGTTGGCATGCCCTACCAGGTGTGGGCAGAAATGGTCAGCATGACCCCCAGATTTCCCACAGCCCATGCTGCTGGACCCACAGTCCGGAAGCTGTCCCTGGAGCTCCCTCAACCCCCGCCTAAGCTTGTTCCAGCCTCTGAAGCTGTCACCATGGCGATGGCAGGCACGTCAAACAGCCTCAGAGATGCTCACCTGGTGCTCTCTGCGGAACTATGGCACCAGGATAGTAACGAGGGCACTTGAGGGAAAGGAACCAGCATCACTGAGTCCCTGCTTGGACCCTGGAGGCAGCAGACCATGGAGACAAAAAGTTTCAGGCAATGCAAACAAAGCCGGAGCCATTCGCACCAGAGTTTCAGGGCTGGCCTCCTGGAAAAGCTGGTGTTGAAGATGAAGCTGGCAGATCAAAAGGGCTGTAATCCAGGGCCAGGCCAGTGCTGGGGGCACAGCATATGTTCACATCCTCTCTAAGGTTCTGTCACAAAGGCAGATTCCCCCACCCCATGACCCCTGCTCCTTCTGTACCAGGAAACAGACCCGTCCCTGAGCCTGACTGCCTGCACACCCTCCCCTTTGCCAGAAACTGCCCCCTCATGCTGCTTGCTGGAAACAAGGCAGTGGGGCTGGTGGGTCTCATGTATACACCCTCTCCAGGAAACCTCAAGTCCCAAGGCTCCAGCTACCATCATGTCAAATCAGCTCCTCCTCAAAGTTACCCACCTCTGAAAGGGGCCTGCCCTCTTCCCAGTCACTCAAGCTGGAAGCCTGGTGTCAACCGTAACTCCTTGTTTCCTTTATCACATCCAAGCAGCCTCTGCCCTGAGTAGATTGTCCCCACAAAAAGCGTCAAAGTTCTGTCCACCCATTGCCCTCCAACCCCAAGGCCCTGGACTGGTCTCAAGCCTTCAACATGGCTCTCCAGGCCTGCTGCAGTGGACTCCAGATGGCTCAGTGTTCACTGGGGTCTGGACTGGAGGTGGGCGCATGATCACCAGGGTTTACATTACAGGTAAAGCTCTCAGGGGGATGTGTCCATCCCCATATCATGAGAACAGAGAAAAAAGCTAAGGGTAGAGCTCTGGGGAGCTGCAACCATGAAAGACAGCTGAGGGGCTGGGTGAGTGAAGGAGAATGAGGCTGGGGATGTGAGAAACATGAGGGAGTTCCCAGGGAAGGCAGAACTTTCAGGAAGGGAGCTGTCTGCAAGGCCAATGCCCCCCTCCCATATCAGGAAGATAAGTGTTCTATGCCGGGTACTTCTTCCCCCTGAGATGAGAGCTGGAGCGGGCACTGGGTGGAACAATAGAGGCCTCGCTGGGGACCTTATCAAGAGTAGCGTCAAGGAGTGGTGGTCAAACAGAGCTTGTTTCATGAAGTTTCAAGCGAGGAGTAGGAGGGGACAGACAAGAGATAGAGCACATAGCTCAGTCTTTCTAAGAGACTGAGCAAGAAAAAGAGGAAAGATAGAGTGGGAACTGGAGGAGGATAGGGGGCTGACAAAGGTTCTCTGTCTTGCTGTTGCTGTTATTTTCTATGTCAAGAAGATAATAAAGCAAGCTTAAAGGTTTTGAGGAGGAATTCAGTAGATAATAAAAATATGTGTGCTTGTGAGCCACTCCAGTTGAGGCTGAAGCCCATGAAACATGGGTGGAATGGGAAGGTTCAGGTACCAGAGGAAGTGACAGGAGACAAATCCAGGACAATGGGAAGGGGTTGCTGAGAAACAGGCCACAAGACAGTTGAAGGGATTCACTCTTGCAAAACCCCAGTGTTCTAAGTGAAATGGGAGGGATGGGGGGATCTCATCTTCAGAGACACCAGGCAGCAGTAGGTGCAGACTTTGGAGGCCAGAACGTTTGCAATAGCTGCTGCAAGGACAGACAGGAGATACCAAACAAGTGCGAGGACAAGAAAAGGCTTGGCAAGGAAGATGACAGACCATGTACCTACCAAAGAGAACAGAGATGGGCAACAGATCTTAGATGAGCAGTGGGATTCTCAAGGAGGGTGGTTTAACAACCTAGAGTAAGGCATGATTATTTGGTAAAAAGTCCAAACACAGTCAAGGTGGAGTTGTAGGCCTCTTTTCTCCTTATCCACAAGTTGAGCAGCCAGCCCAGGACTTTAAAGAAAAACCAGCCTAGTCAAGGAGTTTATTGAAAGAATTTTGAGGAAAATTCCTTCCTAGAGAAGTCAAGTCAGAGAGAGAAGGAACAAGTTCATCATATAGCCAAGATTAGAAGTTTCAGTTCATGGCCCATTCATTCACTCATCTATCTCACACACATCCCCAAGACACCTACTATGTGCCAGGTCCTTTGCTGGGTGCTGAGTTTAGAAAGAAGTGTCTGGCAGTCTCGAGCTCAGTGGTGGTCCCAGAGTAAGAGATAGACAGGAACACGATTTATCCCAAGTCACTTCTCTGTCCATGTTCTATTGTGTTTCTGAGCAGCATCTAACAGTTTATCCACGCCATCTTTCTTGAAATAATAGAGTCTACTCCCTTCGTTCTCCTCCTCCTCACTGGCCACTTCTCAGTGTTCTTTGAAGAGGCCTCCTCTTCTTCTCCAACTCTAAATGTCGGAGTGTCCCAAACTCAGTCCTTCAATGGACTTCTTGTCTTTTCTCTCTTCATCACCTCCTTCTCCAGTCTCATGGCTTTAAATACGTCTGTATGTTGATGACTTGCAAACTCTTAACACCAGTTCAACCTATCCCATGGATAGTAATTTACCTCCCTCACATAACCACTTGGATTTTGAATAGGCATCTCAGGCTCCATATGTCCAAAAGTGAGTTATCTTCCCCTCAAAAGCTTATCCTTCCATAATCATCTGCATCTCAGTAAAGGCAAAGCCATACTCCCAGTTACTCAGGTCACAAACCTCAGCATCATCCTTGACTCCTCTTTTTTTCATACCCCATGGACTCTACATATATGCAAATCATATGGGCTCTACCTTCAAAACATACCTCTTATCCAATCACTTTTTATCTCCACCATTACCACGTTAATCAAAGCTACCACCTTTTCTCAGTGCCTGGAACATAGTAGGTGCTCAATAAATAAGTTTTAAATGAGTAGTCTATGCATGGTCCCTGCATTTTTCCCAGTCCATTACTCCCTCTCTTTTTACTTTCATTGCACAGCATAAGATTCTGCTATATCAATTATTTGATTTTAAAGGAACATGCAACACTTTTCCTCTTAGCCAACATGGGGTAACAGGGATCATATTTTTCCTCCAGAATGAAACAACCAAACATAGAAAAAATATGCGACACAACAGTTTTCAAGACTATAAACGTTAGGCAACAAAGGATAGCTATTCCTAAGAGACAGGAGCCAAATGTGAATCTGGTGACTGCCCCAGATTACTCCTTTGTGAGAGTTTCCAGACGATGGCACAGAGGGGAATGCAGGTGGAACTTGATGGATGACTCCCTGGGTTAGGGACACAGAGAACAGAATGAAAGGAGACCAAAGCAGCTAAAGTTTGCAGAACAGGGTACTGCAGAGGAGAGAGCTGCACAGAGAGAGCTCTGGAGACCTGCAAAGAGTCTGTCCCAAGTATTCATCTGAGTGCTTATTTGCACACACTGATGAGGGGGTTACCCACAGCTTAGGAAAGAACCATCCCCCCAAATTAGGCATTACAGTTCCCAGCTCTCACACAGGGCCTGGAATAGTGTCTCATGCCACCAGTCAAACTGGAAACCTAGTGGTTCATGGGCTATTGGGTAGAGTGCCTAGAAGGGGCTTGCCTCACTCATGAGGAATAACTGGTCCTTTCACTGAGCACTGTTCTAGTCCTACTGAAAAATCTTAAAAGCAAGACCCAAAAGGATCAAACTCTTTCCATTAACTTCACACCAGAACAAGCCTCAAGAATGTTTCTAGAAATACAAAAACACACAGCACCCAACAAAGTAAAAATCACAATGTGTGGCATCCACTCAGAAATTATCAGCCATGCAAATAAATTCTCAATAATGAGGAGGCAACAATCTATCAATTGAAATAAACCCAGAATTGACACAGATGTACAATTAGTACACAAGAATATGAAAACAGCTAATACAACTATATTCTATATGTTCAAAAAGTTAAGCAGGGCCATGAAATATATAAAAAGATCCAAGTCAAATTTCTAAAGATGAAAACTACAATATTTGAGATGAAAATTACACTATATGGGATTAACAGAAGATCAGATATTGCAGAAGAAGGAATTAGTGAACATACAGACAAACTTATTTTAAAATGAATTTACAGTATTTATTTAGACAATAAAACTATCCACAATGTAGCACAGAGAGAAAAGACAATCAGAAAACAACAATAGCAGCAACAGCAACAACAAAAGGCAAAGCGTCAGTGGAAACTACACCAAGGCATGTGAGTATCAAAGTGCCCACATCCACTGATAATAGGGAAATCGTAAAAGTTGCCCGAGAAAGAAGACACATTATGCACTGAATCACAAAAGTACAGATGGCATCTAATATCCACTAACAAAGGTACAGGTGACAACAAGACCTCTCTGCTAAGCTTCAGGCTTTCCTTCCAACTTCCAACTGGACATTACTCTCTGGCTGCCCTTGGAAAACTGCAGCTCATCTTGCGTCAAGTCACACTATTTATCGCCACCATCAGCCCTTTGACAGATAGACATTTGTGACTGACTGGGCCTTCAGACCCTCAACTGCTGGCTTCCAGGGTGGCTTGGCATTCTAACTTCTCCCTGAAGAGCATGCCCAGGCTCCCTCTCCCTGTCTACAGCTTTCTGCCAAGTTTCCCTGGTCCTAGGGTGAAGCCTGTATTCAGACTATGCCACCCTTCTTGCCAATACTGCCTGCACTACAATGTGTACTGCCTGAGGGCAGGCATCAGTGTCCGTGTTCTTGTCCACTACATCCCTGCACTGCACTGAGGGTGGCTCCTGAAAAGCATTGCCTACATGTTGGTGGAAGGAAGGAAGAGAGGGAGAGAGAGGGAAAAAGACATAAAGACTAGATCTTGGTGAAGTTCTGAGGAATCTCAGAAGACAGAGCTCAGAAAAGGGAACTCCTGAGCCTGAAGCATTGAGCAGGGGAGAACAGATGCAGGAGGTCTTCCTGGGGAGCGGGTTGGTGAGGGAGTAGCTCATGAAACCGGTTTCTCTAAGTAACCAGACGTCCCAGCTTCTCATACAACCCAGCCCATCCTTGATAGAAAAGCAGAAGAAGCTCAATAAGGACTTAAAGGATTCAATCAATATAGTTAGAATACTTGATCTAGTTAAAGCAGAAAAAAATTACATCACCCCAGTTGGTATAGAAAAAATATTGAACAAAATTCAGAACTTATTTACTTTTTTTTCTTGTGCAATTTTCTAAAGCTATAAAGGGAGAGTTTTCTTTTTTATACTTTAAATTTTAGGGTACATGTACACAACGTGCAGGTTTGTTACATATGTATACATTAAATATCTTAGGAAATTAGAAATAGAAAGGACCTTCTTTCTATTCCTAATATATACATAGAAATATATATATAATATATAAATATATATTATATATAATTATAATCTATTTCAATATTAAGAAATTATTTTCCTTTTTCATGGGATTAGGAATTCTAGGTAGGGCACGGTGGCTCACGCCTCTAATCCCAGCACTTTGGGAGGTTGGGGCAGGTGGATCACTTGAGGCCAGCAGTTCAAGACCAGCCTGGCCAATGTGGCAAAACCTCATCTCTACTAAAAATACAAAAATTAGCTGGGCGTGGTGGCAGGCATCTGTAATCCCAGCTACTCGGGAGGCTGAGGCACAAGAATTGCTTGAACATGGGAGGTGGAGGTTGCAGTGAGCTGAGATTGCTCCACTGTGATCTCTTGTAAAAGGAATTTTAAAAAGTACGTAAACTATCACCATTTCTAAACACTACTGTGCTGGATTCCTCAGTCAGTGCAATAAGCAAGAAAAATAAATGAAGCGCATAAGTACTGGGAATAAAAATAAATGTTTTAAATAGAGTATGGTTAATAATTCATAGTATATTTCAAAACTGCTAAAAGAGAAGATTTGAAATAGTCTCGACACAAAAAATAATAAATGTTTGAGATTATGAGTATCCCAGTTACACAGATTTGATTATTACACATTGTATGCATGCACCAAAATATCACGTGTACCACATAAATATTTATCATCTCTATGTATCAACAAAAAAATTTAATGTAAACAACAAAACTATGATGATGAAACAGTAGGAAACATTTTACATAATATTGAGTTAGAAAGACAATATCATGAAAGAAAACATTGAACATAAATGCACATTAAACCCAACATTTAAAAGAATACAATAAACTGAAAACAAATTTGACAGAGAAAGAAAAAGATTGATTTTTTTTATAAACAGAGATCTTACAAGTCAATATATTAAAAAAATAAAAACAGTAAAATCACAAAAATACAGGTGCAAGGATGCTAGTCACAGTGACGTATACCTTAATGAATTAATCAATTAACCGAGTGAACCAAGACCATAGGGTGGAATGCTATGCAGCCCTTAAAATGGTATTACTATTGTAAAAGACTACTTCTTGTCAGGGGGATACCAGGTTTCAAAATGGAATGTTCTGTTATGTTAATAATTTCCATGCATGCATGTGTGATATATATTCACACGTAGATACATAAACTCACAAGATCAAGACTTTATTTCTCAATTCTGAGGGTGTGGGGAAATTGTTTTCTTTTGTATATTTTTTATAGTGTCCGATATTCTGTATTGTAATGTGTGATGTCTGTAGTCGGGAAGGGAGGTTATAGGGCTATATAATAAAATAAAATATTACTTTAAACTTTAGTTTAAAACAACAACAGCAACAAAAATCCAGCCCATTTTGGTTTCAGGTTCAACTTAATACCAGGTCAAGCCAAAGTTTTTCCACTGATACTGGGAAGGGATCTTCTCCATGGTTGACAGCCTAGAGAGTCAGACTACTATACGTCTTAGCCAGAAACTAGTCCCCCAGGTAGTCAATATCTGATATGTTTTAATATCAGATATTTTCCATTGCAGTGGAAAAAGTCTTGGGTGGCAGGCAGAGAATGCTACAGAGGAGAGTCATAGACATCATGGGGGGCAGGGTGGTAGGGCAGACAGGCAGAGAAGCAGGGAGGTGTGTGGGTGAGCAGCAATAGCTAAGTCCCAGAGGAAGAAGTGGGTATCCCTGACAGGAAGCTGGAATCTGGTGATTCAGGGGCAGGTTCTCATTCATGGAGCAGCTACCTTGTGCTAAGTACTTGACATAAGTTAATTCGTTTAAACCTCATGACAACCTGACAAAGTTGACACTATTCTTATCCCCGTTGCACAGATTCATACCTAAGCAATTTGGCTGCAAAAGCACCCTCAGTCACAGGGCCAGCTTGGAAGGTAAAATGAGCCAGGAAGTGCACAAGTACTAAAAAGAGAGGTATGGTCAGAACTGCACTGGAAGCAGCAGGCTCCTGGGCTGACTTTTGAGTGTGGAGCTGAAGCTGCCATGACCCCCTGTGCCCAGGCTTAGGAGGGACAGTGGGGGGGGGGGCCCAGCTGTGATAAGGTGAGCTGCAGGAGCTGGAGGTGGAGAGCATGCCGGGCACTCACTAGGCAGGTAGTGGGCCTTTGAGTCTGAGCTGCCTCAGCCTCCCTGAGTTCAGGCTCCAGCACAGCAGCTTCATGAACTAGGTCCTTGAGAACTACTTGTTGAATGAATAAAATCTCCAGAAGGATACACAAAAGGCAGGGCTTTGCCCAAGAGGCTTGGCAGGCCAGCATGGTTGATCACTACCTTGACAAGGGGCTACAGTCTCTAGTGTGGACACCACTATGACAAACTTACCATGATTGGGCTGCTTTGCCAAGGGAGGCTTCGTCTCTTTATAGACAAAGATGGGGCTGGGGCAATATGCCTGGCATCAGCCACATACAGTCCATACCCCAGGGGAGGCTCCTCCTAGAAGGCCGCCCAAGACAGGCTGGACCCTAGTGATTGTAGCTCATCTCCCTAAATGCTCCTGACCTCACTGAGAAGCCCCTCCTGAGCTCCATATCTTCAGGTGCCCATGGGCCAACTCTGTCTCCTAGAGGAAGACACTGGGCCCCTGGAACCAATATGTTCAAACTGACATGAACTTCTGCCCCTCCGCCCCAGCTCCTCTGTCCCCAGCACCTTATCTGGAGAAAGGCACATCTTGCCCCACATGTGCTTAATTCAGAAACCTAGGAGTCATCCTTGATACCTCGCACCCGCTCCCCAAATCATATTTGTTATTCTGCTGGAATCTCTCTCTAGCACCTTCTTCTCCATCCATTCTGACTGCTGCTGCCCTGGGCCTTGCCCAGACTCTGTCACAGTCTCACTGTTTCTCTATTTCCAGATCCCAGCTCTTCCTTTCCTTTATCTTCCACATCACCAGGGTGAGTTCATAGGACTACACCTGGTCCTGTCTGTTGCTCCTCTGAAAACCCATGGAAAGAAGACCGCACTCTAGAAATAAACTTTATGTGGCAAGGACTCATCTAATTTTTTTAGTCATTAATCTGCAGAGCAGAGCCCAATGGTAAGCACGTAATAAGTGCTTGATACATATTTGGCAAGTAAATGAATGAATGAATGATTCTCCCAAGTCTACCTTGTTTCATGTTCACTTTTCCCCCACTTTATTTGTATCATAGATTTATCATCTCCTGACAATGAACTACAGATTTTCTTGTTCCCTGCTACATCCCAGGATTAGGGATCATGTCCAGTATTTGTTGGATGGATGGAAGGATCATCTAAATAATACATTCCAAACTCTGCACTCCGGCTTTCAAACTCCTTCAGGTTGTCACTAGACCCATGTATGCAGCCTCATCTCCTGTGGGGCCATTTTGTGTTGGAGCTTAGTGGGGGTGTGGCCAGGGCTGGTCTTGGCAGTTTTGTGGCCACCATGACACCTGCAGATCAACCAGGTACATATTCTGTCTGCCACATGCATGTGTCCAGTCCAAGCACTAGTGTCCCTCCCTCTGGAGAAGGTGGTCACTGATGAGTGGTACTAAGGAGCAGTTGGAGGGGGCCCAGCTATGCAGAAAGAGGGGCCCAGGGACCCAGCTACTGGCAGGATGTCTAGAGATGAGGCTGCTCCAATACTAGCTGCCTCCTATGGCCACAGTCTCACATGGACGGAGCTTACACTTGCCACTCTGGGCTCAAGCTGAGATGGATGCAAGCTCAGCTGGGGAGCCCAAACGGGGTACCAGGCCTGAAGCAGCCCTGGAAGCCTATCTCTGCCCCAGGCCTGCTGCCTGGCTCCAGAATCTTCCCTCAGCCAGAAGCTCCAAGGGCTTCACCCCACATGCATTTCCCCAAATGGCAGAGTGGCTGGCTCCCAAGCCTGAGAGGCCTGAAGTGGGTGATCCCCTCTAAGGATCTCCGAAAGAGGTCAGGGTACAGTTCAAAGAGCCAAAAGCAAAGGCTGCAATCCCAGCATGGCTCCTGGGAGAAGCCCACATAACCCACACCCCTACCTCCACTGCTACTCATATGCAGAGAGCCACAGGCTCCAAGTGAACACTGCCCGTGCTCTGAAGCTGAGGGGCCCAGAAATGCTCGGAGTCAGACAGGCAGTGAAGGCCTATGGGTTCCCCCCTTCCTCCCACTGAAGCTTGCCTGTCGGGCAGGCCCTCCGTCCCTCTGCTCCAAATCTGCTCCAGCAACCCTCCCTGCCACCCTCCTGGGAAAGGACAAAGTCCCAGCTGCTTCAGGACAAGCTTTGTGTGGCACTCAGGGCCTCCACCCTCCTAGAGCCCCAAATAATTTCTTTGGCTGCTTTAACAGGGGACAAAGTTTCCCAACACAGCCACTTTCCTCAGCTCCCTCGGCAGATGACACATATGAAGACCCATGTCAAGCCAGGTTCTAGGGCCCACGCACTTTTCACGGACTCCAGTTCTGTACCCCCATGGAGGTAACTGGCCTGTGGTCACAGAAAGGTATCAGCCCAAGGTCAGCCGCTTTCCTCACCAATCAGATGGCTTCAGAGGCAGGGGCTCTCCTGGCCAGTCAGCATCCGTTGGTCCTTCTGCACAACCTCCAGTCAGAGACAAACCACTGGGGGCTCATCGGCATCTGGAGCTAACAGAGATCTCCTGCCATTCCTGCCCCTCAGGCCAGCGGGGCCCTTGAGCCCCTGACAACTTAGCTGCAGCCTCGGGGTCAGAGAGCTGCCCCACCCTGCCTGAGGCCAACAGGAGAAGCTGGCAGAGGCCAAGAAGAGCTCATGCTCATGGCTAAGGCAAACTCAAGACGCTGCCCCAGGGTGTCACCTGCCCAATGGAGAAGCTGGCCTGTCTGTGGGCACTGTACACCCCAGGCTGTTGGCAGGCGAGGGCTGGGTGCTGGGCTGCCTGGCTGTAGAAGCTGCTTGCCTGCCCAGATCCAGAAGCCAGCCCCTCCCAAGCTCCCTGAGGAGCCCTGCCTTGCACGGAGCATGCTCAGAGCTATGTGTCTGGGGATTCAACCCCACCAGCTCACAGCCCTGGTGTACTTGCCTCCAGACCTTGGCACAATCTCAACCAGTCCACCTGATCTGAGGTCAAGCCAGGGAGAAATCTGAGAGAAGAGGTACCTGGGGTAGGGCTGGCCTGAGGGGAAAATCCATACCTTCTCTGCCAGGTCCCCTGGACTTGGCCTCCAAGAAGGGTTGGGGTTAGGGAAGGGAAACAAGGCAAGACCCTTGGGGCAGTGAGCTTTGGGCTCCTTTCCAAGAAGCCAGGATTTCAGGCTGCTCCTGGGTACACCAGAGTCCCCTCCATGCACCCTCATGTACCCCTCCTCACATGCCCACCTTCCTCTTCCCACCTTCCACCAGCTGCCAGGAAGCCAGCCTGTGACAAAAGAACTGGAATATTGAGTTTCAGCTTTTGACCAGGACTGGCGGGGGACCAGGGGCCCACTTGGCAGGGCAGAGAACTACATAAATGGAGGATTAAAGCTTTGCCCACCTGCGCAGCCAGCTGGGAAGACAAGCCACTCCCTCAGGGGGCTGCTAGGAGGGGCTTAAATGACATCCTGCGTGCAAAGCCTGGGATACATACAGGTGCGCATAATCTGCATGGAACAGCATAGAGAGTTCGCAAGGATACGCACCAACCAAACCATGGGAAATAATTCAGTGGAGGGACTTGGCATTTGGGGTGCAAGGGACTGTGTTAGCTAGGCCTGCAATGTTTGCCTTTTTGGGGAGAATGTGTTCATGCACAACTTGCGTAATTAAATATTTTTAAGATGCAAAGTGCATGGCACAGAGTAGGTGTGCCGTAGGAAGCGAAGAATAGAATTGGCTCCCTTTGGTGGGGAAAGGTTTTCAACAGAAGGCATACCCTAAAGGCCAGGAGGGGAAGACCAGGGCTAGATTCAATCTCTGGGGACCCTAATCAGAGGCCATCCTGCCAGTCCTTTACTTGTTCCAGGAGTGCAGAAGACAATGCAGGCTACCTTGTGCCCTCAAGAAGCTACTGATCCAGTGGAGGACTGATGTGTACCCCTCTAATACTAAGCCTGGGCAGCCCCTGGGAAGCTTCAAAGACTAGAGAAAAACAGCACGCCAGGAGAATCCCCTCCCCCACCCCCAAGTAAGAATGAGTTCCTTCCCTCCTTCATTCACCCACAGCATCCTGCTTCACCATGGGGAAGTTCATGGCTTGCTGGAGGAAGGGCTGGGCTCAGGGTGGAGAGGTTGGGCAAGGCAAGGACAGTTTGGCAGAGAAATGCAATCAGATGGGCAAATGCTCTAGGTGGGTCAGAGCCAGAGGGCCAGGCAGGAGGTGCCAACTTGCCTCCTGGCACTCTGCCCCCGAGCCTCCCTGGATCTCCCAGAGGCTTGGGAATCACAGATGTGCCAGCCCCCACAATATGGTCCCCATGCCCCTTAAGGAACATTGCAGAGGGGCCCAGACTGGGCAGCTCTGACTCCAGTTCCTCTCAGGAGCTTCCTGAGGTCTTCTAGGTGGGGCAGGGAGTTCTAGAGATAGAGCAGGAATGCCCTTCTAGGAACTGGCCTCCAGCCCTGCTGGGAACCAGCCAAATGGTCACACAGAAAGGCAGGGTGGAGGCCCAGCCACGGGCTCCTTATGAGCCCACCTGGCTCAGGAGACGTTCCTCTAGGGCACTGCCGTGCTGTTTGTTTGCAACTCAACTAAATTGCTCCCAAGGGTGAACCTTTGTTTCACAACATATTTTCAGCCAGACTTTTTCTGCAAACATGTCCATGTCTGTGCAGGCTCACAAACACTCAGGTCCCAAAGGGCAGACCCAGCCCTTCCCAGCTGCAGCCTCCTCTTCCTCTGAGCTTCCCTGTGGGGCCTGACTGGGGCCGGAGAAAGGGGCAGCCCGGGGTAGACAGTGTGAAGGCTGGACTCATGGCAGTTGGAGCACTGGGCTGATGGCAAGAAGCTGCACGTGCTGCCCCTGCTCCATCTCCCTGCTTCCCTTAATATTCCTCTGTATCTTGGGTCCTGCTCTGTCCTGAAGCTGCAGGAAGGGGAGGGGCGGCCTGCAAGGAGGTCCCCCAGTCTTCCATCTAGCCCATGGGTGACTCCTGGGGCCCCAGGCCCCATTTGCAGAGGACAGGGAACACCCCTGGTACTCCCTGGCCCTCTTGGCTCTCCTGGCCAGAAGTACTCATATCTGGGTGCTGCTGTTTCCCCATTCTGCAGAGGGGCTTCCTGTGGCACTTGATTACCTCTGTGCTCTGGGACCAGAGAGAGAATCTTTCTCTCTGGTGTTTCTTTCCTAGGTGTCCTTTTCTCTGCTTTGAGCAGGGCCCAGGCTCCAGGGGCCACGTGCCTCGTGTCCCACAGGGCTGACAGGAGGCCCTGCATCCTCATCTTAGAAGTATTGCAAGCCCTAGAGTGTCAGGCGTGGAAGAACCCCCTCATTGTATAGGAGCCCACTGAGGACCAGAGAGAAAGAGGTGGAGCAGGGACAGAGCAGGCTCTGGGACTCAAGCTTCTCTCTCTCTCTCTCTCTACTCTAACTTCCCTCCCTCTGCCGCTCTGTATCGCTGACTGTATCTCTCTCTCTGCCTCTCCCTTCCTCCATCCTTTCTTCTCTCCTCGCCTCCCCTCCTCTCCCTGTCTCTTCTCTGTCTCTCTCTCTCACATACACAGACACACACGTTCATTTCATACCTAGGGACTAACACGCTTCCCAGTCTTTACAGATGGAGAATCCTTGACAGATTTGGGGGATTAGGGAAGGTGCACTTAGCAACTAAAGCCAATGAGAAAGTTCTGGGTCAGAGACATGTGTGTTGAGCCCTTGGTCCCAGGGAAAGGGGTTGCAGCTCCTCTGCAGGCCTCCTGCACCAGGCACATCTGCACTGTGGTCAGGCCCCCACATGGCAGGCAACATTCTCCACCTCTCAGGCTCAGCCCCACTGGACAGCCCAGCTATTCACCCTGTCTGAGGTGTGCTTCATGGGCTGTGGACCCAGAGTGTGTGGTGGGTAGGGTGAGGGGTATGTGTAGCTCCCGTTCAGCCTCCAGAGCTGAGGCAGGACCTCATCTCCAGTGAGTCTGTCTGCAGGAGGCAGGCCAAGCCCTAGCGTAGGACTCAGGAGAACTCACGCCAGAGAACTCACATCCAGGCCCTGTCTCACTGGATGACCCAGGGACATGTTTCCTCTCTCTGGAATTCAATTTCCTCTTGCGCAAATGAGGTTTCTGGTCCCTTTCAGGAGATTTCCTCTGATTGCTTCCCTGCAACACAGCGCAGACATGCTCCCAGAACCACACCCCCACAAGCACTGGTTTGCATGAGCCCAACAGGAAGAACTTTGCAAAGCTGGGGCTGGGGACAGGGAGGTGGGGGAGGTGAAAGGGAGGAGGGAACCAGGGCCCCTGGGGCAATGGCAGAGGCTCAGTCCCAGCCACAAGGTCTCTGTGAAGAGGAGCTGTTGTTTCCCAGCGCACCCCACCTCCACTGTTGCCCCCAGTGAGTGCTGGACACAGGAACCTCAGCCACAGGGTTTTGCTGCTATGGCTGAACTTTTATTGAGCGTGTTGTCTGTGCAGAGCGCTGTGCACGAGGTGGAAGCAAACGAGGGAGGAAAACAAAGCCACACCCCTGCCCACAGAGGATGGAACAGAAGGGCCGCTGAGGTCAGGAAGGCAAGGTTGCCACTAGGTGTTACTGTGGGGCCCAGATGCCGCCATGCTGTTCACCCTTCAAAGGGTGGCATCTCAGCCCACGCAGTCCTCCTCCAGCTTCGCAGCAGCCAGGACCTCCCAGTGCAGTGACCTGGCCTCCCCAGGTAGGAGGCCTAACCAGAGTTGAAAATGATCCTGACGCTCCTGAGGGCTGCTGGGAGATGAAAGGGGCAAGGGCAGTGGCGGCCTGGGGAAAGAGGAAAGAAAGAAGGGGAAGCAGGGAGGGCTCCAATACGGAGGCCGCGCTGGGGCGATCACTGGTTCATCCACAGCCACAGGTTGGCAATGCTGGCCGACACCAGCACGGCGATGATCAGGGTCTCCCTGTGGCGCCAGGTGGCGCCCTGTTCCTCCAGGGCGCGCAGACGCCGGTTGACTGCATACAGCTGCAGAGGAGTCAAAGGCAGGGCTGCTGAGCGAGGCTCTTCTCCAGAAGCCCACAGCACAGCCATGGGAAAAGCATAAAGTTAGAGCAAGAAGGGGCTTGATTGCCCTTTGGCGGTGGAGCGGGGAGCGCCCCTAGTGAGAAGCAGGAGGCTGGGCCAGGTCCGCGGGACCAAAGACCTGGCTGCTACGTCTGCAGGCCCCACTTTTGCCTTCTCCCTTATGTTCACTTCCCTTCTCTGGAAGAGACCAGCCCATTCCAGCTGCGCCGGGGAGCCAAGGAAGAAAGGATCTCCTCCTAAGAAGGTCTGGGTTTGGTTTGAACAAAGGCGACCCCTCTCTCAGACCCTTAGGTATCACTCTCTCTCTGGACATAGAACCCTTATCCTTGTATGTTCCCTCTTCCTCCACCTTTTATCTGCCCCTATTCCCTACCAGCATCTCAGGGACAGCAGTGAGTTTGAGGCTGGACATCTATGCGGGGTGTCAGAGCCATGGGGATGAGGAGGAAGAGGAAGGGAATCTGCCCCACCTCCAGCGCTAAAGGGAAAGATGACTGTAAGGGACTACAGGACCCCAGCTGTCGAGCCCTGCCTATTCCAAGGCACTGTGATTCTGCTTGCACCCACCGATTGGGTCCCTCCTCACCTGTCTTCTCATGACTTCCATCTCCAGTACATTGAACTCTTCCAGGCTAGTCTGCGCCACTGCATCTGTCCCTGGGTTGCTGGGAGAGAAAAAAGACAGATGGTCAAAGCTGCTGGTGGTCCCTGGCAGGGAGCACAAGAAGGCAGTGAGGTCAAGCAGGTAAGGTCGTGATCTTCTTGGACAGTGACTCTATCAGCCTCCAGTCCTCTTCCATGGTAAAGAGGGCCTAGGGCCTTGAGGGCTGGGAGTCAGCCTGAGCTAGCCTGAGCCAGCCTGGCCCAGCCCAGTCCAGCCCAACTCGGCTAGGCCGCAGAGCACTGGGATGCCCCAAATGGGCAGGGAGCCAGGGTACTCATGGTCTCTGACAGGGAGGCATTCCAGGCCCTCATGACTCCATCCTGGCCAGGCTGCTCACCAGCCCCTCTGCCCCACTCCGGGCCCTGTCTGAGCAGCCAGGGCCCACAGACCCTCAGCTCTTACCGATCATAATGGAAACGTATGCCTTGGAAATTGCCAGCGTACTCCTGGAGATGGGCATCCCCATGGCCTGATTCTCTCAGCATTCTGGGCTTTGGCAGCTGGGACCCCTGAAGAAAGGAATGGTCAGTAAAGTAGCCTGCCCAACCCCACATGAGTGGCTTCTCCAGTTTGCCCAGAGCCAATGGTGCACCCCATGGGGAATCACATGGTGCCTGGTCTCTGGAATCAAGGGCTGGCAGCTTCAGGCCGCTAGGAAAGCTTGGGAACCCCACACAGGCTGCTGGCCACCACCCCACCCACACCATGCTCCTCGGTAGCTCTTGGTCATCCAGGCAGGCTGTGGCAAAAGAGGAGCAGTAACAGGGGTCCCTGTCCTCTGCAAGAACTTTCACATGCAGGTATTAGCTGAGAGGCTGAGCAACCTACTGAAGGAGAACGTAAAACCTTGATTGGCAGCCCAGGCCATGGAGGCCTGGCGAGATGCCTTTACTTTCCAAGGATGCGTGGTAAATGTCAGGGCTAAGGCTAGAACCCTGGCTACTGGGAAACCAGCAACTCCTCTGGGTAAGCTCAGCCAGCCATCCCTGTGGCTTTCATTTTTATCCATCTGCCAACAACTCCCTAGCATGTACATCTCTGGCCCAGAGCCCTTGGGCCAGGGCCATCTGATGCCTTTGAAGCATCAGTGGGGGATAGAGGAAAAGAGCGTGGCTTTTGGTGCCAGACCTGCCTGGGCTCAAATCATAGTTCTAGGTTTCCAGTTCAAGATGAAATGTTTCACAAGCTGCTTATTTAACACACACCACATGCCAGGGACCATGCCATCCTCTAAGCCCTTACCAATACTAAGTGACTGATTCCTCGTCACAGCCCTGTGAAACGGTATCATTATCATCCCGTTTTGAAAGTAGGGGAAACTGAAACACAGAGAGGTTAATTACCTTGTCCAAGTCACACAGCTAGGAAGTAGCAGAGCAGTAATTTGAACCCAGGACATTTCAGTCCAGAGGTTATACTCTCAGCCATTACACTACGATGTCCCTCATATTTAACACTCCTTCCTGTTAAGGCTCCACTAATTGCCAGTGAAGACAGTAAAACAGTACAAACCCATAAGACAGAAGACAACACAAGAGGCATCAGCTAATGAAAGAATTCAATAAAATTCTGGAATCTAGGAAGTGTCCATGGAGGAACTAGGCCTCATTGTGGATGGGAAGCAGATGGGACTCAGCTGACAAAGGAGGCCCCCGCCAGCAGCATCCAGAGAGGACTTAGACCTGCAAGGACAATGGCGGCATATCACAAGA
This sequence comes from Homo sapiens, assembly GCF_000001405.40. Classification (NCBI taxonomy): domain Eukaryota; kingdom Metazoa; phylum Chordata; class Mammalia; order Primates; family Hominidae; genus Homo; species Homo sapiens. The sequence continues at coordinate 151,720,191 of NC_000023.11, read as the reverse complement.
AAGGAGGGGAGGGAGGAAAACAGGGCCTTTAACTAATGATCTATGTAGGAAGCAGTCATCCACACTTCTCACTCCTGGTTGGCAGCCAGGCACTTACCGCCAAGCCAAAACCTGAACCAAATGAATAAGAAAGCTGGGGTGAAAGTGACACAAAATAAAACCGTCTTCATTCTGGCAGGGTTCAGGGTGCCCCACATGACAGCCAGTTCCTTACCCGCTCACCCTGCTGAAGTAGAGCCTGTCATTTGAGAGGCCTGACTGAGGCGCACAGAGTACTGGGTTAGCTCTTCTATTTGCCTCATTCTTACAAAAAAATAGACAACCAAGGCTCACCTGTCACCTGAGAAATATCTGCAGCCCTCTTCTGTTCCGAAGTAACAACATCAAACTGAAGGTGGATCAATTTCTGTGTAAAGGATTTTCATAGGAACTTTGCCACTGCACTCTGTTTGTTGCAATAAGGCATAACTAATCTTTCTCAAGAGGAGCACACAGATATTGGTGCAACTTTTTTATGAACCGTAGTTCATGGTCACAATATTTTATTTTCTTAAGATACTTCAAAAATTGCATTAAAAAGATAATGGGTATTAGGGAGACCCCATGACTATAATTTGATCAATGATGTCTCTTAGAAAAATTTTCAGACCATTGCTTGATTTTCCTATAAATTGGAATCAGAAGGACAAAAAAAATTTTGAGAGATTTGAAGGCAAAAAATAAGGATGAATGGCTGATGGCTGGAATTTGTTTGTTTGTTTCAGATAACATAGTTTGTTGTTAACCCACCAAGTCCCAACTTCTCTCTGTTAATCATTTCAAAAAATGTTATTTTAATTTCCATGTAATTTTAAAGGCACACTGCTTTTTTCCAAGTCAGCAGGATAGCATTATTAACTTTTCTCACCCTTGCATATTATGGTTCTCCTAGAGGCAGTTCCATTAACTGTTTTATTCAAAAATAAAGGAATGAATGAATTAATAAATAAATAGAATTAGTAAATTAGATTTCCTAATTCTAAATTTCTAAATTTAATTTATAAATTCAATATAATGTCTATATTTTCAAACAGTCTACCTCTAGCCCTTGTAGTCAACTTTAATTAAACCAGAGATTATATCTCCCCTAGTCTCAGGGACATTAGTGGTTTGCAGGAGCCTGACCTCCTGGAGCAACTTGATTTGGCTTCTGTCTTTGGACACAAAAAGTCAACTCAATATTTGACTTATTTTTATTCCCAGGAAACCTCTAACCTGGAAGCTTTTTTTCTCATTCTTCACTGGGGCCACCCAATAAATCATTTCAGCAATCGAGTCTCCCTCCCTCTCCAACCTTATTGCCCCCCAGTAACTTTCAAACTTCACTGTGGTAACAGTAAAGCCACCATTTTCTAAAATTTTCCCTCATCCATCTGAATGTGGTGAAAAGCACTGGCTACAGAATGATGGGATTCGTGATTCCCTAAAACAGTCAGGTCTACCTCCTCTCCAAAATGGCTCAGTATCCTTTGCAACAATGTGGCCAGCATTTTTCTAGAACATTCAACACCCACAATGAATGTAGCTTAAAGTACAGAACTATGGGACTCACATGATTTCCTGGAGCAGTCAGGCCTCCCTCCCTCTCCAATCTTGTTGCCTTTTCCCAGCAGCCTTTGCAACAGCATAACAACAATTTTTCTAAAACTTTCCCTTACCTACAGTGAATGTAGCTAGCTAAAATGATTGGATACAGAACTGTGGGACTCACTTAATTCTGTAGAATAGTCAGGTTTCCCTCCCCCTCCAAAATGACTGTGTTTTCCCAATATCATTTGCAACATTATAGCCACTATTTGTTCTAGAACATTCCTTCACCCATATTGAATGTAGCTTAAAAGGATTGCCTACAAAATAGTCAGATTCACTTGCCTGGATTTCTTTCTTCTTTCTCTTTCTTTCTTTCTTTCTCTCTTTCTTTCTTTCTTTCTTTCTTCCTTTCTTCCTTCCTTTCTTTCTTTCCTTTTCCTTTCTTTTCCCCTTCCTTCCTTCCTTCCTTCCTTCCTTCCTTCCTTCCTTCCTTCCTTCCTTCCTTCCTTCCTCTCTCTCTCTTTCTTTCTTTCTTTCTTGACAGAGTCTCACTCTGTTGCCCAGGCTGGAGTGCAGTGGCATGATCTCAGCTCACTGCAACCTCTGCCTGCTAGGTTCAAGCAATTCTCATGCCTCAGCCTCCTGAGTAGCTGGGATTACAGGCATGTGCCACCATGCCCAGCTAATTTTTGTATTTTTAGTAGAGACGGGGTTTTACCATGCTGGCCAGACTGTTCTCGAACTCCTGGCCTCAAGTGATCCGTCCGCCTCCTCCTCTCAGAGTGCTGAGATTACAGGCATGAGCCACCATGCCAGTCCACTTGACTGGATTTCTTAACAGCCAGAAAGCATAGGAGCCTCACCTGACTTATTGTGTGTATACACGCGCACACACACACACACACGTACCACACACATAATTTTAAATACAGGAAAGCGTTATTTCACACAATAGATTTATAGAGTAAAGTATTTATGTACTCCCCATGCAATATTTGTTTCAGGCATTCTGAATTCCCAAGGTTGAACCCCCAGCATAGGAAAGGATGACCCTGACCTTTAATTGGAACTTCCTGTCCTCATTTGCCAGCTTGGAGCACAGGAGCTTCCTCCTCCTCACAAGTCAACGTCTAGCCCTGCCTGACCTGGTCAGGCTAGAGCCCCTACAACCAGTACTCCCAACCCCAACCTGGCCACCAAGTGCTGAGGACCCCATACAGTACCATTTTCTTGGGTCGGGTGGCAGTCATATTCCAAACTCGTTTGGCTGAAGCAGAGCCAGCAGCTTTTTGTTCCAACTTCTGCTTCTTCTGGGAGGCACCCCGGGACCGAGATCCAAGCTCCATCATTTCTAGAGAGAAGAACAGAAGCTCCAGGAGCACCCATAGAAGTTGCACCAGGGTTTCTTGGGCACAAAACACACCAAAAAGAAGACAGAGTCTCCAGCTTTCTTGGGAATCACTCAGCACCCATTAACCACTGTCCATCAGCTGATCCCAGGTCTCAGTTTGTTCATCTGTTCAAAAGTTAAACCGGAATTTCCTGAGGGCTGAGCTCGAGACTAGGTTACTCTCCAGTAACCTAGAGACCAATGACCAAGAACAAGATTCCAGCTATCAAGGAACTGACCATCTGTTTGTGTATAAGGGGGAATGACAGGTGTAAAACAGAAAGCAATCTATCCTTGCAAATGCAGACAGAGAGATGCAGGCTCCATAAATGATCAAAACAGGGTAACATAGTGGAAGGAAAGGGCTCCTCCTAGAAAAGTAGGAGACAGCAATTGAGGTGGGGACCTGAAGGAAAAAAAGGACCCAGCCCTGGGAAATTGAGGGAAAGAGCATTCCAGGCAGAGGAAACAGCAAATGCAAGGTCTTTGGGGGAAGAAGCAGGCTTGGAGCATCGTAAGAACAAACATAAATGCAATGTGATCTGGATCCCTTTGTGTGCTATAGAAATGGTATTTTCTGTCTATATCATAGCATGAAACGTTTTGAGGAGGCTGATACAATCTTATAGATCATGGAATTTGGATTTTCCTCCAAATGGCAGGAAAATGAATTGGAGGATTGGGAGAGAGAATTGATCTCTGGTCTCATAATTTGAGCCCTCTGAGTATTTTGCAACAGAGACTGTGGTGGCTTGGATAAGGGGGAGACAGAGGTACTACACATGTTGTTCCCATCCTCCTCCCTCCCAGGGAAAAATGCTCACATCATCTATCCCTTTTCCCCTAGCTCCCTTACATCAACCCACAAATCCTCGAAGCCCGGCCAACACACAGATGTGCAAACACTTCCGTGCACACATGCACCTTTTCCAACACACACATGCACAGGTATAGACACGTATCTACACAGTTGGCTGTAGCCTAGGGGTATTTTAGGGGATCCTCACCTGCTATCACCAGGTGCTCTTGGTTTTCCCCTTGGCGTCCATGATTCAGTTCTTCTGCCAGGGACATTTCCATCTCCGCCTTGGTGTTGGGAGGGCCTCCTGCCATCACAACCAGCTGTTCTCTTGTAAGCTATGGCTAAGGATGCACAGGGTGCCAGGAACAGAGGAGTCACACTCAGAAAATCACCTCTTCCGGAAACAGGAGCTCAAGGAAGATATAGTCAGATCTGGGGGTGGAGTGAGACTCCCTCTCTAGGCTGAGGCCTTGGACACAGTACTTTCTGTTTCTATTGTATCTTGCTGGCTAGGTCAGTGGCCTTCTCCTCTGCTACTCTGTAAGCAACTTAGGAGAAGAGATACAATTCCGTGCCTTTGCCTGTGAGAACTGCTCTGGCTCATGAATCTCCATATTTAGCCCATGGGGAGAAGGGTGGGGTCCACCCTCCATCATTTCTATGAAGAAACAGGGATTGGCACAGGGTCCGAGAGCCAACAGTGGCCACAACAGAGTTAGGTGCTAGCAATCCAGGCCATACCACACCTTCAGAAGGGATTCTCTGGAGAGCGTATCCTACCTCCCCCATCCAGAGTCCCCAGACACGGGAGGTAGCCTTTTCCTGAAGTAGGTCAGCCTAGGCAGGAGCCATAACAAAGGGAGAGAAGGGCAAGAGAGGTGGGACCTGACTGCAGCCACTAGAACCCCCAGGGGCCTCAGGCCCTGCACCTTCTAAGTCCCAGTTCTCCCTCAGCTTCCCTACTGATTAGACCACTGTGATGGTCAGGTTTATGTGTCACCTGGCCAGGTTCTAGTCCCCAGTGACTCCATCAAACCCTAGTCTAGGTGTTGCTGTGGAGGCATTTTGTAGCTGTGGTTGGCATCTACAACCAGTGGACTTGAAATAAAGTAGAGACCCATCCTCGATGATGTGAGTGGGCCTCACACAATCAGCTGAGAGGCCTGAAGAGCAAAGACTGAGGTTTCCCAAAGTAGAGGTAATTCTACCCCAGGACTGCAATGTCAACTCTTCCTTGAGTTGCCAGCCTGCAGGGCTGCCTTGCACATTTCAGACTTGTCAGCCCCACAATCGCATAAGCCAATTTCTTAAAATAAATTTCTATATACTTGTGCATATGCAGATATATACATACATACATGCATACATACATACATACATACATACATACATACATACATATATACATCCTATCAGTTCTGTTTCTCTGGAAAACCCTGATTGCTACAACTACCTGTGGTGAACCCTTCATTCTAGGAAACAACCCCAGAGCCCCTGGGGGAATAGGAGGCTATTTGTAAAAGGAATCAGGACAGGTTTATATAAGGTTCCTTTTACAAATAGCCTCTTCTTCCCCCAGAGCCCCTGGGCCAGGTGGGAGGAAGAGGAGGAAGGAAGGAGGAAAAGAAGAAGGAAGGGAGGAAGGAAGGAAGGAAGGAAGGAAGGAAGGAAGGAAGGAAGGAAGGAAGGGAGAGAAAGTGGAAACGAAGGGGCCAGGAGTAGCTGAGATAGGGCGGCATGGTCTGAGGCTGCCTGCCCCCTGCCCCCACCTCACCTGTCCAGCTTGGGAACCAGAGCTGATATAGGCCCTGCCTGCATTCCTGGGGGCCCCAAAGAAGCCCTTCCCAGATCCAGTGGAGCAGCTGTGATGAAATTCGAGCTTTCTGGAGGGCCACCTTGGGAGCAGAGAAACTGCTGAGTGTGCTCAGCTCAGTGGGATTCAGGAGCCTGGGAAGCCCAGCCAGATTGAGCAAATGAAAATATAGGTACGAAGTACATTTAAATTTCAGATAAACAACAGTATAAGTATTCTCTCGTACACTAACTTTTGGGACATATTTACACTAAAGAATGATTCATGGATTGATTTGACATTGAAATTTAGCTGCATATCCTGTATTCCATCTGACAATCTTATCTCACTATGACTTCAAGATTTTACCTTGGGCAAGTTTCTCGCTTCTTTTGGTGTCAGTCTCCCCCATGGACAAGCCTCCCTACAGGGTGGCTGGATTGTGAGGAGCACTCAGAAGTCAGCAAAGCTAGAGCAGTGTGGGCACTGGCTTGCCACAGGGCCTCGGGCTATGGAGGCCAGATTTCTGTCTCGCTATCAACTGGCCCTGGTGGGGCTTCTTGGGCACAGGAGCACAGGGTCCAGGTGCATGTGGAGGCACTGCCCCCTGGTGGCATAGGAATCCACCACCTAAAGCCAAGCAAAGAGGGTGGGAGAATTCCTTCCCAATCCCTGAACCCCCAATGCCACTCAAAAACCCCAGCATCTCACCCCCTTAGCATGCCTTCCTTTCTTGGATTGAGTGCCAAGGACAACTTGGAGGTGACGAGAGTTTGCTATGTGCCTTTGAACTTGTCTCTTAGCATGCTAGCTAATTATAATTTCATAATTATCATCTGCATGGTAATCTCCTTTTGAAATGGCCCTAAATTCGTACTCCAACCATTCTGAAAAGCCCCCTACCCCAAAGTCTGTGTGCTAACCTCAGGGCCTCGAAGGACTAGAGCACCTGGGATACAGAGAGAGACCTTTCAAGTCTCACACGGTGCCTGGGTCCAGGAAGATGGCACATGGCCAAGTGTACATAACAGGCTGCAGAGCCCTAACACTCCAGTGGAAGGTTCTGCTCACCCAAAGGTTCAACAGATGCTTCTTCATAGGGGAAAGAAGGGTCCAGAACATACCTGGCTTGTATGTGTGTCTATATGTTTTCAGTGTTCAGTGTTTTGCACAATTGAGATCACCTACATCTGAGGTGTGTGCCATATTCTGCAACTTATTTTTTCAAGTGAACCATGTGCTTTGGGGAATCTCTCCGTGTGAAAACAAATCTACCTCATTTCTTCTCAGCCCAGCATAGCATTTCCCTACACAGCTGCCTCCCCTTGCTCCTTTATTGACTTGCTCATGGATATTTTGGGTGTCTAGAGCTTTTATATTTTTAGAAACAATGTAGCACTGAGCATTCCTGAACATGTCTCTCTGCACACATAGGTAAATGGGTTTGCACAGCAGGTGCCTATAAGTGGAATTGTGGGGTTCTAGGGTATGTGTGTTGATGATTTTGACCTATATGGACCAATATTGTCAAAGGAGCCTCCAAAGAGCCTGCACAAAGTGAAGCCTCACCTAGAAGAAAGTCCGTGTTTCTTCCCAGTCTGATCAACAGGAATATTATGCAACTATTTAAAAGGCTTAATGGGTGAAAAATGATATCCATCTCATTGTTGCTTTAATTTATATTACTTTAATTATGAATAATCCTGAGCAATTTTTCATATGTTTATTGATCTTCTGTATTTCTTTCCCATGAACTGTCTGCTGGAGGGTTTGGATCTTTATTAAAATAAGAGCTATTTTATTAACAGAAAAGAATAAGACAAAAACTCTCCCTCCTTTCAAGCTAAGTATCTCCAAAGGAAATGTATCATCTTTTTCCCTAAGGGGGATCGTGAGCACAGAGCCTCCACTGGGGACCAAACAAATAAAGTTAATTGCATCCAAGCTTTTGCTGAAACCTAGAGGGCATCCAGCCACCCACGGAGCAGGTGTCCAACTCAGGCTGCTGCCTGCCTACCTGTCCATCTGCCCTTGTGTCTGTCTGTCTTCTCTGCCTGCCCCCAGCCAGCCTGATCATCTGCCTCCAACAGTGCCTTCCAACCACTAGCTTCTTCCAGCTGTTCAGTCAGCTGAGCACTCTGCTCCATTTCCCAGCGGCTCAGGGTCGCAGCTCTGTCTGCCCCCAGCTCCCACCTCCCTTGCAAGCTGCAGCAGGAGATGGCAGGAACCTAGCCCAAAATCAGCACATCTGTGAGTGACTCAGAACCCTGCCACTGGGACATCTTAGGCAGGTTGCTTCACCTGCTTGGAGCCTCAGTTTCCCATGTTCACGTGGAAGTTTCAGGGAGGTGTGTGGGGGCTGCCTGGGCTTCAAGGCAGACTCTACTGTTCTTCATCCAGAGCAGCTCAGCTCTTACCACTTTCTTATATTGGGGCTTTATGTAAGAGGTCGTTGAAGCCAAATGTCTTGAAGGAAAGTAAAAAAAGCCACTGGGTGTGATGACTTCCTATCTCCCAGCCCTGCTGAGAGCCCAGTCTCAGGCAGCTACAGCCCCAAACCCAAGCAAATGGGTGCACCTGGATCTTTCAGGCAGCTGAGAGCTTCCTCTTGGCTTGTTAATGAACCTTATGGACCTGTAAACAATTCTCCTTCCTGCTCCTGGAAGCAGCTGGTACTGAGGTCATCCCTGGAGCCACAAAGCCCTCCCTGCGCCAGAGAGGAAGGGGAAAGGAGACTAGCAGAGTCTTGCATCTCTCCCGCCTCTCCTTAAAGAGGCAGGAAGGACAGACAGAAGGATTCAGGGTCAAACTGCAGGGACCATAGCTGGCCCAGGGAAGGAAGGCCACCTTGTGAGCAGAGAGAGGGAAATAAAAAGTAACAGGGCCACTTAGGGCAGCCCTTAGGACCCACTCCCATGGGGACAGAGCCACCTTGATTTCTAGCTTTCTGCCTTGAATCAAGATTGCCTGTGTGCTAGACACTGGGGATGGAGATGAGGTCCCTGTCCTCACGAAGTTCATGCTGTAGTGAACAGAGAATCAAATGGACAGGAAAGAAGTCCATCTCTCTGTGGGGACAGTAGCAGGCAGTTGTTTGTGTGGCGGCCATGCCCTTAACCCTGCTGCACTCTGCCTGTCTTGGAGTGTGGTGGGTGCTCACTATAGCTTGGCAAACCTAAGAAGGAGGGGCGCAAGGGAGATCTGTCCCAAGCAATGTCCCTGGCCTCTGTAGCCTCTGACTGCACACCTCCTGGGGCAGCTCGCTACCTCCCAAGGGGGCTGAGATCAGTAGAAACGTCTTCCCTGCATGGGTGGAAACTCTGGCACAGTCTGGGGGGTGGGGGAGGAGCAGCTTCAGCAGAAGGAAGTTAAAGATGCAGACACAGAGTCAGCCTTGGCTTTCAAACCAGCAGGTAGGACTGCGGTTGCTGAGATGCTAAGTGGTTCCCAAACAACCCAGTCCTCCAGGCTTAGGGGTCCAGAGACCATCCTGCTGTGCCTCTGAGTTCCTTCAGAACAGCACCTTGAGATTCCCCCTGAGAAAGGAAGGCTCTCTCAGCAGCTCAGGTGGAGCTGCAAAGAGCTCAGCGTAATTGTTGTTGGTTGACTGCCTTAGAAACAACTCGGGACCACCCTGCATGTGACAAAGAACAGCACCCAGAAAGAGGGGAAATTCGCCTCCCAGCGCAGCCAGTTGCTGTCACTGCCTGCTCCTTCTTCTGCCTTCTCCTTTTCTCTTCACTGGCCCAAGAAATCCTTCCCCCAAAAGCTGGCAGAAGGTTCAGAGACCCAGAGGGGTTTGTTTCCTGCCTATCTGTCACACTGTGGCCCAGTGTCACCCTGCCCCCAGCTGAGAGGCTAGGGCACTTTGCTCTTATGTCCAGAGATCCCTGGGAGCTGGTGGGAAAGAGTCTCTTTCCTGATCCTCAGGAAGGGGGTTTGAGCAAGGTGACCTCACAAAATCCTTGGCCTCGGCTGTGTGGTGACTCCTCAGATCAAAATGCATCTGCTTTTAATTGTTTCTGTGCCCAATGACTGAATTGTGATGTGTATGTAAAAATCAGGAGAATCAGAGGCCGAAGGAAGAGGTAGAAAATGTGGTACAAAACCTCAGAAAATGACCTGCTCAAAACACAAGCAGCAGCTGCCCCTCCAAGCTGGAGAAAGATGTTGGAGAGGAGGAAGAAGGCCCAAGGTGGGAAGCACAGCCCTGAGAAGCTGCATGGGTTTTTTTTTCAGACAGGAAGCTAATGACAGGTGTTCCCATCTATGAAGTGGTTACTATTCCCAGTATGCCCCCATTTTACAGATGGAAAAGCTGGACAGAGGCGGGAAGAGAGGGCTGAGATATGATCCAGTTCACTGATTCAGTGATAAACCAAGGCCATCACACTAACACTCCAGGGTGCTCGCTAGACCAAGAGGAAGTCCCAAGGAGGAGGTGGCTCCAGAGCATTTCAGAAAACATCCTCCAGCCCCTATTCTACTCTGACCTGCCCTTCACTCTTAGAAGATAGAGACCAACAGAGACCTTGTCTGCTTTGTTTGCTGGCTCCTCAGCACTTAGCGTGCTTCCTGGCATATTAGAAGATCACTAAATAGTGGTTGGATTGGAATGACCTGAATGTTAAAAAACAAAACAATCCCCCCTTAGCATCTTGTCTTTTGCCGCTAAACTTTCTCAACTCCTGGAAAGTGTTGCCTCCATCATATGCACTGTCTCCACTTGTTACCTTCCAGGCATCCCACTGCTCATTCTAGTCTGGCTTCTTCAGTCACCATGGAACTGAAATCACCCCTTGCCGAGGTCACCGATGACCCCCTGATGGCTCCATACAATGAGTTCACTTTGGCTGTCATCTTCCTTGGCTTCTTGAAAGCATTTCACATCATTGTCCACTGTCTCCTTCTAGAAACACTCTAGTCCTTCGGTTTTCAGGGCTCCATATGCCAGTGCTTTTCTTCCCACCTGTCTGGCCTCCCTCCTGGGCCATTAGGTCCACACTCAAGACCACTTGTTGTCTTTCTGGGACCTCAAGCAATTCTGATCTCTCCTGTTGCAGCCTAGGCCTCCCTCCTCAACTACACTCAAATGCGCTATACACCACACATGCAACACGTCAACTCAAACCTGTGGTCTTTTGCTCCCCTAAACCTGCTCTTCCTCAACTGTGACCCTTTCCAGGGAATGGCCCTACCATCTACTCTACTGTCTGAGCCCCTAAACCTGAAAGTCCTCTGGGATTATTCACTACCCCTTCCCAACGCAATCAGTCACCATGCATGGTTCTGCCTCCTGAATAGAGAATTCAGTGTTTCTTCCAATGTGACCCAAAGATCCCCTGCAGAAGAATCAACTGAGTGATTTGGTCACAATGCACATGGCTGGCCCAACCCTGGACTCAAGGTATCAGACTCTGAGGGTGGGGTCTGGAGATCTACATTCTAAGCAATCAGATAGTCTTGTGCCCATCAAAGTTTGAGTAAAAACCTTCTCAACAGTCTATCTCTCTCTGTCTCTTCCGTCATCAGCCTCATCCATCCCAGCGCTGTCTCTTGCCTGGGCGATGGCAATAACCTGACCTCCCTGACTTCTCTTATTCTTCGGCTCCTGCAGCCTGTTTTCCACATGGCTGGCAGAGCATGCCTGGCCATGCCCGCTTGCTCCTTAAGGCACCCCTTGGTGGCCTTCGCTTATCACTAGGGTAAAGACTACAGCTCTGAATACTGCCTAAAGGGCCTCACATAGGCCGACCTCCATGTATCTTGCAAATCTCATCTTGCACAGGTCTTTCCCCTCATGCTACCCTGTCTTCTGTTTCCTTAAAACCAAGATGGACTTGCTGAACTCCAGGCCTCTTCACGTGCTGCCCCTCTGCCTGTCTGAATTGTCTTCCATGGTCTTTGCTTGGCTGATTGCTACCCATCCTTCACTTTGGTTGGCCGTGGCTTCCTCAGGAAGACTTTCTCTGGAAGCCCCCAGCCCCACCCCCCTGGACTTCCCCTAGCATAAAGTTCATCATGCACTATTGCTACAGCTGTTCTGATGTTTCCCCCACCCAGCTATGCCCAGAGCTCCAGACAGCCAGGACCTGCATGCCCCAGCTTGTGGAGCACCATGCTCTGCCAGCACCCACCCCTAGATGTCCTATCAGCCCAAGGACCCAGCAGTGCCACCACCAATTGCCCACCCACTGGGCTCCTGTGACCCCATGCAACCAGCCTGATATGAAATGTTACCCAGTCTCTATTTTTATAGCTCGGAAATCCTAGTGAAACCGAACCCATCACACAGTTTGAGCTCTTCAGAGAAAATGCTGAAAGTTAATGTCATTGGAGCTGGCGGTGTTGTGATCCCCCAAAACAATGTATTTTGTCTGTAAAAACAACCTGTGGGGCACCAACGTTGTGTCTATTCTTCAGGCTTTGGGTTCTCACATCACTTCCCACAGAAGAACCCTGGAAGAAGCATTCTGAAGCCCACTTCTCCTTTCCCAACTCACCTGCCCTGTGGAGACTTTTGGCAGCTGTCCCAAGTCTGTCCAGCTTGGCAGGGAAGAAACTGCTTTGGGGACTGGTTGGAGACTGACAAGGTGCCCCTCTGTCTTTGCCAGCATCTCAGAGAAGCTATGATGTTCACCCTTCAAGATTTTCCAGAATGTGCATCATGTGCTTAGGTTGGAGGAAGGAGCAACAGAGTCTTCCTCTCATGAGTGGAGCATTATGAGCCAAAATTTGTCCCCCTAAAATTCATATGTTGAAATTGTAAACCCCCAGGACCTCAACATGTGGCTGCAGGAGTAATCAAGGAGTAATTAAGTGGAAATGAGGTCAGTGGGGTAGGACCTAATCCAATCTGACTGGCATCCTTATAGGAAGAGGAGATTAGGAGCACCGAAAAGAACAGAGGGACAATACTGTGAAGCCACAGGGAGAAGATGGCCATCAGCAAGCCAAGGATACAAGCCTCAAAAGAAATCAACCCTGCCAGCACCTTGACCTCAGACTTCCAGCCTCTAGAACCTTGAGAAAATCTTCTGTGGTTTAACCCCCCAGCCTGTAGTATTTTGTTTTGGCAGCCCAAGCAAACTAATACATGGAGCTTGGTCTCCGATTGTAGAACACAATCAGTCCACACGTTTTTAAAAATTGAACACTTACTGTGATCCAGGCTCTGTGCTGTGTTCTAGGGCAGAAGTGGTGAGAAAAGTTATATATGGTCCCTGCCCAAATGGGGTTACCAGTAGGGCAGGGAGAGGAAGAGGGCATTCTGGAGGGATCTATAGTCAACACAAAACCAACGCAAAGTCACCCTTCCCCAAAAGGGACCAGCAGTGCTAGGTGCATGGCCTGGGGTGGGGCCATCAGGACAGACCCGGATTCACATGATGGATCCAGGACTTCCTCTCTGTGAGATCTTCGTCAAATGACATGCCTTTGCTGGCTTTGCTTCCCTCTGCTATAAACTAGGGTTAGTTATAAACCCCATATCGCAGGTTTCTCGAGAGGATTGTGTCAGTCAATGCATGTACAAGGCCTGGCATACACTAAGAGCTCAATAAATGCTGGCTATGATCATTTATAATCACAATTCAGGCATTTTCCCCACTGCCCTTCCATCCTGTCACTCCTTGTAGCCTCAGGTCAGCTACTATGAGGGGGTGGCACTGGTGCAGGATGGGAGGCTGGGGAGAGGGCAAGGAGAGGGACCCCACCTTCCCAAGCCACACCCTTGAGGCACAGGGTCTGCCTTTCACCTGATCCCCTGTCTCTAGGGATAGAACCATCTCCCTCCACAGTCACCCCATTAAGTCCCTGGCCCTGACTTGCCCTCATCGTCTATAAGCAATTCAAGTGCCTTGGCCCCAGAACCTGTGACTAGATTAGCAGGGGAGGCCCAGTCCATTGGATGGTGCATACAGGGGACTTTGGAAGCTCAGGGCATCCTTCATGTATTAGCTTCCTTGCATGGGCTGGCCTGGGACCCTAAGTCACTGCCTAGAACATTTGTCTCTGGCAAAAGAGCCTAAAGTTCAAAACCTATGTTCAGAATATGACCCCATCTGTGTGCCTGAAGGGCCTTCGAGTTTCCAGCATCCCCAGAAGGTTAGCATCACTCAAGCCCCAGCTCCCCAAGGCCTCTGGCTGCCATTCTTGGCATTTGGGCTCCACATTCAGTCCTCTAAGGAGGTCCCAAATTTCATTGCCATTGTCCCATCACTTCCAGGGTCTTCCCGATTAAAGGACGGATGACTTTCATTACTTGGGGTTGGCACAACTAGCACTTGCGACTTCCCGTGGCTATATCTCTCTGCATACCCACAGCTGGGAATCTCTGGGAGCTAAGACCATGTTTCCTCTGTGCAGAGGCTGGGCATTATTGCCCTCTGAACAGTCCCTGATCCTTGCCATCTTTAGAACCTAGGAAGCCCAGCCAGGGCAAAGCCTGAGTATTGTATACCTTCCGCTCCTCTCCCAGCTCTGAAACCAAGTTTCTAACTGTGATTTCTGACAGATCTCACCAACCTCATCCCAGAAGGATGGCTCAGGAGATCATCTTACACACTGGGGACAAACTTTAGGACCCAGGACATGTCTGCTTCCTGCTCCTGGACTGTTTTGGGCTTCTTCCTTATCTACAGTCTGACTCACAACCACCCATACCCCTTGGAAGTTTGGGAGTCAGCAGGGATCCAAGATGGATGACGACAGGATTCAAGTGGATGCCATTTGCTCTTTATTATTATTGTTTTCTTGTAAAGAAGGAGACAAAATGTAACAGCCAAATTCAACAATTATAAAAAGAAAGAGAGAGAGAGAGAAATCAGAAGCAAGTTTGTCTGTTGCCCCCAGGCTCCAATGAAATGCTGACATATACTGAATGTACAGATTTCCCAGCTGACAAGGGTCAACACATGAATACAAGCACAGTTTAAAGTGGTATCAAAATTAATCCATTTCACAGTAATTATTTCTATAAGCTCAGTTGCACATATCAGGGTTTCCACTGTCACAAATTCACAATGTCAGAGCAAAATAACAGATGTGTTCAGGCCTGGGAAATTGGTATCGATGAGGGGAGATGGATTGAGAGGCAAAAGCAGCTGGGGGATTTGTCCCAATCCTGAAGATCTGTGTTAATGCTCGGGCTGGGGGTGGGTGAAGGGCAGGCACTGTTCAGCAGTCAGATATCAGTACAGTGAAACAACTGTTGAGGCATTGAGCTTGAGAGGGTGTGCTATTTGGGTATGTTTGTCAGATAAATTCTTGCTAGAGAGAGACTCGCTGCCCACAGTCTGAAAGGAAAAGCTCCCACGTTTGAATATTTGGAGGCGAATGATGGAGCGGCCAGTCTGACAGCGAAGCATCTGCTTTACAGAATATTTAGAAAGATACATCATGTGTATTAGTTTAAATTGCAGTCTAGTTCACAAACTATGTTATTCACAGGATAAATAACGGAGTAGAGTGAAAGGCTGCAATATCCAACATCCCTGTGATGGAGAGAGAACAAGAGATCACCCTGTACATACGAGAAGTGCTGAACTGCAAAGCTGAAGGCACGGTGAAGGGATCCTTAATATCTTGAGCCTTTTCTTTGAAAAGGGTACTCATTTTAAACTGGATTTCTCTTACACAAAAGACCCTGAACATTGACTAAAGGGAAGAATATTTCAAATATTTTTATGTAGCCAGAATCACAGCTACTGTGAATTGTCTTAAGTTGTGATTTTCTCGAAGTTCTGAAGTAGTGGGCTTCAAATTAATGGGCTTTTAAAATAGTTGCAAGCAGTCTGATTACCGTACTTTTAAATTAGCTAATTATAGTGATTAGTATTAGTAGAGTTCCGTGGCGGGGGGTGGGGGGCTGTGCTTGTTTCGGAATCGATGAAGTCCTGAAATGGAGCTTCATTACTTGTCAAGCTGAAAAGCCACCTAGACCAGCAGCTCTGCTGCCAAGATATCCATCTCAGCCTCAACTGTGAGTGTCCACACATGAGACAGCACACACACATACTCCTAGAAAGACAGAGCCTCCGTGAGCGAGAGAGACTCTCTCCATGATCTCTCTCTTGGACAAAATAACAATCTAGAGGCAGTGTTGAATTTTTTTTCTTCCTTCTCATGGGATGTCACTGGGTTGTCAAAAGATCAACTCTGGCTGGGGGTTGCGATGCTCCACCCACTGGGAGAGGGGAAGCATCCGGCTCTGACTACTTGACAAAAAGACACTTTCCTGTCCTGAATTCCTCATATTCGGGCTACCAAAAAGGCAATGTCCAACAGATCAGGCAGACTCCTGTTTTTGGAAGCACCCTAAGGAATTCACATTCATGGCAGTGGGATTGGAAGTTGAAAAAGAGGCCTCCCGGGGCTGACTGCTCAGCACTGCGTCTCCCTCAGCCAGGGCTGGACGCAGCTGTGTGGGTGGTGTGTACACGCCAGGCACCTGTGCACCCCACTCTTGCACTTGTGCTTTCATTTTGAAAACCGGAGGCGATGGGAAGCGGGGGAGGGACAGGATTTCGATTTTTCTTTTAAAAAATCTTAAAAAGTTTTTGGTTGAAAACAAGTGACAGTCACATTTCAAGAAAATTTTTAAAACCTTTTCTTTTTGAAAAATGAAAAACATCTAATTAACTAGTCCCGCGATACCCAAAGTCAATAGTCACACATCTTTCCATACACACACACACACACACACACACACACACACACACACACAAAAAAAAAAAAAAAAAAAAAAAAAAAAAAAAAAAAAAAAAAAAAAAAAAAAAAAACCATGCCCAGGAGTACTCAGATTTCTTTCAGCTGCTGACACCCACAGAACAGAAGCCTGGGCCAGGGGCACCATGCCAAAAGGGCGTGTGAGCGGGGGTTGCATAGGGTGGAGACCTGCAGAATGGAGCTGCTTTGTCTTCTTCCAAAGCCTTTTTCAAGGAGGCAAACAGTGACAACTTTGGGGGTTGGGTGTCCAATATAGTTAATGCCACGTTTCCTTGCTCAGGGCCCTGTCATCAGGCTACTCAGCCCTGCGAGGGGAGGTGACATTCCTCTTTTCAGACCGGATCCCTCCTGGTACAAATATAGCTGCACACCGGCTATTGTTTCAGATAAGCAATGAGAAAAGGCAACGTGCACACATAGATACACACACACACACACACACACACACACATAGAAGTCCAAAAACAGCAAAAATGTAGCCACGAAAGAGTCAGCATTGTATCAAATCCACCTCCATACAAACACAGAGTTTGAAAAGATATGTACAGGGCATTCATAAAATCCAAGTGTGCATCGCAAGGAGTGATGCCTGCTGTGTGCTGTACAGTCTTTTTTCTACAATGTGCTGCAGAAACCATCCCAGAGACCGTGGTGCAACCCCACCTGGCAGAACACCATGAAGCATCTGAACCGAACATCACAGGCCTTAAGCAACCTCCTGTGACTCTTCCCACGGCCTGTCCTCAGCCCCTGAAGGACACATGTTGCCCTCCATGGGCCAGGCCTTGGGCCTCTTCCTGCTCTCTCCCATTACCACCCAGCTGCAACTCAGATGCCAAAGGCAGCGGGCATTTCTTGGCAAACTCCCTTTGGCTCTGATCAGTGGAGCTCATGCCTGGCTCTGTGCTAACTGAGTAGACATATTGGGATAAGTTTCTTCTCACCTGCTCCCAGGTCACACTCTGGCACCTACTTGAAGAAATACTGGGAGAGCCAGGGCTAGCCCCGAGCTTCAGGCTTCCCCAGGTCCCCCAACATGGAAAAAGCAGGGGCCTCTTAAGCCAAAAACCCCTTTGTGATGAAGGGCAGGAGTGCAATGCTGAAGGCCCAGGGGAGGGAAAGACAAGGAAACGAAAGGTAGAATGTCACCTGCATTCACCAGCATCTCTGGCATCAGGGAGCTCTGGAAAGGGAGGACGAGAGGATGGAAAGGGTCAACTGACGGGAGATTGACTCTCCAAGTGGAGACTCAACATCAGAGGCATATGAGGGCCTCAGCTAAGACTGCTCCCTTATAACCTACACCTTTCTAGAAGACTCTTCCTAAGGCAAACCTCGCTGGCTCCCCGGCAATTCAAGCACTTCGCAGGCATTTGCTCAGTCAGCCTCCAACGGGCCTGTGAGGTAGGGGGAAGGATGGAAAACCCCAGCCACAGGGTGGAGTGGTCCAAGCTGGTGGCCTCACTGGGGTAGGGACACAAGCCTTCTAACTGGAAGCACGTCCCAGGGCAAGTCCTCAGGGCTAGAGCAGCCTCCAGAAGTCCTCTGTGGCCTGAAGGCAGGGCTGCATTCAAGGAAATGAGTCCCAATGTCTGCCTTAGAGAGATATTTTGACAGAAAAAAGCTTGTCAGCTCAGTGGATTTTAAATTGCTGTGGTTGCCAATAGACGCAGGCCATGCATTCTTGCACCACACAAAAATTTGCTACAATTTTTAAAGCACCACAGAGGAGAAATGGTTTGGTGTTGAGGTCAGGAGGATGGAGACGGAAGTAGGGGGAGGTGGTATCAACAGTGTCTAGCATGGTCACTGACAGTTAAAGGGCAGGTGCCTTCTGCCCCACTGCTGTCCAAAGCCTCACTGAAAACAGACTGGCACCTGGCAACAGCAGAGCAAACCCCATATGGGCCTTCAACCCCAGGCCACGGGCTTCTCCACAAATAAATGTTTTAAAAGGGACACTTTAGGATCTTCTCCTGAGATGCGCACCATCGTTAAGGAGAAATCCTCAATCTGAAGTTCAATTTCAATGCACCATTCGCAAAAAGTAGGCTCATGCCAGTGGGTAGTGGTTTGAACACAGCTGGTCCACATGTCTGGAGAGACAAGCACACTAGAAACTGAATGGCAGAGTCCACGTGGGCCCCTTGGTCAATGTGGAAGAGGAAACTCTGCCACCCAGCCCTCTGGCCCTCATCCTTCACACACCCTGTCCTCCTTCCAGGAGTGTGGGGACAGGTTTTAGGGGAGGCGGACATCACAGATCCATGTGATAAATTTCCCTTGGCCTCCTATGAACGGCCCGGGTGCTAGAGTTTTGTTCTATTGTGTTAATTATTTATTTGTCATGATTTTTTCATTTTGTTTTTGCTCAGTCCTTGTCCCTGTCCTCCAAATGTAAGCAAGGACAGAAATCACAGAACTGTGGAGGGTAAGGGGTGCTGAAAGGCTGGCTTCCTTCCCTTACCCCTGAGGCCCAGAGCTCTAGACACAGGCAGGCCTCCAGCCAGTCCCACAGCCCCCAGGCCAGGCCTGTGGACATTCTGGCCACAATCAACTCAATGGGGTTATTCCTTTGGCATAAGAGAAGCCAGTTCCTGATGGAAAGACAGGATGTTGGAGGCTTGGGGGTCATCCCAAAGAGTTGGGCACTTTGGCCTTTGGCTCTTCCCGGGGGCTTCGACTCATGCGTGGTCCCTACCCCCACCCTCCCCACCTGTCTCTGACAACTGACTTCCTAAAACTCCACAGTTAGGGAATTATTTGGCAACAAGGAGGCTAAGGCTGTTTTGTGGTGGCACAGTCTTTAAAAAGTTAAAAAGAAAATAGGAGACCTCGGAAAGAGGCGTTCATCCAGGACAGGGCACAAACGTCCCACTACTTGTCAGCGCCAGGGTTGGCGGCCACTATCTCCTCGTACTTTGGGGGTGGGTCACTGTAAGACACGCTGGCCTCCTCACTGCTGCTCTCTTGGGGCGCAGTCACCTCCTCGTAGGAGGGGGGAGGGGTGGTGCTGGACAGTCTGGAGAGAGAGAGCTCAGGGAGGTAGAGGGTGCTCTCTAGCCGGACTGTGGTCCTGCCCCCCCGACTGGGCCCCAGCACCACCTGGGGGCTGTTCGCTGCCTCTCGGTGCCCAGAAGGCTCCCCTTGGCTATGCACAGTACCCCGGTACACCATGACCCGGGGGAGGGTGTGCCCGGCGCGACTGGCTAGGTACCGGTTCTGAGCATAGGAGGGGTGGTGACGGGTCGCTTTCTGCAGCTGGCACCTCCAGATGATGAACAAGGCGATGACAATCAGCAGTGCCACCCCCAGAAGGGGTACCACCACATACATGGCATCTGAGCTCTGCGAGGGGTCTCGGACAGAGTAGACTGCATTTGGGTACCCTTTCCAGAACTCCATCTGCAAAAGAAAAAGTGGTACTTAAGAGAAGCTCAAGCTCCAGGTGGGCTCAGAGGCCTTCAGTAACTCTGGTGCTTCCTACCCTTCCCCATCTGACTTGTCTCACAGAGTTACCAGAGAGGCAGCAGAATGTACCAAGGGCAAAGGACAATGCTCCCAAGTGAGGAGGACCCCAAAAGAGTCAGGCAATGGGACTGTACGTACTTTATCTGCTCCGTGATGGCCCTAGTGGCTATGCCTTAGGCTGGGTGTCTTTCCTTGCTTCTGATTGGTCTGCATTACCAGGGCCTGTTCTTGCTATTCCTGAGGCTACTCCTACTCCCAGAACCAGCCCCAGGGTGGTACATGCCGTTTTCTCTTTGTTCTCAAACACTTCCTTGACCTCCTCGTAGCTGCAGATCTCCTCCATGCACTCTCGCTCGATGGTGCCCTGGCGCAGCTCCTCCAGGAACTCATTGGCACGAGGGAATCGTTTCAGGACCGAATGGGCATCCTTGGCCTCCAGAAACACTGAGGAGAGAGCCCTACTGAGGCCTGGAATGGGGAGATGCCCAGGGGCTCCTTCAAACCAGGCCCAGCCCAGCAACTGAAGCATAATTATGCAGGGAAACAAGGCCGAGTGAGCAGGCAAGACACCAGGCTTCTGATCAAAGGACATGGCCGGCCCTTTGTGAAAGGGATGGAAGGGCTGACATTCTATGGTGCCATGATACACCTGTCTAGAATACCACAGCCCCAACAAGGTTTAGGTCCCTGGCTACATGGAAGAAAATGGTAGCCAACTGCAAGGAAAGTGCACGTTGCACAGGAACAAGAAAGAATAAGAATTGTAAGTAGGCAATGTTCAGTGACTAAAGCTCCAGTATCTTCTGCATCACCTTGAAAAGTGAAAGTTGGAGCCCTTGCAATGAGAATGTATTCCTCTTTAAGGCTGATACTGGTGGAACTAATACCAGATAATCCTAGAAGACTCTACCAGGGTGGTGTTCCTCCACCTGAACATCCACCTGTGCCACCAGGTGGTCTGGCATCAATAGTCTTGTTCAAGAAAGTCTAATGCAAAGCCAGCCTAGGCTAGATCAGACAAGTGGGCATACACGAGCCTAAGAGCACCTCTGGGGATGGGAAGTAGCAGGGTTCAGATGGAGAGTCTAAGCTTTTACAGACGGGGCACAGAATCTCCCTACAATACCGTCTTTGGATGGTGGGCATATCTACTTATTCCAGAGAGAGACACCCAGCTACAAACAGGCTGACCAGAATAGCTTGAGCTCTGCACCCACATAAGCCTAAGTTGAGACTGTGAAGGATGAAAGAAGAGGTGACGTTTGCTCCTGTTGTTCACCTAGAGGTGGGACTTCCTGGTTCCCATGTAAAGCAACTCCCCCTGGATGCCCAAGCTGGCATGTCTTTGCCAGCAGGCAGGCACCCTTCCCCAGGCCCTATGGCCTGTCACGTTAGTGTCACTCAGGGAAGCCTGGGTAGGTACACATCTACAAGTGACATATACTTCAGAAGGGAGCCAAAGAGTTGAGAGGGCAAAACTGCTACTCAGCCATTTGGAAAATGGCTACAGGCCCACTTGGGGGGTAGGGGGCAGGGAAGCTGGGAAGGACTTGAAACCTGACTCATGAACCCCTAGGCATGGCCCTCCACGGCTCTGCCCAGGCCTGGAAAAACTCACCTGCCATGATGCTCCCTCAGCTGCAGGGTCTCACTTCTCTGGAGTAAGAGAAAAGCAAAGTTGCAGTGAAACCACATCTAGAAATTTACAGGGCACACTCTTGGCTCTGGGATGTGCCCCCCTCCCACTGGCGTGGTCAAAAGGTTGAAGCAGCACCTTGTGGGGTGCGTCGTCCTCCATGCAGCCACCCATGGCTTCCGCTGCTTCTCATTCTGCCCCAAGCTCTTCTCCAGAGACCTCCCCAGGCCCAGTAGGGCCCAAAGCAAACCTTTCAGCGTTTTCCCCCAAGAACATGTTCTGAGCATCTATAAGAACCAAGGGTTGACCTTTTTCTTTTAAAAAGGAAAGCTCCTAAAGGCTGAGGCTCCTCCTTCCTTGCTCCCCTCAATGAATCTTTGCAACTTCCAATTGGAAAGGACCTCAGAGATAGATGAGGAGATACAGCCCAGAGAGACGGGCTCAGACAAGGTTAAGCAAATCAACAGTGACAGTGGCAGGACCAGAATTCACAACTAATTTTGAGCACAATGGTGAGTCACAGATACCTCCAATGACAAGCATGTTCCCTGAAAACAAAGCTTAACACAGCATCAACCATCTCAAAAGTCACTGCCCTGCTGGGACTAGCCTATAGCAACCTTCAGTGGACACATCTTCTACAGGGTCTCATCCTCCATGCACAACAATGCTGCATTCTTCATATTCCCAGGCATAATCAGAAGGCCCAAACCCAGGTGACCCGCTGTGTTCATCTTCACCAGACAAAGAGGCAAGATACCTGGAATCTTCTGGAACCAGGCCTCTCTTCTCTCTTTGCATTAAAGCCCATGGCAGTAGAGTGCCAAGACATGAATTTAGATGCCCGACACTGAGACGCTAACTACAAGAGTTGCCCCTAATGTGAGCTATTGTCAGAAAGCCTTTCTCCTGCTAAGGAGCTATCCAGCCAGTACTTAAACCATGGTCACAGCACACTGCTCCCTCTGTCCCTCCCCACAATACACACGCCCACTCATACACACATTCTAGAGCCCTTGCTGAGCTGTCCACATCTGGGAGCAATCACCCCACTGCTCCCCTCCCCAAGCAGAAGCTCTGGTTTGATGACTAACTGGATGCAAGACACGTGAACTGTGGAATCCATTGAGCCCTCCTTTTTGCCTAGGCTGCCAGGAAGTTCAGCGTCACTATTGCCAGTCAAGCACAGGCACCCTGGAAGCCCAGCTGTTAAGCACATATGCTTCTGTCCTGCGATGTGGTATACAGCTTTCTATTTATGTTTCCAGTGTCCTATTGTGCATTTATAATATGCCACCTAATCCTTTTGGCAAACAGGTAGGATATAAATCAATAATTTAGGCTGGTCGCGGTGGCTCATGCCTATAATCCCAACACTTTGGGAGGCTGAGGCGGGCGGATCACCTCAGGTCAGGAGTTTGGGACTGGCTTGACCAAAAAATGGTGAAACCCCATCTCTACTACAAATACAAAAATTAGTTAGGCATGCTGCGGTGCATGCCTGTAGTCCCAGCTACTCTGGAGGCTGAGACAGGGGAATCGCTTGAACCAGAGAGGCGGAGATTGAAGTGAGCTGAGATTGCGCCACTGCACTCCAGCCTGGGTTACAAAGCCAGAAAGAAAGAAAGAGAGAAAGAGAGAAAGAGAGGGAGAGAGGGAGAGAGGGAGGGAGAGAGGGAGGGAGGGAGGAAGGAAGGGAGGGAGGGAGGAAGGAAGGAAGGAAGGAGAAGGGAAGGGAAGGAGGAAGGAAAGAAGGAGAAGGGAAGGGGAGGGAGGAAGGAAGGAAGAAAGAAAGAAAGAGAGAAAGAAAGAGAGAAAGAGAGAAAAGAAAGAAAAGAAAATTAAAGGTAAAACAGCAGATCTGACATCTATTTGTGGAAACGCCACATCAAGGGGCTTTCTCTTTTGAACCCTGCAACAATCTCCCTCAAAACTATCAACATGTGAATTTGTCAACAGATGGCCTGCCTTGTGAGACAGTTGGCCCTCAATGTTTGTCAGAACCAAGATGGAATATGATCTCAAAATTCTGCTTGCATTATGGATACCTGAGCTTTATGTGGTGAGGGTGTGGATATAGTATGCCTCATGGCAAGGATTTTTTGCTTGAAGAAAAATGGAGCTGTTGTATCTGGGTTTGAGAAGAATGCATATAGTCTTAATAAGGGAAGAGAGAAAAATATGCTTATCAAAGGAAACTGCAGTGGTTTTTTAAAAAAATGGAGAAAAATTTACATAATAGATTACATATATCCATCTTTTGTCCCCCACACACCTAGCCTTGGTCAAAGGTGGCTATATGTCACACCTATCATAGACCCGAATACATGTTATCCTGACGCACCTGCTAAAGTCACCAGTTCATTTTTAAGCTTCAGTCGAGCCAGGAACACCCCCAAAACAGTTCCCATGGCATGGCCCACTCCATTAGCAATTCTGTAGCCACCTTCACTGCTGCTGCTGCCTGCCACGAGGCCTCTTCCCCCTCCCTCCCCAAAATGTAGCGCCTGCTTCTTCCCCTATAAATACACCATCAGTAGACAGTTACTATGGCAACAATAAGGAAGCAATCGTGAGGGCTCCACGACAAAGAATGATGCTGCAGCCACACATGTATATGTCCCCCATGCCCCTGGTGGATACTGTAAAGCTGACTGTAGGCGGAAGGAATTTTTAACCCACTCCCCGCAGGAACACAGCTGAATCCTGACAGCCTGGAAAGGAAGGAAGGCAGGGAACTGGCCACCACAAAGACCTTGCTTAACTCCAC
Organism: Homo sapiens; assembly: GCF_000001405.40. NCBI lineage: Eukaryota > Metazoa > Chordata > Mammalia > Primates > Hominidae > Homo > Homo sapiens. Next base: position 151,696,033 of record NC_000023.11, on the reverse strand, counting down.
CCCAGACTGAAGCTTCTGAATCTCAGGCCTCTGGGACACAACTCCCAAAGTCCCTCACATGAAGCCTGGTGACCACCAGAGCACCTGGTGTCCCAAGACATGGCCTCCAAACCACTTCTCCAAACCCTAGACTTTATTTCCATCCCTCAGAACTGATCGCCAGGAAAGGGTTCTCCAAATCGCATGACTCATCGACCCACCCAGTGACACGACAACTCCCAAATTATGCTCAAACTCAAACTCTGGGGCCCCCTTGTCCCTTTCCACTCAGGCCAGCCCTGAAAGTGCCTGTCCTCGCCCACCTTCGCTGGACACCAGCGCCCTGACCCAGCAACACTCTTCTCCCGGAGCTGTTCAATACGCCCCATCCCCTTGGCCCGGACAGGCCTCTAGATCTTCCCTCCTCAACAATGCCCTGCACCCAGCTCGTTGGCCCTGGATACCGAACCGTGCCCTCGGGACTGGGACACCCAACCCAAATGGCCTCACCGTTCTCCGGGCCCAGAAGGCGGCCGCCCTGTTTGCGCACGCAGCCCGCCACCTCGCTGCTGCGCCTCTTCCAGCAGGGGCCCTGTCCCCGCCCACCTGCTCCCCGTCGGCCAAGCCCCCCGGTCCGGCCCAGCCGTCTCCTCCCTCCCTTCCTCCCCTCCCCGCTGCCCTCCCACCGCCCCGGGCACCCTGTCGCCCGCCCCTCCAGGGCCGAAGTGCGCCTGGAACCCCCGCCCCTCGCAGCCGGGCGCCCAGGCCCGGCCCATTACCTCGGCACCCCCCTGCCTGCCCCTGCTTTCCTCTGGGGGCTCCGCAGCTGCCCGCCCCCCACACCCCGCCGTTCCAGGGCTGGCCTCGCGCCCCGCGCCTCGCGCGCCACGACCGCAGTGCCCCGATCGCCAGGCCGCAATCGTCGCGCTGCCCCGCGCACCGGGCCGCCGGCCGCCTGGCCGAGTGGAGGAAGGAGGGGTGGGGGCGACGGAGTGGGCCGAGGGGGTTGGGAGAGCGGGCGGGCAAGCCGGGCCGGAGGGGCGGCGGCGCGCACCGAGCACCGCGCGCCCGCGCCCCACTCTGCCGGCGCCGCCCCTGCCCCCGCCCGTGCCGCCGGGGGGCGGGGCCTGACTGGCGGGCCTGGGGCACACAGAGGACCCTTGGTCAAAGCCCTGGTCCAGTCGTGACCCAAGGCGTGGGCCCTCGGAAGATACGGCGTAGCAGGGAGCTCCGGCGGCCGCTCCCAAGGCCCGCGCGCCAGGCGTCCCTGCGCAGCCCAACCCGCGTCCTGTCCCCACCCCCCGGGCTCACCTGCCATTCAGGCCCGCCGGGCTCCTGGGGCCAACGAAAAGAGAGGGGGGCTAGCCTGCAACCTAGGCCTGCCTTGCCAGGGATCCACAGGGCCCTCAGAAGAAGGACCGAGTCGAGGCCGCGTTCCGCCAATGACTGGGTGACCTTGGCTTCTTCACTTACCTACCCCCACCCTGCCCCGGGAAGGCAGGCTTCTCTCCTGCAAAGTCCGAGAAATGGGGAGAATTCTGCCTCCCTCGCGAGGCTGCAGCGATTTGAAGGAGGAAATGGGTTTGGAAAACTCTAAGGCTCAGTAAGGGGAGAAGGAATCTTCTGCGACTGCAAGGAGCGCTAGATGGGGGCTCCTTCGGAGGCCGCACTGTGAGAAGTTCAGCATGGCAGGACAAGACGCATAGCAGAGATTACACTAGTCCAGGAGGAACCACATGACAGGTCCACTGCTAAGAGAGGGGCAAAGGGGTTCCGGGTGGGCTGAGGTTCTGGGTCTAGGAAAGCCTCCCTCGGAGAAGGGGATGCTGGGTTTTTAGGGTTCCTTTTTGTTCTCTGCACATCTAGAACCCGGCCAGGCACTGGGGTTGGCGTCCTCTTCCTCCCTCCACCCCAAGTGTTGCTTTTGATGGGAATGAGTCTCAGAAGGCGGTTCCAGAACCACTCCCACCCCTATCCCAGGGCGGGTATTAGCAACCTGCCTTGCCAGGGGGCGGAAGAGGGGTGGGCGAAGGCCTTCATTGCCACCGGCCGCCTCCCCTCCAACCCCCAGGGCCTGGCTCCCCTAGCTCCCCCGATGCCTGCCTCTACACTTCTCTCCCCGCATGGTGCTTTCCCTTCCATTTCTGCCTCCTGTTAGAGTTCTTCCCTAGCTTGCTTGCTATTTCACGGCTGCAGGAATCTTCCTTACCCACGACAGCTCTTCTATGGCCTTCCCCCCATGCCTCCGGAGCCTGTGGGGCAGAATTCCACAGACTCTTCTGGAACTAACCTCTTGAGTTTCCTAGCCCACCAGCATGTTCCCATCGTGATCTTAACACCGCATAGACCCTTGTGCACTTGACTGTTAAAAAAGCAGCTCTTCCAGTATGTGCACAAGGGTCTATGGCTTCTGCCCTCCTTCTGGCACTCCCACTTTAGCTTCTGGCTCCAGCCACATGAGGCTACTTCTACTTCCCACTGCCCAGAATGCCTTTCCTCCCACTGTGGACCTGGAGCACTTGCATTCATTCTTCCCACACAGTGCGCATGACATCTCTACTGTGAGGTCTTGCAGGATCCTTCCTGCACCCCAGTCCGCCATTCCACTCTCAGGACTATCTGCAGAGACTATGAACATGGGGGCCTCGGTGGATAGCAAGGTGGGGGAGGAGGAATAGCAGTGCCTCTGGAGCGTAGTGCCTGCTGCACCTCTTGGTGGTACTACATAGTAGGCTCTATTATCTCCAGCAAGTGTTTGACCTCTCTGCATCTCGGTTTCCTTACCTTTCAGATGAGAATGATGCTAACAGTGCCTGCCTCAAAGCGTTGCTAAGCGGGTAGTGGAGCTAATCACATAGAATGTGCCTGGCGCTTAAGTGTGAGCTTAATGCACATCAGCTGGCCTGCATCCAGCTACCTTGTGTTCATTTGGTAGCTCACTTACGTGCACACTTGCCTCCTCTCTTGGGGCCAGGGACCTTGTCTCTTCCTGTGTCCCTACCATCTCGCACAGAACCTCATCCACAGCTGGTGCTCTCTAGAGACTTGTCAAGCTGAGGCTGGAGGGGCTGGGGCTGAGAAGGCCTCCATTGCCTTCTTACCTGCCCCCATTTCTGTTCCGGCAGAGCCGGAATTGTGGGTGTATGACCCATGGAGTCAGACAGGGCCCTGTGCTTAAGAGGGCTCTGGACACCTGGCTCAAGGCTGTGCTATCACCATCTTGAAATTCTAATGCTTTTTGAACAAGAGGCCTTCATTTTCACTTTCACTGGGTCCCACGAAGTATGTAAGCCATCGTGCCTATGGGTGGCATTTCCAATATCCCCGATCCTATCCCAGGTAACAGAATTCTCAGTCACCCACCACTTGTGATTCCTCACCTTCTCCCCTCTGCAAGCCTTGACCAGTTGCCTCTTTCCTCATGTCTCATCACCACCAATTCCATTACCTTCCTCCACATTGCCCCTCCCCAGCCCCATCCCTGTGCCTCACCCTTTGGCTAAGAGGAGCACTCTCTGACAACCTCATTTACTCCCAGAGTTTCACTCTTTCCCCAACACTCATCCATTCCAGAATTGAATGGATAACTTTATCTGAGCTCTGCTGCTCCCATCCTTTTATGTCCTGACTGAGCCTAAGCATTGATCCTTACCCTGTAAGAGACTCATTCCATCTCTGCAAACCGATCAACAAGTTAATCAGGTGTCATGGATTGAGTTGTGTCCCTCTGCAAATTCATGTTGAAGTCCTAATCCCCAGTACTCCAGAATGTGATCATACTTCGAAATAGGGCCTTTAAAGAGGTTATTAAGGTAAAATAGGGTTATTAGGCTGGGCCCTAATCTAGTGTGACTAGAGTCCTTATAAGAAGAGGAAATTAGGACACAGGCATGTACAGAGGAATGACTATGTGGAGACACAGGGAGAGTGTGGCCATCCACAAGCCACCAAGAGAGGTTCAGGAGAAACTGACCCTGCCCACACCTTGATCTCAGACTTCCAGCCTCCAGAACTGGAAGACAATACATTTCTATTGTTCAAGCCACCCAGTCCACAGTACCTACTTTGTTAAGACAGACTGAAACAACTCCTACATCAAGCATTTACTCAGTGATACTACGTGCTATCCACTGTTCTAGGACTTGGGATTACAGAAGCCAAAAAATTAAATAAAAACTCCTAACCTCATGGATATTAGACACAAAAAAAAGAAAAACAAGTCAAAGATACAGGATGCTAGATGGTGATTGGTGCCATGAAGAAAAAGTGAAGCAGAGATTTCAAATAAGGTAGTCAGGAAATGTGCCACTGAGAAGATGGCATTTGAACCAAGATTTGAAAGAGTTGAGGGGCCATCCTATTCCAGGTTGGGAAATTCACAAGTGCGAGAGCCCTGGGAGCAGAAGCTTAGCATGTTCTAGGGTTAGGCAGGAGGCTAGTGTGCTGAAGTGAAGCAAGCCAGAGAGGAGGATGGTAGGCGACTAGGTCAGAGTAGTTAAGATGGGGGTAGCAAGAGATCATGCAGGGCCTTGTAGACCACTGTCAGGACTTTGGCTACTAGTCAGAGTCATGTGGAGAGACAGTGAGGATTCTGAGTCAGTGGTTACCACGATCTGATTTCTATTTTACAACAGGCAATGCAGTGGAGGTGGTAAGAAGCAAGCAGATTCAAGATTGATTTTGATGGAAGAGTCATTAGGGTTTGATGCCAGTTTGGAGTTGAGCTAGGACAGAGACAGAAATCAATTATGGCACTAAGGTTCTCAGTCAAGGGAACAGGAAGGATGGAGGCCCTTTAACTGAGATAAGAAAAACAGTGATGGAATGGGTTGTATAGACGTGTGTGAAGTTCAGGGGCAATATCAAGGCTGGAGATATAATCACAGAATGAGTAACATTTCGTTCATATTACAAGTCATGAGACTGGATTGGATCCACAGGATAATGAATGTAGAGATAGCAAACCAGCCCCAGAACGAAGCCCCAGGCAATCCTACATTTAGACGAGGAAAAGCCAGCAAGGGAGCCAGTAAGGAGTGATGTTGAGGCAGGAGGGGTGCAGCAACACGTAGAGACAACTGCAGAAAGTGTATCAGGAAAGAGGCGGTGAGCAGCTATTCCAATCCTACGGACTGGACAAATAAGAAGAGGACAAAGAATTGAGCATTATGTCTGTCAATGTGGAGGTCATGAATGTCTTTACAGGGGCCATTTCCAGGAAAATGTGGAGGGACAAGAGTAGGAAAAAAGGAATTGAAAACAGCGAGTACCCAATGATTGACAAGTATTGTAAGGAGTTTTGTTGTGAAGGAGAACAGAGAAGCTGGGGTTGGGGGTGGTAGGGATATGAGAGGACAAGATAGAAGTATTTTTAAAATATGAGATAAATTCCAGCCCTGTAACATGTTTGTATGCTAATGAGCCAGTAACGTGGGAAAAATTGGTGATGCAGGAGGGAGAGACACAGATGTAGGTAGGTGGGAGAGGCGATGGCAGAGCTTGGAAAAGTGCTCTTCTGATGGCTTCTATTTTCCCAGTGACACAGAAAGCCAAGCCACCAGTTGGGAGTTGGGGTGAGGGATGTCAGTGGTTTGAGGAGAGAAGGCTTGAAATAGTCGTCTTCTGGGAGCCAAGAGAGTGGATGTTCTGTGGAACTGTAGCGTGATTTCTGGGCTGCATGGAGGGCCCACTTGAGGGTTGATGGTCATTATTTTAAAGTGAAACTACTCAACATATGTGCATGGCTTTCTCCAACCATATTCAATTGTTCTTGTGGATATTTAGAGTAGGTAGAGTTGGATTTCATCAGGGTTGGGGTTTTGCCAGATGAGTACAGGGATATAATGGAGGGACACAGTAGTTTTATGTGGATTCAAGGGAGAAATGATAATGATTGACCATGGATTTTAGGCTGGGTAAGGAGGGAGATAAGGACAGAATCAGGGTTTGGTGAAGGAGAGTGAAATCAACAGTAGAATCTTTGGTTTGAGGGTCCCCACAGGGGTCAGAGGACTGTCATAATACTAAAAGGAGTGAGCCGGTGGTTGGAGAGCTGGATACATGAAATGGAGGTTCTGGAGAGATGGTGGTTATAGATGTCAACCAGGTCTTAGGATGAGTGTAGAAGGAAGTGGCTGAGGTAGAGAACAGGGCAAAAGCACCACTGGAGAGTAGGTCAAGGGAGTAGGAGATCAGAGTAGAATTACCTATGCAGATATTGAAATTACCAAGAACTTTGCCATCCTCCCACCCACACACACCCTGGATCCCAACCTACACATAAGCACGTACTTATTCTTTTTACTTTTATCTCCTCTGACTGTGTGTTTTCAAATAGCCTATCTTCAAGCTCACTATTTCTTTCTTCTGCTTGATCAATTGTGCTATTAAAGAGCAATGATGCATTCTCTGGTATGCCAGTTGCATTTTTTAGCTCCAGATTTTCTGCTTGATTCTTTTAAATTATTTCAATCTCTTAAAGTCTATCTGGTAGGATTCCGAATTCCTTCTCTGTGTTATCTTGAATTTGAGTTTCCTCAAAACAGTTATTTTGAATTTTCAATCTGAAAAGTCACATATCTCTGTCCCTCTGGGATTGATCCCTGGTGCCTTATTTAGTTCATTTGGTGAAGTCATGTTTTCCTGGAAGGTCTTGATGCTTATGGATGTTAGTCAGTGTCTGGGCATTGAAGAGTTAAGTATTTATTCTAGTCTTTGCAATCTGGGCTTGTTTGTACCCACCCTTCTTGGGAAGGCTTTCCAGGTATTCAAAGGGATTTGGGTGTTATGATCTAAGTGTTTGGTTACTGCAGCCATATCTGCATCAGGGGGCACCTCAAGCCCAGTAACACTGTGGCTCTTTCAGACTTGTAAACGTACCACCTTGGTGGTCTTGGGTAAGATCCAAAAGAATTATCTGGATAACCAGGCAGAGACTCTTGTTTTCTTTCCTTAATTTCTCCCAAAGATATGAAGTCTCTCTCTCTCTTTCTCTCTCTCTCTCTCTCTGTGTGTGTGTGGGTGGGGGGGAGATATGTATCTGTGCTGAGCTGCCTGGAACTGGGGGAGAGATGACATAAGCACCCTTGTGACCACCACAATTGGGACTGCACTGGATCACACCTGAAGCCAGAATGGCACTGGTGCCTCACTCAAGGCTTGTGATAACCACTGTCTGTCTACTGCCTATGTTTGCTCAAAGCCCTAGGACTCTGCAATCAGCAGGTGGTGAAGCCAGCCAGGCTTGTATCCTTCCCTTCAGGGCAGCAAGTCCCCACTGTCCCAGGTGGGTCCAGAGATGCCATCAGAGAGCCAGGGCCTGGACTCAGAAACTTTAGGAATCTACCTGGTGCTCTATTCTACTGTGGATGAGCTGGCACCCAAGCCACAAGACAAAGTCCTTCCCATTCTTGCCTCCTCTTTCCCCAAGCAGAGGTCATGCCTTCCCCACGGCTACCACCACCCAAGGCCCACGACAAGTACAGTCTGGCTACCACTGATGTTCCTTCAAGGCCCAAGGGCTGTTTAATCATCTGATGTTGAATACTGCCAGGCCTGGGACTCTCCCTTCAGGGCAGTGGGCTCCCCTCTGGCTCAGGGCAGGTCCAGAAATGCTGTCCAACAACTAAGGCCTGAAATTGGTAATCTCATGAGCCTCCTTGGTGCTCTACCCCACTGTGGCTGAGTTGGTACATAAGCTGCAAAACAAAGTCCCCTTTACTCTTCCCTCTCCTTTTCTCAAGCAAAAGTAGTCCCTCCTCATAGTCACCACAGCTGGGGATGTTCTGGGTCACACCTGCAGCCAGCATGGTACTGTGTTTTGCCAAAGTTCTGTGGTGACTGCTGCCTGGCTGTTGTTGATGTTTATTCAAGGACCAAGGGCTATTTAGTCAGAAGCTGTTGAATTCTGCCAGGACTGGGTCCTTCCTTTCAGGGCAGTGGGTTCCCTTCTAGCCCAGGGTGGGTCTAGAAATGTTGTCCAGGAGCTATGGCCCACAGGGGCTTCAGGACTCTGCTTGGTACTTTAATTTGCTGTGGCTGAGCTGGTATACCAGTTTCAAGACAAAGTCCTCTTTACTCTTCCCTCTCCTCCTGGAGCTGCAAGCTGTGCTGCCTGAGGTTAGTGGAGGGATGACATAAGCACTCCTTAGGCCACATCAGCTGGCATCTCACTAGGTCATGTGCACTCCAAGTTCACTGATTCTGGGCCTGGTTCAGCACCAGGCCTTGCCCAGGAATTGCAGTCCTTGTGGCCTAGACTGCCTTTCAAGTTTATTTAGAACCCCAGAGCATCTTAGCCCAGAGTAGTGGGGCTTGCCAGAACTCAGGTTCTAACTGTTGGGATGGGTTATTCCCCTCTGGCTAGGGCTGGTCTAAATGCTCCTTACATAGGTGCCAGCTGAGCTGTGCCTGGTGTTGCTTTCCACTTGACAAGGCAGCACTGAGTTTCAATGTAAAATCTCACAATCACTGCACTCTCCCTCCACCAGGTTCAGAGATTCTTTCTCCATGCCAGACTATTGGCCACTGCCAGGGGATGGGAGAGAAGTGGCATTGGTGACTCAAGACTGTCTTTCCTACCCTCTTCAGTGCCTCTTTCAGTGATATCAAGTTAAAACTAGGAACAGTAATTACTCACCTGATTTTTGGTTCTTATCAAACCAGGAACTGTGATTGCTCACCTGATTTTCAGTTATTATGAAGGTGCTTCTTTTGTGTGGACAGTTGTTCAATTCAGTGTTCCTGCAGAGAGGACGATCAGTAGAGTTTTCTATTTGGCCATCTTGCTTTGCCTCTGGATTGCAGTTTTAAACTAGTTGGTCAGGGAAGGACTCACTGAGAAGTAACATTCGAGAAGCATTTAAAGGAATAAGGGTGATAGCTGCGTAGATAACTGGGAGAAGAGTATTCTTGTAAAAGGAAATGGTATGTGCAAAGGCCCTGGGACAAAAGTGTGGTTGGCATGTATGAGGCACAAGGAGTGGAGGGAAAGATTTCACACAGGCCAGAGGCAAGGCTCAACCACAGTCTGAGTCCAGTCTTGGCGGAGTGCCTGATGATCCTCCCAGGAATGTCAGAAGATGGGAAGTCCTGTGAGGAGCTGCCACAAGACCCTTTTCCACTCTCCTTTCTATTATGCAAGGCTACCATGAGGCAATTCTTCACCCACTTCCCTGGTTCTAGTGAGGGATGGGACTTTCCACCTAGCCCCCTGCTTTGATCTGAATATTTATGTCCCTCAGAAAATTCATATGTTGAAACCTGATTAACAATGTGATGTGATAGTACTAAGAGGTGGGACTTTAAGGGATGATCAGGCCATGAAAACAGAGCCATCCGAAGACAGCCCTCACCAGACACTGAATCTGCTGGTGCCTTGATCTTGGGTTTTCCAGCCCCCAGAACTGTGAGCAATAAATTTCTGCTGTGTATAAGTTACCCAGTCTAAGGTGTTTTGTTATAGCAGCCCAAATGGACTAAGACACCTCCCTCCCTACCTTAGAGTATAGTTTTTAGTATGTGGTATTGGCTCCTTAGCAACAGAGCACCCACCTCTTGTGTTGCCCATAATCTGATCTTTGGTTTGGCACTGTCCTGTGGAACTAGGGACACAGGAATCTGACAGAAGCTCAGTGTGTCTACATCAAATATCACCATAAAAGAGTGGTAGGAGATTAGCTCAGATGATTCGCCCTTAAATTTTCCATAGCTGGCTCCCTCTTGCCTTTTAGCTTTTTGCTCTAATGTCACAACCTCAAAGAAGCCTTCCCAGATATACTCTGCAAATAGCTCATCCCCTTCTACATTGTATCTCAGCTCCTGTTTTCTTTCCTCCAGAGCATTTGCCCTCTGACATTTTTCTGATTCACTCCTATTTCCTTGTGATCGGTCTGTCTTTCCCACCAGATTATTGGTCTCATGAGGTCAGGGACATTTCTGTCTTGTACATTTCTGTAACCTCAGCTCCCTCCTGCCTTTCTCATATCATTCCACACCATGTAGCATAGGAATTATACATGTATCTTTTTGTTCTGATTCTAAAAATAATATGTTCTCATGGTGGCAATTTTGAAAATGACCACTCACAATTCCACCAGCCAGAGAAAGCCATTATTAAAATGTTTACATATCACCTTCTTATTTTTCACTCTACAAATTCAATTTTACATCATTTAGTTCATACACTGTAAAAAGTTTTTTAATTTCCTTTGTTTTTTTAATCTAATTATACAATTCATAAAATATACATTATAAAATATTCAGGCAAAACACAAATACATGAAATAGAAAGTTAAAATTCACCCATAATCCCCTGATCTGTTGAGAATCACTTTAGTACTTTCCTATTTATCCTTCTGTATGTTTTCTACCCTTCTGTATGTTTTCTTTCACGTACATTTTTTTTTCACACACACAAAGGAATTATGAACTGCCTTTTTGCCCTTAACAATATCTTGAGATCTCATGGGCATCTCTGTCAAGGCAGTACAGAGTATGGCTGAACTAATACTTCTTTACCTATTTCCTTTTTTTTTTTATTATTATTGTAGACAATGCTGTTATGGCCCTGCTTGTACATGCGTCTTGGACATTTGACCATTTTCTCCCTTTGCTTTCATGCTTTGGTTTTCTCCACTTCCAACACTTAAAATATTTGTTATTTTCACCTACCTTTTTATGTTTTCATTAGATAATGTGTAAATTTTTAATCCCTGTATGAAATTGAATTTGGCTTAAGATTTAAGCTAGGGATTAACTGTATTTTTCTAAGTGTTTATTCTGTTTGGGAACTGTTATTTCTCCACCACTGTTGGAGAGAAGGGGTAGCTTAGGAGACTTAATATCCATTAACCACCCTCTCAGTGTCTCTTTCATATGGACAATTAATATTTCCTCAGCCTTTAAGAATCTTCTCCCCTCCCTACTGACCAGAGAGCCACCATTCAGATGTGTCTTTAAAGCTATTTTGGAGCCACAATTCTTCCACACTGATGGAAGCACTAGTTTTACCAGGTGTTTCTTTTTTGTTGAAACCAGTGTAACTTTAGCACAACTTTTATTATCTAGTGGATCAATTACCTTCTCTCCTCTTGTCCCTAATCATTTCTGCTTCTTTCCCTCCAATTTTCTTGTTCATTTTTGCTTATTTATTCTGTTATCTAACCCCTAGAATAGTTTCATAAAGTTACAAAAGAAGAAATACCATTGATATCTTGGTTGCAATTGTATTAAATTTTTGGATTAAAATTGGGAAAACTGGTATCTTTACAATATAAATCTTTTCAATCAATCTCTTGGTGTTAATATTTTCATTTATCTTGTTTAATATTCCTAGGTAAGTTTTCTAGTTTTCTTCTTATAGATTAGATGCTGCACATTTTAAAATATTTTACGCATAGTTGTTTTATATATATATATTTGTTGCAATTGTGATTTCCATTACAGTTGCCAACTTGTTATTGCTAGTTTGTGAGAAAGATGCTGATTTTTGTAAAATTACCTGTATCCATCAGCTTTGCTTAAAAATGTTTCTTAGTTAAACATGTTTAGTTTTCTAAACGATGAGCATACAATTTGCAAATAACGATGAATGTGTCTCCTCCACCTCAGTATGTATGCTATTTGTTTCTTGACATAATCTTACTACAAGATCCTGTCCCTAGCTTTCAGGGCAATGCCTCTTGTGATTCGATTTACACCAACATTTACCATTGGTTATGATACACTGAATGCATCATATTGAGAAAGAATCATTTGATTCCTCTTTCACTACTATTTATCATTTTAATCAGAAATAGAAGTTAAATTTTATTAAATGACTTTTGTTTATTTGCAGTATTTTTAATGGATGTAAAGTATTCCATTTTATGGAGGTTTCAAAATTTATCTAAGAATTCCTCAGGTAATTGGAGGCTCATGCTGTTTCTACTGTTTATTACTGTAATTGATGCTGAAAATGAATATCTTTTTATAAATATTTACCCACTCTTAAAAGTAGAATTATAGATCTCTAGCAATAAAATTACGGGTTTAAAGAATATGAGCCTTTAAGAGGCTTTACTCTGTAGATCTGATTTGCTATACAACAAGGTTGTACCACATCCCAGTGCATAAAAGTGTTCATTTCACTTCACCCTTGCCAGCAGGAAATATCGCAATTTAATAGTCCTTGCAAAATTTATTAATATTTCATTATTTAGTTTGCATTTTTAGTCAAGCTTATATTCTCTCATGTTCATTCACCATTTTCCTTTTATTTTCTGTGCATTAACTGTGTGGCCTCATTTTTCTGTTGCAATCTTAGTGTTTTTAAATTAATTCTCATATGTTCTTTGCACATTATATAGCACATATTTATGCTTTGGTTTGCCTCTTATTGGTGCTAATATGTTTGACATGCAGAAGTTTACTATTTTAATGTAGATCAATCTATTGCTTTGTTTTTCCTTTGTGATTCTTTCCATTTCTTTTAAACGTAGAAAGCCCCATCCACCCATCCACCTATCCATACAGGGATCAGAAAGATAATTCACGCACTTCGTTTCTTAGTTTTCTTGTGGTTTTAGAGTTAGAGGAAACAGGAAATCCAGAGGCCCACAGGTGTGGCAGACCATCTAGCGAGGTGGGGTTTATAAGGTTTCCATAGCTCCTTGGCCTTTGCCATGGCTGCTTCCTCTCCCTGTAATGTGCACCCCGCTTCTCTACCTGGCAACATCCATTTAGAGTTGAGATCCGGTAGAAACCTGTGCTGACACTCCCCTTTCATCTAGGAATGGTCTTGTTGTCATGTTTTACCTCCACTCAACAAGCCATTACATGCTTCTATTAAAGCATCTTCATTTATTTCCTTCTTTTTTTTTCAATAGACATCTAATGACTGCCCACCTTGTTGCTTGAACTCAATCACTGTCCCCACTTTATGATACTTGTAGTTCAGAGGGGAGAGCAAAAGCCACACAGTCTACTCATTCAATCTGTTTCACTGCATGTATTCACTTACCTATTAGACACAACAACATATAAGTACAGATTAAGATGTTAAGATGTGCTGTGTTGTTAGGAGCACTTATGACAAGGAAGGGGATCTTACTTAAAACAAGGAAGGGGATCTTACTTAAAGTGATGTAGTAAGATTTGGACAAGAAACAAGATGCAAACCTATTAGAAATGCCCCACTATAAAAATGTATTATTACTTACAAATTATATGATTAGCTGCTTAGAAAGCTAAAGATGATTAACTAAGAACTGTGTTTAGCAAGACAGATGGAATCAAGCCAATTTTACAAAATTCAGCCCCTTTCCTACAAATCAACAATAACCAGTTAGGAAATAAGATGAGAAAAAAATCCATTTTTGGATCTCACAATTGCAACTTCCCCTTTGAAGAAGTGACAATTAAGCTGATACCTAAAGGGAAAGAGTCAGTCATGTGACGTGAGTTTGAGGCTCGATGTCCAGAAAGGGGGCCAGTGTGGCTGGGACGTAGTGAGCAAGGGTGGGGGTAGTAAGAGGAGATGGTTTGGAGAGGGGCCCTAGAGAACTTTTCAAGGGGTTGACCCTCTTTCTGATAATAATGTAATGCACTGGAGAGTTTTAAGCAAGAGAATGACATGATCAGCTTTATACTTTGTAAAGATCACTGTGATATTGTGTGGGGAATGCACATGTGACAGATGATCATGGGAGTTTTGGGGATGGGAAGCAATAGAGGGATTCCAGATGGATTTTGGAGGCACAGCCAACAAAATGTGGACATTAATTGGATATTTGGAGTCGAACAAAAAGATGTAGTTAAGGATGATCCCAGTAGTATTAGTTTGCTAGGGCCACCTAAGAAAGTACCACAAACTAGGTGGCTGCATTAGTCAGCTTAAGCTGCCACATCCAGGTACCATAGACTAGGTGATGTAAACAACAAGCATCCATTTTTCTCACAGTTCTGGTGGCTAAAAGTCTACCATCAAGGTGCCTGCAAATTTGGTTCTTGGTGAGGGCTCTCTTCCTGGCTTGCAGATGGCTGCCTTCTTGCTGTGTCCTCATATGGCCTTTCCTCTGTGCATGTGTGGAGAGAGAGAGAGAGAGAGACTTCTTAAAAGGACACAAGCTGAACTTGTTGGGTATACTGGGAAGACAAGATGAGGAGACAATACATGCAGACAAGTGCCTTGAACACAGGCAGAGAAATGTGACACTTACTGGAGAGGGATGTGGGAGTCAAGGATTGGTTTTTTGTAAAGACAGAAAATATCGCAAGTTTCTATGGTGATGGGACTGGTCAAGTAGAAAGGGGGATTCATTGATGGTGGAGGGAGGGGCAAGTGGCATGGGATGGGATCCAGAACACAAATGAAGACATCAGCCTTAGAAAGGAGAAGGGATACTTCTGCCATTTTAGCTTGCAGAAAGCTGAGTTCAGTCAGAGGAAAGCATACGAAGGATTAGTGATGGGAGGATGAGGGAATTTCTATTCCATATCTTGTAACATCTAAATTGAGTATTAACAAAGAAAGCAAGAGGGAAATGGAAAGACATGGGGAGTTTGAGGAAAGGGCGAATCACCATTCTGAGAACCGGACTGGAAAGACACCAAACACGGAAGTCCTGAGCAGCGAGATGTGCCTTGGTGAGGCTGAAGATCATGAGCCTACAGCGGTACACAATCTGCCAATGTGTGTGATTTTCTCTAGAAGCACGGAGGTGCATAAGTGCAGACACACAGAGGGCATAGTTGAGTTCATCCAAGGGTGGGAATTTGTCAGTCAATTGTGACAGAAGCAAAAAAGAGAAAGAAGATGATTATATGATGGATCATGGCCTTGGGGTGCTTGAGGAGAATAGAGAAGGAAGATTCATCAGAAAGTTGACCAAGGGCTGGACTGAAACCTTGAGAACAGAATTCTGTATGGCTTAGGGCCTGACCTGGAATAGGTAGTCAGAAAATGTTAACCGAATTGGTCACAAGGGAGGACCCTGGAAAGCTGCAATACTGTGACCATGCACCAGGGGGCAAGAGATGACAAGAAATGAGTTTGACCACACCCAACCTAGGGCTTGAGGGCTGTGTGTCCTGAGCGCCACTGGCCTACCTGACTGCTCCTAGGGCTTTGGGGTGCATGATGCTGCCTACCTGAGCTGGAGCCTGCTGTATCTACCACCAAATTGGTGGCGGTGGGGTGTGTGGGGCAAGGACAGATGAAACCATGAATCTAAGACACAGATAAAGGAACTTCCTTCGTTTCCACCCATCCTGTGCTCTTGTCCATGTCTAGGCGCTGGGCAATGCCCCAGCCCTCGGCAACCCCAGGAAGCTGACTCTGAGTGTTATAGGGGCACCCTGAGATATGGTACCAAGAATCACAATCTATGTGCTGGCCCTGAAGAGCCATCGAACATCTTTCCCAAGGCTGGTACCATAGGTTATAGTCTTAGGGGCTGGCCCTAACCTAGAGGGTTCCTAGAGCTAAGAGCCCTGAGCCTGGAAAAAGTGTCCGTGCCTAAGGAGGAGCATGGGAAGGCTCTGGTGGAGAGAACCCTTGACCACCAGATCTCCCCTGATGCCTCCTGTAAGCCCAGCCCATGCTGAGCCTGGGAACAGAAGAGAATAGAGACTGGACAGTCATCTGTTCATTTATTTACTTCCTCATTAATTCACACTTTCATGTTCCCTTCCCCGTGTTAGTGGAAGAAACAGACAATTATGTCTAAGGTGATAGATGGAAGAAAGGGAGGATTCAGGCAGAGTCTGCGTGTTAGCTTGGGTGACTCAGAGGATGGAGGTGCCTATCCAAAAGAGGAGGCAGTGCAGGAGTTAAAGGAGGGGAACAGTGTGCTGATAAAGACCAGAAGAGAAGACGCAACTGGCCTGAGAAGAGAGAGGGGGAGGTGAATGCAATAAGGGTGGAGATGCACTCTGTGGTATGGCCATCTTCCAGGAACCCACGTTGTCTCTTCATCAGAGCTGAGATGGAGAACATAAGGCTCAGAATGGCAGGGAGACAGGCTGACATTTGTTCTCTCACTCATTCATTGGTTCCTTGATCCAGGAGGGCCTCTGGATTCTAGTCTCACTCTCAAGCAAGTGTCTTATCTTTGTCCCTATGTTCCAGTGAGTCAGCAGAGACAGGGAGCGGTAAAGTGATTTGCCCAGAGTTTCACAGTAGGTGGGTAGCAGGTAGAAGCCTAAACATTCAATGCCTTGCCTCTATTGGCACCATATCCCACATGGAAACTGGTGGGCACTGCCTACTGACAAGTGAGGGGAACAATAAAAGAGCAGCACTGAACTCAGTTCAAGACCCCCATCTTGAGTCTTCTGCTGTCCCATTACCCCTTTCGCAAGCAGTCCTAGGTTGCCTTTCCTAGCAGACAGCATGTCCAAGGTTTGGGGTGTAAATGGCCTCAAGAGCATGGCTCTTACCTAGAGCCCTGAGCCTCTTTCTGTGCTGAAGTCCGCCCCACTCCTAGTCAGCCAAATTTCCAGCCCCTCTCCTAACTACTTTGCCCACATGGTAGAACTGGAAATAGATTGCACAAACACTTGACTGCACCATTCTAAATACTGCAATTTGTCTGTCCTGTCTGCCGACCTTTGCCTCTCTGTAATTGACATGTTTTGATTCTGCAGGGTTGTGGGTTTTGTTTCATCAACAAGGTGACCAGGTGGTTAATTAGCCTTTGACCTTTGGGGTCAGGGCCTCCATCTGGGCAGGAAACATCCATGGCTCCAGGAGTTTTGGGCCTCTTGGCATTTAATTGTCACCGTCAATTCCCCCTACACTTCCCCACAGCCCCCATCTCCCTGCAGTGGTCCTGACTTCCGTGTGCCACAAAGAGATTTGCAGAGGCTAACTGGAGCCACCACTAGGGATGCTCACCAACTTGTGTGCAGTGCTTTGCACTTCATGACTTACACCCTGCTGTCTCATCTACCAAGTTCCCTTGTGCCCCCAGACCCACAGGAAAGTTGTAGTCCCAGGGCCAGAACTGCACCCCCACTGCAGGGCATGCCCGCAGGTCTGACAGTCCCTCATCGAGGAGCTCCTCCCTGAGGAAGAGCTGCAAGGTTTCTGGTTAATGTTCAGAAGCTTAAGAAGGGCTCTACCTAAATAATGAGCACTGGAGGAAGGCTTTCCTGGGGCCTGGGAGCTGCGAACATTCATAGAGGAAACGCTTACCTGCAAGGTACTGTGTTACGGGGGCATCCAAGATCTGTCCCAATCTCTGCCCACTGTAGCTCAGTCTAGAAGGGCAATGACATGTGTACTCCAAGTGAGGTAGAGGCGGGGGTAGGGGTACATGGAGCAGGGCTCCTTCCCAGCCAGGCTTTGCATGGTGGTGGGCAAGGGTTGAAAATATAGAGCTGGGAGGCAAGGGCATAAGATAATACGGAATAGTGACAAATGTAGAAGGGCAAAAAGGCCCAGGACTTCTATGAAACCCAAGGGCTCGGGGGACTGGGGGCAGAGTGCATGACTGGAGGAGATAAATGCAGCTGCAGAGGAAGGGCGAGGCCAGGCCAGGTGGAGAATCTGGATTCTATTTGATAGGCGATGGAGAAGCACTCGATGCTGTCTTCCCTACCCATTAAAATAAACCAAACAAAAATCCCAATTATTTAATATCCCCTAGGGAATATTTAATTTGGTCCTAGCTGTAAACCAGAGTCTTCGTTAAGGTTGATGTGGCCCATTTTAAGAGATGCAGGTGAAGTTTACTGCAGTCTCCATTGAGGCTAGAGACGCATTCCAAGGCCTTGGAGGACCAGCTCCCTCCTTTCACCTCATAGGCAGTTTGGCCTGAAGCTGCAGTTCCCAGTTCCCACGTCTGCCCGGCCCACTTCCTGTCACTCCAGCCCTTCTTCCCCAACCTTTCCTTCCCGGTGATTTTGGCAGAGATGAACAAAAGTCATACCCAAGAACATTCTATAGCTACCTTCCTTTTCATTGTCTCCAAAATACGCGTCAAAACACACTAAAGACACCACAGTGGGCATCAGCCCATGCTGTGGTGTGTGCTGCAAACATGGACTGGAGCTGGTAGTTTTAATAACTCTTCCTTCTTTATTAGAAAATGTGCTTGGGAATAGGAACATTTATGAATGTTTGATGTGTTTAGAAAACATGAATATTCAGCTTTAAGTCTGTGCATGCAATGTTCTATTATGTACATACAGACTGAGCGCTGCTCAGTGAGGACTGCTGTACTGCCCACCTGGGAATGAACTGATGTGGAGGTCGCGGTGGCTGTTTCTGGAAGCTCTGCCATGTGTGGTGGCTTGATCTGGAAACCCAAGATCAAGTCTTTGGCAAGGTAGGTTCTGTCCTGGAGCCTCTTCCCTTGGTTTGCAGGCAGCCACAATCTTGCTGTGTGCTCACAGGACCTCTTGTGTGTGTGTGTGTGTGCGTGCGTACGTGTGTGCGTGCATGCGCCCATGTGCACGTGAAGGGGCTTCCTGGTGTTTCTTCTTTTAAGGGCACTAATCCCGTCATGACAGTCTCACCCTAGTGACCTCATCTAACCTTAATCACCCCTGTCAAAGGCATCATCTTCCAACACTCCGACACTGGGCAGTTACAGCTTCAATATATGAATTTGGGGTGGGGCACAAACATTCAGTCCATAAAACCATGGTAGAGATCACGCTTCCTAAAGAATCTCTGGCTTCTCCTGTGATGTGAGGCCTAATGTGCCTCCTTTATTTTAACTTGCCACTAGAGACTGGGGTCTCCTTTGCTTTCTCCAACCAATGGCTCATTACCTTAAGAAAGGCACACAATGACCTCTGGTTTGGCTATCCGAACCTCTCTCTGCACCATGCAGACAACTGTGAAGATGTCCTTCTTGGTGCTTGACTTGTAACCAAAATTATTTTCCCTCTAGGGGGTACTCCTATCTATTAAAAAGTCTACTGATGGGAGAGAAAGAACCCACATGTAAAAGGTATGGGTACACTGCCCTTTAGTGTTCAGGCTTACTTCTGAAGTAATATGTGAGGCACAAACACCATCCACCCTGAGAAGGTAGCCCCTAGGCCAACTGTTTCAGAGTTCAGTGGGCCTGTGGCTGCCCTTGGTGTCAATGAAGGAGCCAGCATGCCTGAGCTACACGAAAAAAAGCTACACAGCGGGCCTGGGCACACGGCCATGTGGGAAGGCAGCAGTCGCTGGCCTCTGCAAATGTGGCATGGAGCTGAGGTGTGAACAAGAGACTGAGGGGAGCAGGGTCTACAAAAGGGGCCTAACTGTAGGGAACCAACCCTTCACCAGGGACCTTGGCACAGTCAGGTTCCAAACGTCACTCATCAATTCACAAAGTTGCAGTGAACGAAAATGTTTATTAAGCAAGGAAGCCATAATTATTTTAGCTCTGAAGTGCCTCCATTGAGTTGATTTCAGGTTCCCTTAGTTGGAGTCCCATTCTCTCTGGGCTTCTCCAACAAGACTATGGAGGGGAGGCAGGTTGATCATCAGGGTCAAGACCTCGGAATTCTTGTGGCTAAGACAAAACAACCCTCTAGATTTACTAGATTGAAAAGCACTTTGGCATTTTTTTTTCTTTATTCTTTATGTTGAAAACTTTGAGCAGACTCTTGGCAGGCCACCTTCCTGTGGTAGAACATGGATATGCAAAGCTGGGCGGGGCAGACAAGACATCAGATCCAGCTGTGGCTGGCTGCTGTCACACCCTAGCATACTACGGATCACAGGCTGCCTCTACAGCATAACTTCCAAGAAACAGGCTGTGCTTAACAAACAATTACAAACATAACCTATCAGGAAACAAATAAGTCTCTACCCACTAAACCCTACCCCAAGGGACTTTACGCACCTTGAAGGTCCCCTGGCCATGCAGACCTCATTGGCCTGCCCCCTCCCCCCATTTCCCCTCATCACTGGTCATGAAAGTACTGTTAGCACGGCTTATTTGAGTCACGTTGCTCTGCAGGCATCAATCTGGTCTGCTCCGCAGATCTCATCTGGTCTGGCTGGTATGCAGCAGGGCCTTGGAAAGCCTGTGGATCAGGAGGTCCCTCGACTCCTACCTCAGAAACTTGCACCTGCCAGGAAAAAGTGAAACAAGGTGGAATGTTTGCTAGAGTCTGTGGGCCCATTTTTTGGTGGTAGGAGGAATCCTTTAGTTCAAATACACAAGCTGCTGAGAAATACTTCTTTGGAACATGAGCCTGCAAGGTGATGGGAGACGGAGGAGCTACAGAAGATAAGGTTCCTCTCCTCTTCTCTCTCCCAGCAGCATCTTAGCTTAAAGAGCAGCAGAAGCAGACCTGGGCTTTCTCAAAGTTGTCTTAAGGCTCCTGGGTCTGTGTCTGGCCCTCTCTTGTCCAGCTTCTCTGCCAGCCATGGCCGGCCAAGGCCACTAGCCTTGGGTCTTGGGCTCAGTCATTTCCATGCTGACTGATTTGCAGCTACTTGGCCCACTTTAACAAAGTGACAGGAGACGTACCAACCCACACTGGGGTGTGGAGGAGGGAGAAGGAATAGATACAAAGATGGTGTTACAAAGTATGGGCTGAGGGGGTGTTTTCTGGTTAAGGAGGAGGGATTCCTTGGGTTATGTTGCAAAGTGATGCAAGGTTTCAAGGACTGGAACCCAAGGGGGCGGAGAAGACACAGGGAGCAAAAGGAGCAGGGCTGGGCTCTGGACAGACAGCTGGAGGTGTCTGGGGACCTGCAGGCAGAAAGGTGCCAGAAGGCAGTAGGGATAAGCCAGGGCAGGCAGTGAGGGCTGGGAAGCTAAGAAGAGGAGCTCGGGTTTCATCCTGAGGATAGCAGGGAGCCCCTGAGGTTTTGTGGACAGGAAAGCTCCGACTTGGTCCTGCCCTGCTTTCTCCCAGCTGAGCAACCTTTCAGAATCTGACCTTTCCCACTTCCCTGGGCAACGTGCTCAGCCTTGTGCTGGCTTGGTCTCTCAGGACCCCCTCTAGGAGGGAAAGTGCCTCAAAAATAGGCGTGAAAGATGTTCTCAACAAAGTCTGGCTTGGTAATGGAACCATAGGAACCATAGGACCTATTGCCCACTCTGATCTCTCCGTGTGAGCAGTCCCTCTAAGTGACCAAGTTTCTAGCAGTACTGGTGGCACAGTTAGTCAAGGGGTATATGTGAAAATAATCATACATTTGCTTGCCTCAAGTATTTAAACTCCTTTCTGCCTTAGCTTACTGTTTGTTCTGGTTATTTTGGTTTGGTTTTGTTGTTTGAAAAAAAAAAGGTTAGGCTATAATAAGATTTTTAAAGCTAGAGTGAAAACACCTTTTGTAAGTTCCATTCATTAGTGAAATTGTGTGTGGGGGGCCTGCGGGGAGCAAAACCTGCTACGTAACTGCCATCTGGACCAGCTTCCATCCTGGAAACATGGCCACTGCAGATAATCCACAAGGTAGGCCTGCCCTTCCAAATACGGGGTACCCCATAGATGGATACCAAGCACATTCAACAGAGGGGCCCTAAGTTTATTTTTAGTACAAGGAAACATACCTACACTAGGTCTTAGATTTTGTAGCAGAACTAAAGATCCATAAGTCTGAAAGGAGGCTTGGGACCAGACGATGAGCTCAGATTAAAAACATGGCATGGCTCACTTTGCCCATGTAACATAGTTTTGAGAGAAGTTTCAGTCAGATTGCGTCTAAGGTTCACTAGGCCAGCTCACTTTTTTGAGGAACCCTGTAGAGAATATTTTTACTCAGCAATGAGTGCTACCATCATGTGACTAACTGCCGTCAAATGTACTGAGCTTTGAAGTCTGGCTCTCACACACAGCATGCACTTGGGGTGTGTGCCTTATGTGGAAGGGGCCCAGAATCCCTCTTGACCTGCGCTGGAAGGAAAAGGAGGGGGCTGTCCCATACCTGATGGTAGGTGGGTTGGCCGTGCAGGGTGCCCTGCTCATCGCAAGACCAAGTGTTCACTTGGACAACAGGACCGAGTGAATCAGACAACTCTTGCCAAAGCCGGATGTAATCCTGTGGGGTCTCCAGGGTGCTTATGGTTGAGTCTGAAGTTATGGGAAACTGAGGAATGCTGGAAGAAGAAATTGCCTCAGAGTTTGAGGTATCTATCAATGGCAGCTGGTTCACGGGGGGCCCTTGATACGCCTCAGGATAAAAACTGTAAGAGAAGAAAGCTGTTGCAGTGATGTGGATCTGGACATGATAACTGATGAGACACTCACGTGGTCATCAGTAGGTGCTTCAGGCACATTTGGTTTTGGTGGCTACACCACAGGATTCACTTGTTTGTATTCTCACTTTGGCCTGACTAAGATTCAACTTGTCAAAGTAATGTGAATGTAGACACTGAGAGAAATTACAATCCCTTGTCTCACCTGGTTTTATTTATATTACTTGGACAGTCTTGTTCCTGCTACAACTATGCTCTCTGTGGCCTTGGAAAGTCATTTCACCTACTTTGAAAGCACTCAGGGAGCTAATGGCTGAGCAGAGACTGTAAGGCAGATTTCCAAACTCCAAATCCAGTGCTCTCTCCACAACCCTAAGCCTGGAAGTCTTGTGATCAATACAGATTTTTGAACCCCATCCCAGACTCTGAATCTATACTTTCCAAACCCTCCTCAGGTGGATTCTGATGATCAGGTCAAGTGGACAATATGGCCCTAAAGCAGTCTTCATGTCAAAGTCACTGATTCGAAAGCAAGGCCCAGAAGGAAGTCCAGAGAGCTTTAGGAGGCCCGTCTCAGAAAGCTAACATTCATTCAAAACTATTTAGTGGGCCCCAACTATGTGCTAAGCAATCCTTTCATTGCTGAGAAGAACCTTATCTTTCTAGCATTTGGAACTGAAGACCTTATTATTGAGCAGAAATGTGTTCATGTCCCTATATTGCCACTCAGGACTTAGCCTTCATGTGTTCTTGGCTGATCTTAGCAATCTAGCAGTTGTTTCACACTCACTTCCCTCTTACTGTTCATAAATGCCAGGGAGATACCTGCACTTGGCCTACTGCCATCACCAGATTCCAGGAAAGTTGGGGAATGAAACTGGAAGCCCAGAAGTCTTTCAGCTATGGGCACAAGACTTGTCCATAGACACCCTGTGCAAGAGACTGGGCTTGGGGAATCCAGCCAAGTGATTTCAAGGTTTGTGGGCTAATTCCCTAGCATTGAGGCTTCCTTATCTAGTCCTTTCTTCATGGGTACCCCTTTGTTCCATCAATGGATGCTCATCCATGCACCACACATGCAGAAGGATGATGGCCGTGGCCACAGAGAAGGCAAGTTGAGAGCAAGTTGCTATTGATGAGAGGGACGCTGGTGCCACATGGATAGGTCGTCTGTCTGTGATCTCAGGCATGGGATCCAGCCATGAGGGAAAAGCAATAATCATAGCCACTATCACCATTCCATGCATGTCTTACCTTTGACTCTCATCTTCCTGTTGCCCACAGTTTTCATCTTGATAGAAGCCAGAGGGCTGTTGTTCAGCTGCTCTCTGGACAGGAACAATGGGTTGGGCCTGTAAAAATCTAACAGGGTGATTGCAGAGGGGCACAGATACGTCACGTGGGTTTTGCAGGCATATCTGCACCCTCTCATTCCCCACGATGACATTATGCTTCAGTGGCTGCTCTTGCAGCTGCTGCTTCTGCTGCTCCTCCTCTGGCTCTTTCTGTAGCATCTGCCCCTGCCACTTCTTCCGCTCCTGTAGCTTCTTCTTCTTTTGCCGCCTCTGCTCCTGCAGCTTCTTCTTCTCCTGCATTTTCTGCTCCTGCAGCTTCTTCTTCTCCTGCATCTTCTTCTGCTTCTGCACCTTCCTTTGCTCTCTCAGCTGTTGCAGCTGCTCCCGCAGCTGCCGCTGCTGCTCCTTCAGGTGTTGTTCTTGCTGCACCAGTTGCTGCTGCATCGAAAGGCAACAGATAAAAGCACCCTGGTGTCTGCAAGAGCCTCCCAGAAACTTATTTAACACTCCCATTCAATTCTCGCAAAGCAAAAGGTGACAACAGTTGAGCCTCTCTGCACATAGTGATCTGTGTGACTGTCTACTTTAGTTAGACTGGATACTAGCTGCAGCCATGCACCTGGCAGCGAGAGTCTGCTAATCCAGCACATATGTACATGTATGTATACATGGTCTAGCATGTGCATTCAGGTCTAGGTAGCCCAGGATTTTTTACTATCTTGGGCAAATAAATTGCAGCCAAGTGGATAGTCACTACCCCCTAAGGAGAACCAAGTGAGTCAAAGTCCTCAAGAAAACAAAATCCCCTTTCAGATACACAGTTAAAACAGCCTTTCCATACCTGGTTGAAGGCAACACAAGGCTCCTGAAGCTCCCCAGTGTTTTTGAGAGAGTTGGATAAAGATAAACCACAGAAACACTTGACGTCCTTGGGATGTGGGAGAGGCCGCTTCACTTGCCCAGCGTGTTGTTTCTGTTGTTTCTTGGGCACTGCCTCCGAAGATTGGAGATCAGGAATGACAACGTGGCGTAATGTGTTTGGCTGCTTCTGTAAGGACACAGTATCACAAAGGTCTTATTCACAGTCCACACCTTTCCTTAAGGCATAAGACAAGCTGGGCATGGAGCAGGACTGCCCACAGGCAAGCCTACAGGAAGCCTTGGCTATATATAAGCCACATCTACCATTGCCAAGGCCTGGCTGGGCCAATCTCAGCTCTTGTAGCCAGGAGAAAAAGGGCAAAACTCTAAGTCCCTGCTGGAGATCACATTAGATATCCCATATCACCCTGTGGGCAGCAGCTGTCACTACCGGCAGACACCATTGACTAACTCCTTAAGGCTTGCCAAGGTCCCTCTCTCCTCTTCCTTCTGCTACTAATATAGAACTGGTCTCTGACCTGAAACCTAGCATCCTGACTGACCTGAAGGTGATCCATCATCAATTCCAATGCATTCTGCTGGTTTTGGATGGCATCATGCAGCAACCAAGTCCTCTCTTCTAGCTGCTCCTTCAACTTCTTCATCAGTTCCAGTTCCTGGCTAATGATGTCATATGCAACTGGTGATGATGGCTGTAATGGCTGTGGGGAGGAATTACTTATGGTTCATGTATAGCAACACTGGTTTCTCCAAGTCTTACCATCCTGTTTCACTTCAAAATTTCTGAAAGACTGAGAATGCAAATGGTAGCTCTCAAATCCTGATTTCATTCATTACTAGAAAGTTTGAAAAAATGGTTAGAGAATTTAGGAATTCTAGATAAGAAATGGACCACGGAGATCATTTAGCCTGATTCTTTTCCCAAAAAGAAAGAAGTGGAATTGGCCCAGAGACATGAAGCAACATGCCCAAAGTCCTTAGTGGAAGAGTCATGGGCCAGTGCCAAAGTATTCTGCGCCTGGGTCAAATCACAAATGGCAGTCCACCAATAGGGCCCCTGTTAGCAATGCAATAATGAAAACCATCAACTGGCACTTCCTTTGTTCCAGGCACTCTTCTAAGCACTGTACGAAAACTCACAGGTCTGATCTTCACAGAGCCCTGAAAAGCAGGTACTATTATTGTTCTCATATAGTACTTAGATGGACTCTCCTCTAGGTCCTGGAAATCTAATTTTAACTTGGATAACAGCTTCACATCTGGAAAGAAGCAAATGTACAGGTTTATAAAAGTAGAGAGTGTGCTATGGGGCAAATGATGCTCCAAATTAGCTGGAATAGAAGGAATAAGGCAGGTCACACGTAGAGGAGAAACCAGAGTTTTGTACAGGTTCAGGCAGCCGAGGAACTTGGATTTTATTCATCAGTCACCTGGCACTGCTGCTAGAAGATGTGTTCTACAACCCAGATCTTATCAGGGATGTAAGATGCTCAGAACTCAGTTATAAAACATGCCTTCTGGCAGCTGTGCAGAAGATCAAGTGGTGGGAGAAACGAAGCGTGGAGTTTGGGAAAAGTCAATTAGAAGGCTGTGGGAGTAATTCAGGATAGAGATAATAGGGGCATGGAACAATCCAGAGGTAGACGATATAGAGACACATTTGAGAGAAATTAAGAAAATAACAAATGCTGGTGAGGATGTGGAAAAAGAAGAACGCTCATACACTGTTGGTAAGAATGTAAATTAGTACAGCCACTATGGAAAACAGTATGGAGGTTCCTTATAGAACGAAAAATACAACTACCGTATGATCCAGCAAATCCCACTGCTGAGTATACACCAGAAGAAAGGAAATCAGTAGATCAAAAAGGTATCTGCACTCCCATGTTCGTTGCAGTACTATTCACAATAGCCAAAATTTGGAATTAACCCAAGTATTCATCAACAGACAAATGGCTAAAGAAAATGTGTTATATATACAGAATAGAATATTATTCAGCCATAAAAATAATAAATTCACATCACCTGCAGCAACATGGATGGAACTGGAGGTCATTATGTTAAGTGAAATAAGCCAGGTACAGAAAGACAAATATCACATGTTCTCACTCATATGTGAAAGTTAAAAATGTTGATATCATGGAGGTGGAGAGTAGAATGGTGGTTACCAGAGGCTAGGAAGGGAATGGGGAAGAGGGGGATGAAGAGAAGTTGATTACTGGGTACCAAAATACAGTTAAACGTTAGGAACAAGTTCTAGTACTCAAGTAGGAAAATTAGAGTTAAAACAATCTATTGTATATTTTAAAATAGCTAAAAGAATTGTAATGCTCCCAACACAAAGAAAAAACAAATATTTGAAGTGATGGGTATCCTGATTACCCTGACTTGATCATTACACATTGTGTATATGTATCCAAATATATACATGTATCCAAAACTATGTACAACATAATATATATAGTGTATATATATACACTATACATAGTATATATATAATATGAAAACCATCAATTGGCACTAAACTATGTATACTATATAGTGTATATATATATATATATACACACACACATATAGTATATATAATATGTACAACTGCAATATATCAAAAATAAACAAAATTCTAAGAAAAAGATTAACATCCACAATATCTTAAAGTAAAATAAAGTTTAAAAAACAGTAATAAAAAAGAGGCTGAGCTGGGTGTGGTGGCTTGCATCTGTAATCCCAGGTACTCAGGAGGCTGACGTGGGAGAACTGCTTGAGGCTTGAGACCAGCCTGGGCAACAAAGCAAAAACCCCATCTCTGAAAAAAAAAAAAATCTCTTTTTTTTTTGTTGTGTCTCTGCCAGGCTTTGGTATCAGGATGATGCTGGCCTCATAAAACGAGTTAGGTAGGATTCCCTCTTTTTCTATTGATTGGAATAGTTTCAGAACGAATGGTACCAGCTCCTCCTTGTACCTCTGGTAGAATTCAGCTGTGAATCCATCTGGTCCTGGACTTTTTTTGGTTGGTAAGCTATTAATTATTGCCTCAATTTCAGAGGCTGTTATTGGTCTATTCAGAGATTCAGCTTCTTCCTGGTTTAGTCTTGGGAGGGTGCATGTGTTGAGGAATTTATCCATTTCTTCTAGATTTTCTAGTTTATTTGCGTAGAGGTGTTTATAGTATTCTCTGATGGTAGTTTGTATTTCTGTGGGATTGGCGGTGATATCCCCTTTATCATTTTTTATTGCGTCTATTTGATTCTTCTCTCTTTTCTTCTTTATTAGTCTTGCTAGCGGTCTATCAATTTTGTTGATCTTTTCAAAAATCCTCAATAAAATACTGGCAAACCGAATCCAGCAGCACATCAAAAAGCTTATCCACTATGATCAAGTGGGCTTCATCCCTGGGATGCAAGGCTGGTTCAACATATGCAAATCAATAAACGTAATCCAGCATATAAACAGAACCAATGACAAAAACCATACGATTATCTCAGTTGATGCAGAAAAGATCTTTGACAAAATTCAACAACCCTTCATGCTAAAAACTCTCAGTAAATTAGGTATCGATGGGACGTATCTCAAAATGATAACAGCTATCTATGACAAGCGCACAGCCAATATCATACTGAATGGGCAAAAACTGGAAGCATTCCCTTTGAAAACTGGCACAAGACAGGGATGCCGTCTCTCACCACTCCTATTCAACATAGTGTTGCAAGTTCTGGCCAGGGCAATCAGGTATGAGAAAGAATCAATATCGTGAAAATGGCCACACTGCCCAAGGTAATTTATAGATTCAATGCCGTCCCCATCAAGCTACCAATGGCTTTCTTCACAGAATCGGAAAAAACTACTTTAAAGTTCATATGGAACCAAAAAAGAGCCTGCATTGCCAAGTCAATCTTAAGTCAAAAGAACAAAGCTGGTGGCATCATGCTACCTGACTTCAAACTATACCACAAGGCTACAGTAACCAAAACAGCATGGTACTGGTACCAAAACAGAGATACAGACCAATGGAACAGAACAGAGCCCTCAGAAATAATGCCACATATCTACAACCATCTTATCTTTGACAAATCTGACAAAAACAAGAAACGGGGAAAGGATTCCCTATTTAACAAATGGTGCTGGGAAAACTGGCTAGCCATATGTAGAAAGCTGAAACTGGATCCCTTCCTTACACCTTATACAAAAATTAATTCAAGATGGATTAAAGACTTAAATGTTAGACGTAAAACCACAAAGCCATAGAAGAAAACCTAGGCAATACCATTCAGGACATAGGCGTGGGCAAGGACTTCATGTCTAAAACACCGAAAGCAATGGCAACAAAAGCCAAAATTGACAAATGGGATCTAATTAAACTAAAGAGCTTCTGCACAGCAAAAGAAACTACCATCAGAGTGAACAGGCAACCTACAGAATGGGAGAAAATTTTTGCAATCTACTCATCTGACAAACGGCTAATAACCAGAATCTACAATGAACTCAAACAAATTGACAAGAAACAAACAACCCCATCAACAAGTGGGCGAAGGATATGAACAGACACTTCTCAAAAGAAGACATTTATGCAGCCAAAAGACACATGAAAAAATGCTCAGCATCACTGGCCATCAGAGAAATGCAAATCAAAACCACAATGAGATACCATCTCACACCAGTTAGAATAAAAATCATTAAAAAGTCAGGAAACAACAAATGCTAGAGAGGATGTGGAGAAATAGGAACACTTTTACACTGTTGGTGGGACTGTAAACTAGTTCAACCATTGTGGAAGAAAGTGTGGCAATTCCTCAAGGATCTAGAACTAGAAATACCATTTGACCCAGCCATCCCATTACTGGGTATATACCCAAAGGATTATAAATCATGCTGCTATAAAGACACATGCACACGGATGTTTATTGTGGCACTATTCACAATAGCAAAGACTAGGAACCAACCCAAATGTCCATCAGTGATATACTGGATTAAGAAAATGTGGCCCATATACACCAGGGAATACTATGCAGCCATAAAAAATGATGAGTTCATGTCCTTTGTAGGGACATGGATGAAGCTGGAAACCATCATTCTCAGCATACTATCACAAGGACAAAAAACCAAACACCGCATGTTCTCACTCATAGGTGGGAATTGAACAATGAGAACACTTGGACACAGGAAGGGGAACATCACACACCAGGGCCTGTCATGGGGTGGGGGGAGTGGGGAGGGATAGCATTAGGAGATATACCTAATGTTAAATGATGAGTTAATAGGTGCAGCACACCAACATGGTACATGTATACGTATGAAACAAACCTACACGTTGTGCACATGTACCCTAAATCTTAAAGTATAATTAAAAAAAAAAGGAGAAAAAAAAAGGTGGATGAGACTTCTCAACTGATTGGCCGAGAGGGACAGAAAAGAGATGAGATTCTTGGAAAATAATTATCTTTCAAGGCTGGAAGTCGGGCCTGGGAACAATTGCTATTTGCCCTGAACTATGCTGGATACCATGCATATAAACAAGGTCAGAGAGCCACAGTCCTGATCGATAAAGAATTTACAACATTAATGATAAGAAAAAGGTACCTACACTTGCAACTTTCAGAAACCAAAAATAGACTTATACTGTGGTTCATCAATACCCTTTATGAGTAATGTAAGTACATAGATGAGTTGAGAGAGAGAGAGAGAATACCCTACAAGTTGTTGTTTTCATTATTTGGAATAAAAATTATATATGTATTTTTAGTCCATTGAAAATTGTTCAACTTGTCCTTCTTTCACTATGTATTGTATGTCTCTTCCTATAAGAAAGCAGACATTCATTAGACCAAAAAAAAAAAAACACACACACACACATGCACGCGCGTGTACACACCCACACAGACACACACACACACCCCTCTAAACTCAGGACTAGAAGAGACAAACCCTACAGGTTATCACATCCTCTCACCCTCTCCAAGCAGAAATTTTCTTTGCTTTTCCTGGAAAAGGAGCTGCCAAGCATTGACTCTCACCACTCCATCGAAGGAGAGAGGACTTGCTATTTTGAGAGGTGACCTAATCCGTCTGAGAAGGGCTAATAGTGTCAGACTGCTTCCTTGATCCTCTGGAACCATATCTTCCACTTTATGACCCTTCAACTACTTGGATAAAGCTGTCCTGTCCCTTCCCATTCTTCCCTTCTCAGTGTCTTCGGCAACTGATTAAGATGTTTTCCAGCCCCTTCCTCATCCTGGTCTCCATCTTCTGGATACACTCCAGGTTGCTGATACATGGCACCCAGGAATAAGCCTAATACACTAGCACATGCAGAGCCAGATGACACACGTTCATTGCTGGTTATTTTGGTGATTTTTTAAAAGTTATACTTCAAAATTTAATTACAAGTTAATTCAAAAGAGAAGATAAACCTGTCAACAGTGAAAGGGGGACCACAACTTTTTGGCATGATAAGGACATAAATCAGGCCACAGCAGATTTTCACAGAAATTTCCTTTTAAATAGCTCAAAGAATTTTCACAGCAGTCTGCAAATCCCCGCAAGGCAAGACCATTTCAACATGGAGAAACTGAGGCTCAGTAATTTGCCAAGGCCACACTGCTGGGGCCAAACTCAAACAATTGTGTTCTAGCCCTTAATTATTTTCACTGGATGAGGATCCTTTTGAACCGGAGTCACTCAATCTTAGGCTCAGTGATGAACGCACACAATTCCAGGTAACTGACCATCAACTCATTAGCTTGGCTTCTAATCCTGATTTTAATAATCCTGTCTAATATAAAAGATGATCATCGAAATCTGTGGTTATGTACACACATTTCAGGGTAGAGGAACTACACAGTAGTTAATCCAACCATTTTGATTTGGCCGTGGACTGTACATTGGTACTGATGTTTCAAGGTTGGGTATATCTAACGACTCTGAAATGCATGTTCTAACCTAATAAAAATTCCACTGGGAAAACCTAGCTTGTGGTGCAGGGAGAGGGTTGGTATGGGAAGGCCAGAAAGTTGTCTTCCCTCTAGATGGTTAGCATGCTCTCACAGGTGATTAAAAGCAGGGCTCTTAAAAATACCACCTTTTCTTAGCAGCTAAGCTTCTTATTTGGCTCAAACTTTTCCTCAAGTACAAAGTGTCCATGGGATTTCATATTAAGAAGAGCACAGGGATTTGGTCTTACTTAGAGAACCTCCAATCTCCCTGTTTGTGAGGGTCCATTGAGTTCTCAACGGCATCTGAAAATCCAGTATAACAGAAATAGTGATATAGTTTTGAAAAAGTAACAAACATACTTTCTGTGAAGTGAAACTGGTCACAAGAGTGAAAATTTGGGCTTTGCAAGGTTAGCTATCCAGACAAACGTGAAGCGAGTGAAGCGAGACTTTCAGAGTACCTGAGCACTTGCGCCAGCAGCCCCCAGGTCCACTGAGTCCTCTGGATCCACTGGATCCATCAGGCCTGCCTGGTCCAACGGGGCAACTGGGTTCTCTGGGTCCTGCTGGTCCATTGGGCCCTCCTGGTCCACTGAGTCCACCTGATCCACCGAGAACTCCAGGTCCACTGGGTCTGCCCTGTACAATGGATTCACCTCAGGCTCACCTCGAAAGTCTTGCAAGGATAAGGCTGAGGAAGAAAGCACAGGGGAGTTCATGACTTAAAAAGCAAAAGTACTAATGTTATCAAAAAGACTGTACGAGGGTCATTTTAGCCCATGTTAAGGATGAGATGTGCCAGGTGCCAGGAATCATTCAGAATATTATTTTAAAAATCTGTTCATATTTGAAAATGAAGAAAAGGGAGAGAGTGTTTGAAGTTACCACTGCCTACCCTCCAGCTTAAGCTAGTGCCTAAACCCACTGCATTTGTTAGTGTCATTTCATTCATTATAAAATTATTTTGGCTCTGCTTTTGGAGATTTAGTACCATCCAACCGATAAAACCAAATAAAATCTAGTCATAAATCACTTCTGCACAATCGGGTTGCCCAGAATGTGGGACCTCGGGAGTGCTCAAAGTTCTCTGGGAGGTGTTATGACATGACTTGGTTTCAACAGCCCTGAAAAGCACAGTGGAGAACATTATTTGAATAATGCAAAATGGTACAGTCATTTTTGAAAACATTTTGTCAGTTTCTAATAAAGTTAAACACATACTTCCCAAATGACCCAGCAGTCCCGCAACCAGGAGTTGAAAACTTATATTCATACAACACAAAAACTTCTACGCAAATGTTTAATGTAGCTTTATTCATGATCAAAAAACACTTGGAAACAATCCAGATGTTCTTTTACAGGTGAATGAAGTTTTAAAACCTGATATATTCATAAGATGCAGTATTACTCAGCAATAAAAGGGAATGAACCGTTGATTCATGCAAACGTGGATGAATCCTAAATGCATTTTGCTAAGTGAAAGGGGCTAGACCAAAAAGGCTAGATGTCATATGATTCCTCTTACATGACATTCTGGAAAAGGGAAACCTTCAGAGGTGAAATACAGATCAGTGGTTGTCAGGGGATGGGAGACAAAGGTTGAGTACAAAGAGGGAGCACAAAGGAATTTTGGGGGTGATGGAACTATTCTGTTTGGTACTGTGGTGATGGATACATGACTCTCAACATTTGTCAAAATCCATAGAACTGTATATATCAAAGAGTGAATTTTACTGTATATAAAATTGAAAAGAAATTGATCAGGAGGCAGGAAAACCTAGGCGAAAATACAGACTGTAACAAATGAATCTAATTCTATTACAGATAAATGACATATCCACAGTGATGGGGGTGAGAAATAAAGAAGCTAACGCAGGAACTTCAGAAAACAGAGGTTTGCCTGGATACTGCAAAGCTAAAGACAAAAAAAATGCACACACAAATTAATTCCAAATGGTAAATTTGTTCCTTAAGGGGTACAGGTTAGCAATTGTGAAACTACTTTTTATGAATGTTTATGTATTGGAAAAATCAATAAATATACCATAGATAATGAAAGCCAGATTTCTCACTGTCAGAGATACAAATTACAAATAAGCAGACAGAAAAGGCTAGAATGAACCCTATGATACTGGGCTGGAGTAGGAACTATCAATGAACTCCTGTTGTTGTTGTTGTTGTTGGTTGTTACATGCTGAAATAAATACAGATGGTTGTATATGGTTGCATGGGTTAGTATGAATAGACATCTTTCCTAGTCCACTGAGAGGGTTTAGAAGTAGTGACACACCTGTAACAATGAGTACAACTAGCACCCAGATCTTCGTTTCTAAATACCACTCTCCAAATAAAGGACCTAAATAAGGTTCCTTAAAGAAGGGGTTGATTTAAATGACAACATGTAATAATGGAAATAAGGAAGTGAAGGGAAAAAAAAAGATGCAGACATGATAAAAGGACAAGGGAGCCAACCTAAAAGAGCCCCATGAGCCAAAGCTGGAACAATTTTTTTTTAATGACGGTATTGGATTGCAAACCAAATAATAAAAAAATGCCCATGGATTCATCCTGATGTAAATGAATGTACGAATAAATGAATGAAAGAGAGACAAGGAACAACTCTTTCTTACAGCAAGATTGCAGTTAATAAATATACAAAAAACGAGGGAAATAAAAAATTGGCATTAGAAGTAATTGCTGTAGGCCAATTCCACTGATGATGCTAAATGTGAAGGAGAGTTTAAGGAGAAACAGAAAACATTATGTGCATGTTCTCAATGTAGCTCCCCTCAAATATTTGATAAGTACAAAGGGGAAAACAGTACCACCTTAACCAAGCAATCAAGTTAACACCACCAGCAATAAAACATACCATCATGTATATTCTGATATGATGCCCTAAGGAGGGCACATCACATCTGTGGTATTCTTCCCCAAAATGCAAGACCTCAATCTCATCTTGAAAAATCATCAGACGAACCCAAATTGAGGGACATTCTGTCAAATACCTGGCCCATATCCTTCAAAAGTATCGGATGATAAAAAAAAAAAAAAGCAAGAATGAGACACTGTCAAAGACTGGAAGAAACTAAAAACACATATTATTTAAATTCAATGAGGGATCCTGGATTAGTTATTGGAACAGAAAAACAACTTTCTGGGAAAACTGAATAAAGGCTGAAGCTCACTTAAAAGTATTGCATCAATGTTAACTTCTTAGTTTTGCCAGCTGTACTGTGGTTATGTAAAATGTTACATTAGGGGAAGCTAAATGAAGGTTATCCTAAATGGTATCTTTCCCTTATTTTTCTATTTTTTTCTTTGTGCTATTTTTGCAACTCTTCAAGTCCAAAATTATTTCAAGATTAAAAGTTTGGAAAAGAGAAACATCTGGATTAGGCAGAATGAACCACTCCGTCACTTCCTATCTGCTTTCTGCAGCCTGGGGTTGCATACCTTACCATGCTATGGTCATGAGCGAATTGTCCTTTAATCATAGCATGAGTTTGGGATGACCATTGAAAATATTTTGAAAAATTCTGGTTTCTGGATACTTCCAGTGTTTAGACTGTTGGCTAAATTCTTCTGCTTAACTCTTTTTTCCACTAAAAGCCATTTTCCAAATCATTTTAGCATATTTTTCTTTTTTTTTTTTGAGACGGAGTCTTGCTCTGTCGCCCAGGCTGGAGTGCAGTGGCAAGAGCTCGGCTCACTGCAAGCCCCGCCTCCCGAGTTCATGCCATTCTCCTGCCCCAGCCTCCTGAATAGCTGGGACTACAGGCGTGCCTGCCACCACGCCCGGCTAATTTTTTGTATTTTTAGTAGAGACGGGGTTTCACCGTGTTAGCCAGGATGGTCTCGATCTCCTGACCTCATGATCCGCCCACCTCGGCCTCTCAAAGTGCTGGGATTACAGGCATGAGCCACCGTGCCCGGCCCAGTTTACCATTTTTTAATTTTCTGATTCCAAGTAAACAAAGCTACTAAATTATCTGTAAGTGATAGTGAGAAACCCAGGAGTTACTTGACTTCTACCATATCAGCCATAAGCTGCTAGCCATTTCAATATGCTCATTTTGTTGGAACAGTCATCTGTGGAAGGTTATAAGGATTTCTCCATCATTGGCTTAACAGTAGTGAATACAAATAATTCTCTATAGCAAAGTTACAATGGTAGGTCCAGATAAATAGGTTTAAAGCAATCAATGCTCTTATAAATTTTAGAAATCACAATTATGAGTTCATGGAGTTTGACCTCTCCTGCCAAAAATCAATTGTTTTGGAAGGAATTTTTTAAACACAGCTTTGAGATTGACAGCAACAATGGAAAAGTTGTTAACTAAGAATTTTAAAAGTTGGAGATACTAAAACTGGATTTAAAAACTGAAAAAGAGTGAAATAAAAATTAAAATAGAGCTTATTACTTCTATATAAGGAGATTCCACATACCAATTATTTATGATAAGATTAATTAGGAGATATAATTTGTATTATGCATCCACCATTTCCTTAAGTTTTGTACTTTTCAAACAATTACGGTTACGAAATATCTTTAATATTGAAACTCATTAAAGAAATATCACTGTTTTTGAGAGACTCTCACTTTCCCCCTTTATTGGCATGAAAACTCAATAACAAGAGGTTTCTTTGGAATCCAAATACTGTGTGATAGCAGAATAGACTACACGAGTATAAAAAGATAAAACGCTATTCCTTCAAGGATTGAGATCCAGCGCCAATTTTTAGAAGATTAAAATTAAATAGGAGAAAAGACTTGAATCTGTGATGAAATACTCATTTTTATTATTCTCAAATCATCATCTCAAATATTTACAGAAGATGAAGAAAGTTGGAATTCACTCTGGGATTTCACAGTATTATAGAGCATTATATTCATTTGAAAAACTGTAACTACCCTGGGGGTCACTGTTTTTCTTCTAATAGTCCCTATCCAAATGCATAAATGTACCTACCTGGAGATTCAGGCATAGTATCCAGGAAAACTGTACTGGAGCAATAAGTTGAATCAGAATCTACAAACATGTGAACGTTTTCTTGTGGTCCATACTGCTCAACCTCTGCAATATCAATTTGGTCCTGTACATTTCCAAAAGAGAAAGATAGGACATTGCATTTTGGAGTTAGAAAGAATAGGAAACACAGGCAGAATACAAACTTTGATGCATTTCACATCACAATTTCTAACACTGCTGCAATCAACTGAAAACCTAACAAAAATCATCATCAAATACCTCCTTAAAAATATTGCTGGAAGATAACAAGCGGAGATTATAGATGCCACAAGGTATACACTGACAAACTGAAGAAGAGAAACACAGTATACATAACACTAAAAATAAAGGCATCAAAAAATGTTTATAGATCAAAAGGCATGGCAAAAACAATTCTGCCTTTCAGTGGTGTCAGTAGGATGCTGTCATGATAGTTGCCAAGGATGGTAGTCACCTCATCTCCCATTCCTCATTATTAGACCCAAACAAACTGGTTCACAGAGAAATGGGACAGCAGTGGGAGACCTGCACCACCACTGATAAGGCCATTTTCCCAGAGTTCCTGCACTTGCATCCTAGGCTTAGAGCAAGAAAAGGCCAACCAGGGGCTGTTTAACAACTATTGCATGTCTTTAGGCAGATTAAAGTTGAAAGTATTATTAGCAAAACTATTTTAAGCAGAGAGGTGAAAAGGCCTCTAAGAGCTTCTAGTCCAATGTTCTCACTGGATAGTGTCAAAGAGGGCAAGGCCATACAGACAGACAGGAGCAGAGTGAGAGATAGAATCCATTGACTCCAAACCCAATGCTCTTTTTCCTAAGCCTGGCTACCTTTAAGCCATTTGTTGCCTTAAACTACATACATAATATTTCTATTGAGTGATCCTGTCCTATTTCCTGAACAACTGAATCCTTTTTGAATAGTCTGTGGATCACTGTCCATTGAAATTTAAGTACCTGGTTTAGCAGTGAAATATTTTACATCCCTGACAAAATATTTTGTTTGCTTTTGTTCTGGATTGGCTTAAGACACAGACCCATGGTGATTTTTCTACAAAGAATCTGTTTGTTGGATCACATCCCAGCATTTCAACTTCAGGAAACTGTGCAACCTCACTGTTCAAATGACTATGTTTTATACTCCCTAATAAGTGATATGTTGCTGGGGATGTGACAATCTTTTCATTACTTACAATGACATTATGGTGAATCGGTATTCATTAAGAGGAGATATGACCTGTCTCTTTCCTCTTCCTTCTGTTCTTCTTCATAGCCATCTATCGATTTAATCACTAACTCTTTGCTTTCTGGATTATTTTCAACATAAACTTATATTCTCAAATGTTAATTAAGATGTCCACTTTTGGGTATTCGTATGTTCGGGCTTATCAATATAAATGCAGTGAGCTTAAATTAACTTAAATGACAGCATCATGTGCAGTAATGGTAATTGGCCTGGAAAAAACAAAGCCAAGAAACTACTTTGGAAGCAAAAAGATAACAGTTTAAAATGCAATTAGGACTAAGGTGAAAATGCATGCATGGAGATAGGAAGAAAATCAACATGCTTTTACAGTTTTCAGTGGAGTTTTGGATTCACCTTTATTCCATAATTGTCTCCACGAATAGTGTGCTAAAGGATTTGAAAAGAGAGGCATGGGTTTTGAGGCTGGATATAGAGTAGGCTTCAAATGCAAACTCCAATACCTGATGGTTATGTAAACTGCAAATATGTAGGGGGAGAGGGGGAAGAGGGCATTCAAGAAGTCTGTTCCCAAATCTTTGCATTTTCCCTGTGGTGGCTTATTGTTAAAGTGCTCTAATTTTTAGGAGATCCTTGCATTTTACTTTTTTGGAAGTGGTGGGGGAAAGGCCATAGGGCTTCCAATCAAGACAGCAGATTGGACAGACATGGAGAAAATGCTACATAAAATAGAGCAGAATTTAAAAAAAAAAAAACCCTCCAAAAAAATCAGTGAATCCAGGAGCTGGTTTTTTGAAAAGATCAACAAAATTGATAGACCGCTAGCAAGACTAATAAAGAAGAAAAGAGAGAAGAATCTAACAGACGCAATAAAAAATGATAAAGGGGATATCACCACCGATCCCACAGAAATACAAACTGCCATCAGAGAATACTATAAACACCTCTACACAAATAAACTAGAAAATGTAGAAGAAATGGATAAATTCCTGGACACATACGCCCTCCCAAGACTAAACCAGGAAGAAGCTGAATCCCTGAATAGACCAATAACAGGCTCTGAAATTGAGGCAATAATTAATAACCTACCAACCAAACAAACTCCGGGACCAGACGGACTCACAGTCGAATTCTACCAGAGGTACAAGGAGGAGCTGGTACCATTCCTTCTGAAACTATTCCAATCAATAGGAAAAGAGGGAATCCTCCCTAACTCATTTTATGAGCCCAGCATCATCCTGATACCAAAGTCTGGCAGAGAAACAACAAAAAAAAGAGAATTTTAGACCAATATCCCTGATGAACACTGATATAAAAATCCTCAATAAAATACTGGCAAACAGAATCTAGCAGCACATCAAAAAGCTTATCCACCATCATCAAGTGGGCTTCATCCCAGGGATGCAAGGCTGGTTCAACATAGACAAATCAATAAACGTAATCCAGCATATAAACAGAACCAATGACAAAAACCACATGGTTATCTCAATAGATGCAGAAAAGGCCTTTGACAAAATTCAACAGCCCTTCATGCTAAAAACTCTCAATAAATTAGGTATTGATGGGACGTATCTCAAAATAATAAGAGCTATTTATGACAAACCCACAGCCAATATCATACTGAATGGGCAAAAACCGGAGGCTTTCCCTTTGAAAATTCGCACAAGACAGGGATGCCGTCTCTCACCACTGCTATTCAACATAGTGTTGGAAGTTCTGGCCAGGGCAATCAGGCAGGAGAAAGAAATAAATGGTATTCAATTAGGAAAAGAGAAGTCAAATTGTCCCTGTTTGCAGATGACATGATTGTATATTTAGAAAACCCCATCGTCTCAGCCCAAAATGTCCTTAAGCTGATAAGCAACTTCAGCAAAGTCTCAGGATACAAAATCAATGTGCAAAAATCACAAGCATTCTTATACACCAATATCAGACAAACAGAGAGCCAAATCATGAGTGAACTCCCATTCACAATTGCTTCAAAGAGAATAAAATACCTAGGAATCCAATTTACAAGGGATGTGAAGGACCTCTTCAAGGAGAACTACAAACCACTGCTCAACGAAATAAAAAAGGACACAAACAAATGGAAGAACATTCTACCCTCATGGATAGGAAGAATCAATATTGTGAAAATGGCCACACTGCCCAAGGTAATTTATAGATTCAATGCCATCCCCCCCATCAAGCTACCAATGACTTTCTTCACAGAATTGGAAAAAACTACTTTAAAGTTCATATGGAACCAAAAAAGAGCCCGCATTGCCAAGACAATCCTAAGCCAAAAGAACAAAGCTGGAGGCATCATGCTACCTGACTTCAAACTATACCACAAGGCTACAGTAACCAAAACAGCATGGTACTGGTACCAAAACAGAGATATAGACCAATGGAACAGAACAGAGCCCTCAGAAATAATACCACACATCTACAACCATCTGATCTTTGACAAACCTGACAAAAACAAGACATGGGGAAAGGATTCCCTATTTAATAAATGGTGCTGGGAAAACTGGCTAGACATATGTTGAAAGCTGAAACTGGATCCCTTCCTTACACCTTATACAAAAATTAATTCAAGATGGATCAAATACTTAAACGTTAGACCTAAAACCATAAAAACCCTAGAAGAAAACCTAGGCATTACCATTCAGGACATAGGTATGGGCAAGGACTTCATGTCTAAAACACCAAAAGCAATGGCAACAAAAGCCAGAATTGACAAATGGGATCTAATTCAACTAAAGAGCTTCTGCACAGCAAAAGAAACTACCGTCAGAGTGAACAGGCAACCTACAAAATGGGAGAAAATTTTTGCAACCTGCTCATCTGACAAAGGGCTAATATCCAGAATCTACAATGAACTCAAACAAATTTACAAGAAAAAAACAAACAGCCCCATCAACAAGTGGGCAAAGGATATGAACAGACACTTCTCAAAAGAAGACATTTATGCAGCCAAAAGACACATGAAAAAATGCACACCATCACTGGCCATCAGAGAAATGCAAATCAAAACCACAATGAGATACCATCTCACACCAGTTAGAATAAAAATCATTAAAAAGTCAGGAAAGAACAGGTGCTGGAGAGGATGTGGAGAAATAGGAACACTTTTACACTGTTGGTGGGACTGTAAACTAGTTCAACCATTGTGGAAGAAAGTGTGGCAATTCCTCAAGGATCTAGAACTAGAAATACCATTTGACCCAGCCATCCCATTACTGGGTATATACCCAAAGGATTATAAATCATGCTGCTATAAAGACACATGCACACGGATGTTTATTGTGGCATTATTCACAATAGCAAAGACTAGGAACCAACCCAAATGTCCATCAGTGATATACTGGATTAAGAAAATGTGGCCCATATACACCAGGGAATACTATGCAGCCATAAAAAATGATGAGTTCATGTCCTTTGTAGGGACATGGATGAAGCTGGAAACCATCATTCTCAGCAAACTATCACAAGGACAAAAAACCAAACACCGCATGTTCTCACTCATAGGTGGGAATTGAACAATGAGAACACTTGGACACAGGAAGGGGAACATCACACACCAGGGCCTGTCATGGGGTGGGGGGAGTGGGGAGGGATAGCATTAGGAGATATACCTAATGTAAATGATGAGTTAATGGGTGCAGCACACCAACATGGCATATGTATACATATGTGACAAACCTGCTTGTTGTGCACATGTACCCTAGAACGTAAAGTATAATAATAATAATAAAAAGAAAAACAAAAATCAAAACAAAGAAATACCCTGAGTTTAGAAATCATCTCTATATCTTATCTCTTATTTACCTGCCACCATTCCACCATCTTCTCTTAAACCTACTCTCATCAGACATTATCTCCTTGAACCCCACCATACTCCACCAAAACTTTTGTCAAGTTTAGCAATGACCTACAGGTCCTAACTCTAATGGTCACTTCTCAATTGTCAACCTATGTAATCTATCAGCAGTAGCTGACATTGTTCATCATTCCTTCTTCCTGTAAATACTTTCTTCACTTTGCTTACCTTCTACCTCACTAGTCACTTGTAAGTCTCTTTTGCTAATTCCTCCTTTTTTTCCCCTAATCTCTTAACTTTGGGTGTACTTCAAAACTCAGTCCTTGGTCCTTGTTGCTATCTACCTTAGTGTCCATCCTCCAGACTTACAGCTTTAAGACCATCCATGCTGATGATCCCCAAATTCAAATTTCCAGTCCTGTATTACATCTCCAGTTGGATGTCTAAGGGGCTTCTCAGTCATAAACATTTTCACAACTAAGTCCTTGATATTACTCCTCCCCCCAAAGAAAACACCATTGGCTAGGCACAATGGCTCATGCCTATAATCCCAACACTTTGGGAGGCTGAGGTGGGAGGACTGCTTGAGCCCAGAAGTTTGAGACCAGCTTGGGCAATATAGTGAGACCCTGTCTCTAGAAAAAAATTTAAAATGAGGTGAGTCTGGCAGTGTGTGCCTGCAGTCCCAGCTACTTGGGAGGCTGAGTTGGGAGGATCATTTGAGCCTGGGAAGCAGAAGTTGCAGTGAGCTGACCATGCCACTGCATTCCAGTCTGGGCAACACAGTGAGAGACCCTGTCTTGAAAGAAGAAAGGAGGAAAGAAGAAAGGAAAGAGAGAAAGAGAGAAAAAGAAAGAAAGAAAGAAAGAAAGAAAGAAAGAAAGAAAGAAAGAAAGAAAGAAAGAAAGAAAGAAAGAAAGAGGGAGGGAGGGAGGGAGGGAGGGAAGGAAGGAAGGAAGGAAGGAAGGAAGGAAGGAAGGAAGGAAGGAAAGAAAGAAAGAAAGAAAGAAAGAAAGAAAGAAAGAAAGAAAGAAAGAAGGAAGGAAAGAAAGAGAGAGAGAGAAGGAAGGAAGGGGAAGAAGAAGAAGGAGGAGGAGGGAAGGAAGGAAGGAAGGAAGGAAGGAAAGAAGGAAGAAAACATCCCTAAGCTGCGAGTTCTTCCCATAATTTTTCCCATCTTAGTTAATGCAACATTATCCTCCCAGTTGCTCACGTCATCCCTAACTCCTCTCTTTTTCTCACACCCGTCATCAAATGCCAACAAATGTAAGGGCTCTTCCTTCAGAATATTTTCAGAAGGCCAGGCACGGTGGCTCACACCTGTAATCCCAGCACTTTGGGAGGCCGAAGCGGGTGGATCACCTGAGGTCAGAAGTTCAAGACCAGCCTGGCCAACACGGTGAAACCCCGTCTCTACTAATAATACAAAAATTAGCCAGGTGTGGTGGCATGCGCCTGTAATCCAGCTACTTGGGAGGCTGAGGCTGGAGAATCGCTTGAACCTGGGAGGCGGAGGTTGCAGTGAGCCGAGACGGCACCACTGCACTCCAGCCTGAGTGACAAGGGCGAAACTTTATCTCAAAAAAAAAAAAATATATATATATATATACACACACACACATATATATTTTCAGAATCTGACCACTTCTCATAACTTCTACGGTTACCACCCTGCTTCAAGCCATTATCATCTCTCATTTGGACTGCTGGGATAGCCTCCTAACTGGACTCCTTAACTTCCATTCCTGCCCTTCCTCCCACAGTCTATTCTCAACACTGTGACTCTTTTAATAAACAAGTCAGGTCATGCCATTCTTCTGCTCAAAACTCTCTAATCATTCTCCATTTCATTCAGAGTTAAAGCCAAAATCTATACAATGGCTTCCAAAGCCTTACTCAACCTGACCTCCTTACATTTATGACTTCATCAATACCTACTCTCAGCTTTGCTCACTCTGCTCCAGCTGCTCTAACCTTCTCGTTATTCCTCTAAACACTGGGCATGCTTCCACCTCCAAAACCCTGCAGAAGTTTTTCCTCTTCTTGAAATAGTCTCCCCCGACCATAGATGTCTTCATGGCTAGCTTTCTCACCTTTTTCAAGTCATTGCTTATATTTAATACTGTACTCCCCGACCTCTTGCATTCCCAAACCTCCTCATCCTGTTCTATCTTTTCAATAAGTCTTGTCACCTTCTCTTTTGTTTGGGTTGGGTTGAGTTTTTTTTGTTTGTTTGTTTTTTGTTTTTTTTTTTTTTGAGACGGAGTCTCATTCTGTCGCCCAGGCTGGAGTGCAGTGGCACGATCTTAGCTCACTGCAATCTCCGCCTCCCGGGTTCAAGTGATTCACCCACCTCAGCCTCCTGAGTAGCTGGGACTACAGGCGT
Source organism: Homo sapiens (assembly GCF_000001405.40). Classification (NCBI taxonomy): domain Eukaryota; kingdom Metazoa; phylum Chordata; class Mammalia; order Primates; family Hominidae; genus Homo; species Homo sapiens. Next base: position 151,652,403 of record NC_000023.11, on the reverse strand, counting down.
GTGCCACCACGCCTGGCTAATTTTTGTATTTTTTAGTAGAGACGGGGTTTCACCATATTGGTCAGGCTGGTCTCGAACTCCTGACCTCGTGATCTGCCTGCCTCGGCCTCCCAAAGTGCTGGGATTACAGGCATGAGCCACTGTGCCTGGCCTAAGTCTTGTCACCTTCTAATCAATGATTTCTTTATTTAATATTTTCATCTCGTTATTGTCTGTTTCTCACTGTTGGAATGTAAGTTCCTCTAGAGCAACAATTTTTCACTGTTTTGTTAACTGATGAATCCACCCCCAACTTAAAACAGTGTCTGGTATCTGGTAGGTGTTCAATAAATACTTGTTCAATAAATCAGTAAATGAAGGAATCAGAAATGGCCTTTAAAAATAAACACATTTAAAATGTTCAAATATATAAAGAACAAAAGGGAAACCATGCAACAAATAGGACAATATGACAAAATAGTTTTAAAAGTAGACGCCTCATTGGGCAGTAAGAGACATAGATACTGAGATCAGACAGATCTGGGTTTGAATCCTGGCTCTGACACTTACTGTGTGACTTTGGGCAACTTATTCAATAGCAAGACTCTGAGATTTGCCATCTGTAAAACTGGAATGATAATGCCTCACAGGTCTGTTGTGGGACTTAAGCACCCAGTAAAATGCACAAATAGGAAGCTCTTAATACAGTTTAGTTTTCAGTGTTATTATTCTTTTTCAGGGCTGACCTTCTTTGACTACTTTTTAGAATCTTAAATAAGTATCTGTTGAATGAATAAATGACTAAATGCCTACCATAGTAGGTATAAAATCAGTGCAAGATGCTCTCATGATTATTCCCTAAATCAGGTTTGTCCTGGACTCTCATTTGCAAGTAATCAGCTCTAGCCGACTGTTTCTGTGTTGTCTGCTTCTGTCCTACCTAGCTCTTGGTTCATGCTCAAAGACAGCTGCTTCTGAAGATCCCACCCCACCTGCCACCTCCTGACACAATGGATTTGGGTGCAAAAGCAATCTGATAATGCACAAGCTGCAATTCTGCCAAACATGCCTGTTTAGTGTAACATGGCTAAGGAGCAACCTGTCTCTAGGAATGGATGGCAGAATGTGGGTGGCTACTAACATAAGTCACCTACACTCATCATTAAGAGAAGTATTTGGGACAGAGTCAATTAAAAAGGAGATCCAAACCATATCATTAGGGTTAATTTTTCTCCACACCTGATGCAAGACATTTCTATGTACTCTCACTTAATGTCTTGTGTGTTATGAGGATTTCCAGTATGGCTGGTAGGAACAAGAACTGTTACTAACCCTTTGTGAGTACTAGTATTGTTCTCTGTAATCCTCTGGAATGGTTTTCCCCTAGCCCCACTTCAAGTAGCTTCCTCAAGTGAATATGCCAATCAATATGCTGCTGAATACTAGAGGGGGCCCCTCACAGATCTCTGGCATTCTTTCTCCATGCAGCTCTCTCTTCTCTAGGACTCCGCTAGCAAACTTAGTCTCCCTATACTCTCACCTCAATCTCAACTCGGGCAGTCCACTGGGCTCCATATGTGTTCTCCCTCTCTGCAATGTGGCCTAGAAACTTGCTATGTAGTAAGCTCTGGTAACTGTGAAGCTCCTCTCATTGATTTCCAATTGCTCAAGAATCCATGGCCTTTGCTGCCTGCTGGCCATTATCATGAAAACTGTTGTGTCATATATTTTGTCTGTTTTATTTTTGCCCGTTTCAGGTAGGCAAGTTAACCTGGCCCCCTCACTCCATCTTGGCTGGAAGCAGGTCTCACAATTTCATGGAATATTATACAGTTTTAAAAAATGATCAATGTGACTGTTGAAAAAAATGGAACTTAGTGATAAGTGGAAGCCAAGGGTATGCAGTAGAATGTAAGCTATATTTTTCATTGTAACTACATGAAAAATATATACGTTGGTGGACTAAGACTGAATGGGAATAAGCAAAATTAAATAGCAGCTGTGCCACAGCAGTGGGATTATGTGTTTCTTTTTTTTTTTAAACAGCCCACTTTTCTCTAAATATTATAATTACTTAGGCATTATATATTTTATAAAATGAGAATATTTTAATCCAGCTTTCTTCAACATATACTAAGTTTAGGGACTCTGGATTCTTCACACACAGTACAGTATAAACCCTGGGTAAATATTTATTTACTGACGGGCTGATGAAGCAAGCCTGACAACTGTGTAGATGTTACACTGATGGCTAGAGCTATATGGTTGGCTTGGCCCCTTTTCCCAGCATACCTGTAATTAGTTTGTGTGTAAACAGAACACTGCTCTGTCTAAATTAGCATTCTTCTACCTTATTTCCTCTTTGTTTCATACTTCTTTGAGCAGAATATTAGGTTAAGCAGAGGTACTTATTCGGAATGGAGAAAGTTTTATTCACATAGACATACTTTGTTAAATGAGCAATACTTGGACAATTCAATACAAAATCAGCACTTCATGTTTAAAATATGTGCTCATGGCATCTCCATATTACAGAAGAACTTAAATACTGAAAAGACCTGCTGTCTGCACTGATCCCAGTACAAATTCATTCAGGCAAAACACATGGAGGCCTGAAAACCAAAGTTAGAGTCTATGCATGCAGCCTGTCTATACTGCTCTTGAAATCCCTTTACCAAATATTTGAAGAGTTCTATAAAAATAACAGAGTGCTTTAACATAGAGTACTCATTTGTGCATCTAATATTTATGACTGCCTACTGTGTGTAACAAGCCTTGTTCAAAATACTGGGGATATGCTGACCAACAAGACAGCCAATGATCTCTCCTCTCACAGAGGTTTCATTCTATTATAGGAGTAAAATAAATATCCCGATAAGATTCCTTTGAGCATTATTATATCCCCATGAGGTAGCCTGGCAGAGATTATTATTACTACTTCCATTTTACAGATGAGGAAACTGAGGCTGTCCAAGGTAAAACAACTTTCCCCAGGCCATGTAACTGGTAAGTGGCAGAATCAGGAATCAAACCCTTGTCTTCTGATGTCTCGGTCATGTTTTCTCTCTGTAGCACTGTTACCACTGTGGTGATCCAGCCTATCAGCTATGGTACATATACCCATAGAGTGGCATGTAAGGTGAGGAACCACCCTGTCACTTTTTAACGTGGGAAATGCCTTCTGGGATACCTCTTCTGTTCTTCTCTACCTCTCTCCTTGCAGTTTGGTTTTATGTCCCAGTCTAGAGTTTCATCAGATCACTGAGGGTAGACCCAGGTAGATTTCTATTAATGTATGTCCCTTAAGGATTCTTTCTAGTCATATCTGGTTAATGAATAAATTGATGATACATTCGTTGTCTTAGAGAACGGATGCAGACAACCTAGGCTAATTAGGCACTAGGTTCTAGCCTTCATGGCTTTCTACACCAGGCAGGTCAGTAAGTAAACTTCCATTATGAAATGTACTCACAAGGCAAAAAGACCCTGAACAACATCTGGGATACAGCTTAGCTTAATTCTTTTTCAAGCACTACAGGGACCATTCGAAGTCTGGCAGTTACTGGCTCCTAATAAGAAATGTCTACAAGATGGCAACTGTGGAACACTGCTCATGTGTCACATCCATATGACATACTTCTTGGTAACACACATTAACTAAATAATCAACATCACACGGATAAGGGTCTAAGATTGTAGTCTATGGTCCTCAATGTACATACGTCTGAGATAGCAGCAGCAGCAGCAGCAGCAGCGGGTTCAACGTACACGGCTTTCATGCTAGTGTGTCCTCTTTGACCTTGAGAGCTACTATAAATAGGAAAAAAGAGAGATGGTAAGCATATCTCACTCGCCATTTAAATCAAAATTTTCTATCATACAATAAAAAGGTTCAAATAAAAACTATTTGTTTTATTTTCCCTACTACAGAACATCATTAATCTTTGAGGTATCATTTTTCCCACAGAGTTGTTCTACACATCTACAAAAAAAAAAATCATCTGGACCCTCATTAGAATGAAGTTTGCTGCAGGTCTCAATGCCTTTTTAACAGTGGGGAGCAAACCAATATTTTTAAAGCCAAGGTGTTTGAGTGAATATTCTTTTTCAATTTTTAAACCAACTGCAATTACAAAAAAAAAAATGCCTTTAGGCCCAATTTAATTTTGTTTCCTGTAATTAGAGAAACTCTCCATTCTCGGGGCTCATTAACAATTCATTTCTATCAAAATTAGATAGAAATTTGCCCAGGGTGAGATGCAGCTTCATGGCACACTAGAGTCGAAATACTAGCTTACTTTTCACCAATTAAGTATGGGTGAGAAAATATGAATGAATGAGAATCTTATTTCTAATATTGATAATAGTGTTTCAAGCCTTAAAAATTTCATAACTGAGATTCTGTTATTGAAATGTATTTTGTTTTCACGAGTTTTTCTTTAGAAAAGCCCCTATTACTCCACAAAATGAGAAATTAAAGTCTGATAATAAATATTATAAAAAACAAGACCTCAGAGCAGCAAGACAGTGGCAAAATGATATATATAAAACTTTCCAAGCATATTCAGAAGACACATAATTAAGAGAAAACCTGGGTTATGCCACATGATTTCAAAAAGTGAATTCTGATCCAATGGAGATAAATTTTCCATTATGTATTTCAGAGGACCCTGACAAAAATCCATTTTATTTATATCATTTATTTCTAACACTAAAAAATTAAGAGCTTGAAAAATGTATTTCGGATATCCAAAATACGTAATATTTAGGAAGTACTGATTTGCACAGCATAAAACAACTAGTTAATGAGTTAAGTCATTCATTTGCATGTATAACTGGACTATATCGAATACAGAATGTTTAAAATATATAAAAAGTATATATTTAATTAAATATATTTATTAATATTTTATGTTGTTAATATTAATTTAATTAAAATATAAAATATGTAAAATATAAAATATTTCTTACTGGTTTGATTTTCAGTGTCATGAAACAAACATAAATGGAGTCACTTGTAAATCTGCCCACATATTATTTAAAAACAAAATTCCTATATTATTACATATTTTTAAAATAATTTTTCAACCTCCGACTAAATTTATAAGCTATGTTAGTCTAACAGAATGTTTTCTCACATCATAAATGCTGGTACCTCTTCAGGGCTGCTCTTGGAGTTCTGTTATTTCTTTATATTATCTGCCTTGCAGACCATGTCGTATCCCTTGGCTTCAACTATGCGTGACTCCCACAGCTCTACCTCAAGACCTCTTCCCAAGCTGTAGACCCACATATCCAACTGCCTTCAGCACATGCATGTGGGCATCTAACCTCAATTCAACATGGTATAGACTCCTGTTCCCCACTCCAGTGTCTCCTACTTGGTGAACAGTGCCACCTTCCACCCAGTCACTCAAGACTGAAATCTCCAAGTCATCCTAGACTCTTCCCTCTTTCTCAACTCTCTTCTGCCTTATATGAATGTTTCTTATTACTTTCTATCTACTTTTTCTACCTGGTTAATTTCTTCAAGGCAATGAACATGCTTTAAACTTCTTGTATCCCAGGCACTTCACACAATGGAGAGCAATTACTATGTGCTTAATGGATATTTGCTAAGTAAATAAAGGAATAAACAGATAAAACTTAGTAGTCAATTCAATCAAAATGTTTTCACATCCTTCATCCCAAGTCTGCCTGGATTGACAAAATTATTTTAATGAACAAGCTGGAGCTTCTATTTGTTGCTTAAAAGCAATCTAATACCTTTATATTGGCTTCTAAATAGTGCATAACTTTATATCTGAGATAAACAACATAGGAATATATTGCTTGCTGCATTGTCCAATATGGCAGTCACTAGACACATGTGGCTAAATCAAAATTTAAGTTAATTTAAATTAAATACAATTTAAAATTTAGTCTTCAGTCACAGTAGCCACATTTCAAGTGCTCCGTAGCTAGTGGCTGCCGTCTTGGATGAAGCAGATTATAGGCCACTGCAATCATCACAGAAAGTTCTACTGGACAGTGCTGTATTAAAGGATGCAGTAAGTTTTACTGGACAAAACTCTTTGACAGCAATATGTTGTGAAGCAAGTATGTTTTGTTTCAAATCCACCGACTTAAATATCAAGAATATAAATACAAGTAAATATTTTCCAAATTATTCAGTGAATTTACATTTTGTGCCTCTCCATAAGCCAGTATAAATGGCAAATATTTGATGTAGAACATAAAAGTCACAGGCACTCTGGGAGGCCAAGGTGGGAGGATCACTTGAACCCAGGAGTTTGAGACCAGCCAGGACAACACAGTGAGATCCCATCTCTAGAAAAAATAAAAAATGAGTCAGATGTGGCGGTGCACACCAGTGGTCACAGCTATTCAGGAGGCTGAAGTGGGAAGATCACTTGAGCCGGGGAGGTCAAGGCTGCAGTGAGCTGTGATCACGCCAATGCACTCCAGCCTAGATGACAGAGCGAGACCCGAAAACAAAACAAAACAAAACAAAACAAAAAACACCTCACAATTAAAAGTCACAGAGAAGCACTTACAATTTTAAATAAAAACATTAGGGAATATTTAATACCTAACTAGTTTGTGCATGTAAATAATGAGTTTGGGCTCAGGATATGGGATATAACATGTAACAGAGGGTTTGCAGCCATATCCACTGCTGGCCTTTGGTTAGGAACAGATACAAGCACAACTTTCTTTGTCCAAATTGTATCACTTAATTTTTAAAAATAAGGAGAAAGATCAAAGAACACTTTGCCAGTTGTAGTTACGTAAAAATAACACCTAATTCTACAAAGAAAAGTACCTCTGTCTCATTATGTAAAATCTCAAAATATTACTCTTAAATCGAGCCCTTCATGTTTCTTCTCTCTCTTCATTTTAAATATTTTACCGAGGTTTGATATCCATTGGTAAAGTGCTCAACACTGCTGAATTACTTTAATGCAAGGTTGTTCTTGGCTTAAAATATCATCTACTTCTACTTGCTGTATAAATGAAACTGTAAATATGAAAAAGATGTCAAATGAATACTGTCCTTTCATACGTCAATGGAGTACAAACTAAGGTGTGTTTTGAACAGTTGTGGCAGAGAGTCAGGAAACTGATGACAGTAAAAATATAATCCTAAATGTCTCTCCCTACTTAATTTACAGCTGAGATGATATAATCTGAAGTGATGGAGGGAAAGAAAACCAGATTTCCCTTCTTGGTTGCAGGTTATGAACAAAGTTTATGGAGCTAATTTTTAAGGTTACTCTAACCAAGGCTTGTCTACAGGCTCTCAGAGGAAGCCCACTACCATGCCCTGTCTGAAATGTAAAATCTTGAGTCAAGGATCAGGTATCATCTTTTCCTTCAAATCCAACTGCATCTCAGCCATCCTTGATAACTAGATACTAGCAGCTCCAAAGCCCACCTCTCCTGAAGAGTCATTATGTTCTTAGAAGAGGATTCCTGTTAAGTGGCTCCCTGGGAATTAAGCCTGAAACAGCCTCTCTTTGCCCCAGCCTCCCACTATTTTATTCAGTATTCTAGGCAAGCCATGGAAGGTGAACAGAAGCTGGGGTCACATACCCTCAACATTGGTCAATTATACCTAAATAAAGCTGGAAAAATATTTTTCTCAACTCCACATGCAAAAAGTGAAAACAAAATTCTGAAAAATTAAAAAAAAAAAAGAAAAATTACGTTGTAATCTGTACAGTCCCCATAAGTGTGGTCAGTTCAAATGCCCTCATTAGCCATTCTTTCATTGACCACCCTATGTCTCTAAGTTTCTATTCCACTTAACTATATGATTTGAGAGGCATAATACTGTAATTTGCTTTACAATTGTTCTTTTGTAATTTTAATTCTCTCTCCTAGAAAACGTCTTCCTGCAAGATGAGTTCTGCATGCACTATCATTTCTCTATTCCTTTGGAGCCAAGAAGCAGGTGCTCTAGTGTTAAGATGAGCAGACTAGGGATCAAGAGCCTGGGTTTTGTGACTTGAAACTGCACTGAGAGAGTTGGGAATGTTGCTATTGCTGTAGATCACCTAGACCAATACCCTCCTTTGAGGGGGAGAAGAGAAGCGTGTTCTGTGGCTACAGGGCTCTGCATACAATGTACACTTGTAAATATCTTCTGAATCAATGTACAAATCCTGATCCTTCCGAATACAAAATAACTACACTGCCTTCTAAATATTTGATAGGTCCTTCTCTTTCAATATAGCCACCTTTTATTAAATAAATAATTGGAGATAGTCGTCTTAATAGATTTACATTATTTGAAGATGAATTTAGTTCATTTTAGGAACCTTGGCTAAAGGCAGATAGTCAATGGATGTAATTTGGATCGGTTCAGAATATCAGTAACTTGAAGTGAATGCTTCATCATCACCCTCAATAATCTTAAGGTAAATGCTAACTAACCATACTCCCTACCCACGACCAATCTCATCTCTGACTGACAGAAAAGACACTATCATTTACCAAGTTCCTACCCAGGGGTCTGTATCTTACACATATTACCTTTCTGAATCCTACAATAACTCAATGACATATGCTCTGTTATCATCTCTGCTTTATAGATGAGGAAAATAAAGCTTTATAACATGAATAACATATAAGTTCACAACCAGTAAGTGACAAAGCCAGAATATGAACCCAGTCTGCTAACTCCTTATACCAGTAAGGGCAATAGTTGTGTCACCACTAGGGAGTAGTAAAATAATCTCTAGTTTTGTTTAATCCCAGCCAGAAATGCCTTGATTTTGTCATGTCACACGTCCAATATGCCCTAATTTGTTTATTTTTACTTTTATTTTTTATTTTTATTTTTGTGTGTACATAGTAGGTGTATATATTTATGGGGTACATGAAATGTTTTGATAGAGGCATGTGATGCCTCCATTTGTCTCTATTACCAAAATGTGTATGTCTTTGAAATCGATAGGCTCATATGTTAAGATCCATTCCATCACTGTATATTCACACCGCAGCTTAACCCACTAACATCCCCCACAGAATGAACTGCAGATACCTATGAGCTATTACCAACTTTGCCAGGTAGTTTGTGCACACTATTGTTTCCAGGAAGGATGCAATCTTGACCAACTCCTGGCTCCTTCTTAGTTTTGCTTCTGGAAAGCCACTGCTTTTCAGTATGGAAGCATACCAACTTCCCAAGTCAATCTGCTAATAGGAAATTTTCCAAAAGCCAACTTGCCAGGAGACAAATGGACTGAATGAACATGAATCAAAGTAACAATCTGTCAAATTATCCAAATATACTGATTTACCAAAAACCTGTTTTTTTAAGCTATTCATAAAATTTGCAGTATGCTGAGTTGGCAGAGTTTAAGACTATCGTTGGAAGGAAGGATTTCAGAGTCCTGAGGGCTTCAGACACCTGCTTAGCTCCTCATTTCCTTCTCTCATGGACTCCAGTTTCCTCCCAACCCAACTTCAGGGGTTGGAAGCCCAAGCTGTGCTGGATGCTGGCTCTCCTTTGTTTCTTTTCCCCATTGCAAGTTCCCCTCTCTTGTCCCCTGCTCAATTCAGCTGCAGCAGTAAGGGACCTGGGGTACAGACAAATGGAACCTTTCCTAAAATGTTAATAGAAAAATTGGCCAAGCACAATATATCCTAAGTATCTTCAAAAACTGTTAAAATATTTCAATCCACTCTAAGTCATTAAGTTTTATCAGAGTTCAAAGATATAAGTTTGGGGAAAATGGTAAATTTGGCAAATAAGTCATTTGATGATATTGGTGATAAAATCTGAAAACATGCTAAATCATTGAAAAATTAGAAAATGCATTCTTTAAAAGTGTATTATTAAATTAGCATGAACTAGAAACATTCATATGAAATCCTGAAATTCTGTTTTTATTCATAAGAATGGTAAACCATTCTGTGACTTTTAACTTTTTACAAATTAAACATTCCTTAAAATGTTGAAAATAAGAATATATCCATTGACTATAATCAAGAATGTAGTCATTGCATATAATCAAGAATAATATATTGATATGAACAGATACTTAGTATACTGAATAGATAAGGGATCCAAACTATGGCCTGTGAGCCAAAATCAGCAGCAGCCTGTTTTTTTACAATGTAAGAATGGATTTTGTAATTTGAAAAAACACGAGCAGGTGATTGGTTTCTTTCTCTCCAATGACAGCAGAGGCAATGGACAACTTACAGCCAGAAAAGCCCATTGCGTTCTCACTTGGGAAAGATCTTGATGGACCTGAAGCTGCTCAAGATCATGCCTTCCTGCTAACAAAGGGACAACAAATCCCATCGTTTACCATCTTAGCATATAAATGTTTTAGGAAACTTCCTGAGTGACTGCTTCCAGAAATTTTCTTTTGGCTTAAGAAATTAACTTTTAGTCACAAAAAGTTCTGTCTTTTTTGATGTGAGGGGAAAAGTATGATATTTCATTAAGATATTCTGAATGGAAGGAGTGTGCTATTTGAATTTACCCGTCCTCTCCAGCAGAGTAATTTATTACTTCAGGGCCTAAAAGGATGGGGAAGGAAAATGTCTGGTATACGCGCGCGCGCGTGTGTGTGTGTGTGTGTGTGTGTGTAAGTACGCGTGTGCACACGTCTATGGTGTGTGTTGGGATTGAGAGATAGGCAGAAAGTGAAACAAGATGACTCAGGAAATAATGTACCCTTCTCCTCTCCAATTCCCTATCCTGAGCACCACAACCCTCACTGCTCCCTGGCCATAGCATGAAGAGGACTGACTTTCATGAGACAATGAGTTAGGGTCTATAAGCATCTTTCCATTTCAGCCTTCCTGTTTTCCTGTACGAGACACAGATATGGATTCTTATGGCTTTCAAAATCATATTCTTTTTGTGGGTTAACATATATATAACTGATATATCTGAAGCTGATACATAACTGAACCTACACCATATAGATTAGTTCAGATAATTTCACGTATTAGAAAATGAAGATTTAAAACAAAATGTTGAGTTTCTACTATTTATAACATGAGGTCCCTTTTATCTGGCAGGTAATTACTTTTATGGCATAGCTAAGAAAATTCAATTCTTCTTTTAGCTGTATGGTAAAGACTTGCTTCAAATCACTGCTAATATACAACTAAAAATCTATCCATTTCATAGAAATCAGCACTCTCTAAAGGGCCATTTTGAACTCCTCTAATGTGCTTTTTTTTTGGTTACACCAGTTTTCCACAAACACATCAAAAGAGGAAAAACACCGAACAGCACTTGGTGGTATTTCCTCACCAGAATTAAAAAAAAACAAGTAATACACAATATTCATCACACTTAAAAAGTAAACACAAATCATCAACATGGTAGAAATCTTAGTCTGATGTACCCCGAAGAGCAATTAATCTGTGGTAAGAGTTGCCCTAATGTCAAATAATAAAGAGAAAACAGAAAAATGAATACTAAGTCAACAAAAACTCTATTGCTATAAAAATAACCAAAAAAGTTTCAAGGTTTTGTCATCTCAAAAAGAATATTGCTGATATTGGCTTCCTCTGAGCAGTGTAGAAATATTAAGTAAACATGAAGGCAACTTTAGAATCTGATTAGTGTTCTGTGGTCCGCCCCCTGCCCCTTTTCAAACGTAGAGAAGGCAACATATAGCTTTGGTTGGTGAGTCACTGGAATATGCCTGGATGCCAGCTGCTAACACTAAAGACATTCATGGGCAGAATGAATGTCAAGGCTACACAGTTCCCCATCATATATTTGTGGAAAATTCATTCCAGGAGAAATTCATAAATCAGACACAAGACTATACTAAGACCAGCACTGTGTGGTAAGATATAAAGAAAGTTTGCTCTGTTCCCACTAACTAATAAGCCCTTAAGGCCAAGCCTTCCAACTGAGGACAGGATGTTCTATAGGGATGCATCTCTCACTCAAAGAGGACAGGGTTTTTGAAGGACTAGAACTGACAGCTCAGATATAATTTCTACAGTTTGTAAGGTACTATATTGACTTTTATATTTCATTATTTTCATATTTGGATCCATTATCAAATATTTTTCCAGTCTAAAAACTATTTTATGAATTAATATTTGTCACTATTCAGTCAAAATGATTTGCTTTCACTTCAATGAAACAAGACACACACAAACACACACACACTTTTACATCATAAAACAGGGCAGGACCAACTTCTTTTTAATACATCCAGTAACTTCAGAGCGCCTGGACTAGGTACATATGTTCATGCTAAGGTTTTGCCAAACATCCCATGTTTTATTTGGCATCTGAGTCTTCCTATTTTTGTAACTGTCTCAGTCATCCCTCTAAGGTAACATGGTATATGGTTTTTCTGTCACTTTTATAGGACTATTATTGAGCCAGGCGGGGAAATAAAGCAACAAGAGACCAGTCGAGTCCCAGCATATGTTAAAAGAAAACGTTTTATGTCTTTGCTATTTATTAAAACTCTAATGGCCTGTGTTGGCTGTGCAAATATGAGATATGATTTGAAGTTTGGCCTTGTTTTCTCTTTTTGTTCTGAAAATCAGCTCTGTTAGTTTCCAATGGCAAGATGGACCCATAGCTAAACACATGACTGTATTCTAGAAATCAGAAAATGAATTAATTGAATAAAATGAGCTAGTCTGTGTACTGAGGGAGACACAAGCTGAATGCAATCCCACTCTCAGCAAGCTTTTGATTTTCTAGGAGAAGAGCTAAGTCAGTCTCTGTGATCTCAAGGCAAAGTGGAGAGTGTCAGTACGAGAGTAGAAAGCAGGGAGGAAGAGCTCTTCCGAACTGGGCACCAGGAGGAACTTCTCAGAGAGGGAAGATGGAACTGTTTCTTGAGGGGTGAGAAGGATTCAGGTATACAAAATATAGTGGGGAAAAACATTTTAGTCCATGTAGAAATAGTGAATGAACTTAAATGGCATGTATGCAGAATGGTGTAGTTTCTTGTAGTATTGTAGTTTCTCGTTTCGTTGTACATCTCAGCACTAGACAGCAAGTTTTATGAGGATAGGCACAGTACTGGGCACTGCAAACACAGTCTCATGGATCTTACAGTTTCATGGGAAATCCAGACAATGAGTGATTAGTTTAGAGATAACTATAAAGTTAAAAATTGTAATAAGTATGATTAAGGAAAAGGGCAGAATGCCAGGGGAGAGAATAAAAAATAAACTTAGGGGAACCAATATAAGGCAACTATTGAACAACATAATGGAAAAATATTTCAGGTTGAGGACACAAACTTGTGCAAAGGCTCTACGCTGGAAAAGAGTGTTGAGAATTCACAGAAAAGAGAAGCCAGGGAGGCTGAAGTCTGACAGACAAAAGGGAATACAACACAAAATGAGGTTTCAGAAATAAGTAGGCATGAAAGCAGTATGCTTTACAGACCATACAAAAGGAGTCTGGATTTTATTCCAAGTGCAATGGAGAAAGCACCGAAAGTTTTTGAGCAGGACGGTAACAACATCATATTTCAACAAATGATACTGGAACAACTGGACATCCATATACCAAAAACAATGAACTTTGACCTAAATCTCACACCTTATAAAAATAGTAACTCAAAGTAGATCGTAGATACAAACTTAAAATCCAGAATGATAAAACTTTTGGGAAAAAAAAAGTTTATGTGGTCTTGGTTCGGTAATGAATTCTTAAGACATGTCACCAAAAGCAATCTATCAGAGAAAAAAAATGACAAAATATTCCTTTCTTAAAATAAAAACCCTTTGTTCTGCAAAATACACTGTTGAGAATGAAAATAGAAGCCCCAGACTTGAGAAAGTACTTGCACATCAAATATTGAACAAATAACTTGTATCCAGAATGCATAAAGAATTCTCAAAACTCATAGACTGTGGTGAGGACGAAATGAGTTAAGATGTGTTTAAAATACTCTGAACCATGCCTGATACACAGTAAGCACTCAGTAAGTGTTGTTATTGTTTTCTTTTCTTTTTTTTTTTTTTACTTTAAGTTCTAGGGTACACGAGCACAATGTGCAGGTTTGTTACATATGTATACGTGTGCCATGTTGGTTTGCTGCATCCATCAACTCGTCATTTACATTAGGTATTTCTCCTAATGCTATCTCTCCCCCAGCCCCCCACTCCCCAAAAGGCCCCAGTGTGTGATGTTCCCTGCCTTGTGTTCAAGTGTTCTCATTTCTCAATTCCACCTATGAGTGAGAACATGCGGTGTTTGGTTTTCTGTCCTTGTGATAATTTGCTGAGAATGATCGTTTTGTATGAGTATGATTTCATAGTTGAGGATATCAAGGTTCAAGGAAGTCAAGCTGCTAAAGTTAATACAGCAATAAGTGACAAACCCAGAATTTGAACCCAGACTGTTAGCTTTGGAGACTACATTTTTAATTTTTACTGCTCTGACTTTGCAAAATTAATATTAGAACAATGTTTGCAGGATGTTGCAAAGATTAAAGGCAATGAATATGAGAAAATATTTTGTGAATAAAAAATGAAACTGAAAAAAGAATTCTCAAAATTCAGTAAGAAAACAAACAACAAAATTTTAAAATTAGGCAAAAGATTCAAACATACACTTTGTCAAAGATGTAATGATGGAAAGTGATGAAAAGATATTCAATATTATTAGTCCTTAGGGGGAATGCAAATTAAAACCATAATTCAATACCACTGTGTGCCTATTAGTGGCTAAAATTTTGAAAAATGACAACACCTAGCACTCAGGAGGAAGTGAAGCAATAATAACTCCCATACAAGCTGGGTGTGGTGGCTCACACCTGTAATCTCAGTATTTTGGGAGGCCGAGGCGGGCAGATCACCTGAGGTAAGGAGGTTGAGACCAACATGGTGAAACCTCCCCTCTACCAAAAATACAAAAATTAGCCAGGCGTAGTGGTGAGCACCTGTAATTCCGGCTACCAGGAGGCTGAGGCAGGAGAATCACTTGAGCCCAGGAGGCACAGGTTGCAGTGAGCCGAGATCAGGCCATTGCATTCCAGCCTGGACAAGAGCGAGACTCTGTCTCCAGAAAACAAACAAACAAACAAAAAACAAACAAAAACTCCCATACATTGCCAGTAGGAATGCAAAATGGCACAACCACCCTGGAAAAGGATTTGGTAGTTTCTTATAAAGTTGAACATACAATTACTGTATGTACTAACAATTCTATTCCTATCTACCCTAGAGAAATGAAAACACGTTTACCAAAATCTTGTACACGTTTATCACGGTACTATTCATAACCGCCAGAAAACTGGCAATAACACAGAAGTCCTTCAGCAGGTGAAATAATAAACTGTGGTACATACCTACAATGAAATGCAACTCATCAGTAAAAAGTTTTTGATGCATGCAACCACTCGGATGAATCTTAAAGGAATTGTGTTGAGAGAAAGAAGCCAGTCTCTAAAGATTACATACTGTATGACTCCATTTATATGACATTCTCAAAAACACAAAACTATAAGGATGAAGTATAGATCAGTGGTTGAAATGGGTTAGGGGTGAGGTGGGGTAGGGCTGACAATAAATAGGCAGGACAAGGAAGTTTTTTGAGGGATGATGGAACTGTTCTGTATTCTGATTATGGTGGTGGTTGAATGAATCTATAGCTTTCTTAAAATCCACAGAACTGTATACCAAGAGGAAAAAAAAAATTTACTGCACAATTTAACAGATAGATTGTTTAAGAAATAATTTTAAAAATGAAAATACAGGCTGGGCACGGTGGCTCATGCCTGTAATCCTAGCACTTTGGGAGGCCAAGGCAGGTGGATCACCTGAGGTAAGGAGTTCAAGACCAGTCTGGCCAACATGGTGAAACCCCATCCCTACTAAAAATACAAAATTTAGCCAGGCCTGGTGGCAGGCACCTGTAATCCCAGCTACTCAGGAGGCTGAGGCAGGAGAATCATTTGAACCTGGGAGGTGGAAGTTCCAGTGAGCTGAGATCACGCCACTGCACTTCAGCCTGGGCGACAGAGCGAGAAATTTCTCAACAAATTAAAAAAAAGAAAGAAAGAAAAAGAAAATACATATCCACAGAAAGACTTTTTTTAAAGAACGTTCATTGCAGCTTTATTTGTAATAATCCAAAACTAGAAAAAAATGTCCATCAAAAGGAAAATACGTAACAAATTGTGGTATAGTCATACAATAGAATACTCCTCAGCAACAAAAAGAATGAACTACTGATACGTACAACTTATGCTGGGTTAGAAGGCAGAATCAACAGAGTATATACTGTATGGTTCTATTTTTATGAAGTTCTAGTAAAGGCAAAATTAATCTAGAGTGAAAAAATTCAAAATAGCAGTTGCCTCTAGGTGGGAGGATGACAGAGAAGGGGCACAAAGAAGGCTTCTAGTGTGCTGAAAACATTGTATATCTTTAAAAATTTTTAATTAAGAAGTAAAAATTATATATGTATTTCTGGTGTACAATATAATGTTTTGACATATGTATACACTGCGGGATGGCTAAATCAAGCTATTTAAAATATGCAAGCATTACCTCACATACTTATCATTTTTGTAGTGAAAACACTTAAAATCTACTCTCTTAACAATTTTCAAACATAAAATACATTGTTATTAACCATAGCCACCATGATGTACACTGTACCATCTTGACAGGAATGAGGTTTACACGGGCTTCTCCATTCAAAGCTCATGGAATGATAGACTTAAGATAGGTGTATTTTACTACATGTAAATTTTACTTTACAAATGTAAATACTATTAAACTCAATTTAGAAGGTTTTCTTTTTGCAATGACATAAGTTGGCAACCCTGAAACTACTTTCTGTGCATTTGATATTTGAGCAAGTAAGTAACTATATTGAGGACAGTGGGGCCAGGCCTTTGTGACTATTGGAAAAGAGTGTTGCAAATACAGAAATGAGAAGACTAGAATGAACCCTATGGTGTTGGCTTAGAATCTGAAGCATCACTATGAACTCATGATTTGTATTATTTTATATACACTCATACACAAAGGTACACATACATATAGATATGTATCTTTATATGTAGGTACATGTGTATTTGTTTCCTAGTTCTGAAAGCACTTAAAAGCAGTGGCACACAAGTAATGATGACCAGAACTAATGCCTAGATCTTGGTTTCTAAATACTTCTGATTAAAGAAGCTGGAGTTGCTCAGACTAAGACTTAGAGAACTGGCTGATTTCTCTGAGGCAGAGAAAATACAAAATGAACCTGAAAAGTCTTGTGCCAGGTAGTAAGGGTGATGCTCAAAGAATGACAGGGCACATTAAAAAGAGATGAGTCAGCTGGAAGAGGCTCCCACTGGCCAATTCTGAGACAATGTGAGCATTAAAATAAGTAATAATAGTAGTATATTATAAGCCAGTGAATAAATAAATAACGATTCAATTAATGAGGCAGAGGGGAAACTTCCTAACCAAAATGCCAACCAATAAATGTAGAAGGTATGATGCTGTTAGAAAATTATCAACAGGTACTAAGACTAGTGGGTAAAAATTTCTTGAGGAACAGAATATTTACATGTCTTCAAGTACTTTCCCATAAGTTACTTAAAATTTACAAAGGGAAATTTTACTTTACAGGTGAGAAACTTGGTGGACATCTCTTTAACCATGTGATCAAAGTTCACATCAGCTTATGAGAAATATCAACACCATCTATCTTTTGATATGTCGTACTGAGAATACAACATTGCTTCTGTGGTATTCCTGATAAAAATGCGTAACTTGACTCTAGTTAAGAAGACACATCAGACAAACCCAAATGGAGGGACATTCCATAAAATATTTAGTCTGCACTCATCACAAATTTCAAAGTTAAGAATATCAAAGGAAGTCTGGGAAACTATTCCAGTTTAAAGACATATGACAACTAAATGTAATCGTGATCCTAAATTGGATCCTATACCAAAAAAAAAGCTACAAAAGATAACTGACAAAATTTGAATATGGACTGTGGAATAGATGATAATAATATTCCACAGATACCAAAATTCCTGATATTATAACCATACTAAGGTTATGTATTATAATAAACTTGAACATAGGAAATACATAGAAGTATTTGAGAAATAGAGGTGTATCTCCACAGTTTATAATAAATTACACACACACAAAATATCTATCTATATGAAGAGAGAGAGAAGAGAGAGGGAAGAAAAGATGGGGAGAAGTTGAGAGAAGGAGAGAAGAGGAGAGAATGATAATAAAGCAAATGGGGCAAGCTGTAAAAAGTTGTGAGTATAGGTAAAAGAGGACACATATAGTTCCTGCCAATATTCAAATAAAAAGTTAAAAAATAAAAAGAAATTTTAAAAATGGCAATGGAGCTAAAGCAAAAGAATGTCTCAAGATAAGAAAGAGGTAAAGCCAAAATCATTAAGTGAAAAGAGAGCTGGATGAATCCCATTCCACATCTTCAGATGACCAACACACAAGCTGGGCAACTATATTGTGGAATGGCAAATGAATACTGTGAGAAAAAAATAACATTATTACTTGAGAAGAATATGCAGCTGTGAGAATATTTATTTAAAATTGCTTTTCATAAAATAGGCAAATATATCAGATAATTTGTCCCAGTTTTTTTAAACTTTTATATTTATTAGACTTTTTTCATTAGTGTCTAAACCTCAGTAATTTCAGTGCTGCTTCAATAAGTCTTTAGTACAAACCCTTACACAGAGCTTTTCAAAAAATATTAACAACAAAACTGCTCTTATCAATTGCAAATCTAATAGTTTAATGATTTTATGCATTTAGATGATCAAAATAATTTGTCATGTAGCTGAAGATGGAGTATGGGTTGGCTAGAGATCACATCATAAAGAAAATGATATATAAAACCCAGGATCCTGAGACTGCTATCCCTTCTACCTGTGTCTTTTGATGTCTGTCCTTTTCAAGGACCAGACCCTGTACATGCTACTAATATGATTAGTTAAATGTACACCAAGGGGCTGGCTTCAAATCTAACAAATACAGCTGCGTGGAAATGGGCTCAAGGGTTCTTTCCCTGGATGTAAGCCTGAAAAGCCCCAACTCCTTTCCTTATCTGCTAACACCAGGTGTCAGCATGTGAGTATCTGTCTGGTGGGTGTCGGAGCACAGAGTCATCTGGCTGTATGTGGCCTCCAAGCTGGAAGTTTCATCATATTCAAAGTTGGGCCGCACCCACTTCACCCTGCAAGGAGACATGGATGCTCTTCATGGAATGACTCGGTTGTTCATGGAGAGAGTACCATCTCAGTATGGAGGTTTCAAATGTACTGGCTTTAAGCAGAAAAAAAAAGAACTACCTTAAATTTATAGAAAAATAAAAAGAATATTGAAGAAATCACCAGACACAAACTTCAGATCATGACTGTCTGCTATGTTCACAGGTAGCCCTTTGTAGTTAATGGTGTCTGCATAGATTAGTAAGGACTATAGTGTTAAATTATAATTACTCCATATTTGGAAGGACTTTCTAATCCATAATAATTTGACTTTGCATAGTATTTTACAAAACATATAGATCTTATTTCTTTTTTTTTTTATTTGAGCCTCACACCCATTCTGCAGTAATTATCTTCATCATTTATAGATAAAGAACATAAGACTTAACAGGCTTCTCCAAGATCACACAAACTGTAAATGGCAAAACTGAGAAATAAAACCTGAGCATTATAGTTTTTAAAAATCCTAATTTTATGTTGTTTTAAAACTATATTACAAGACCTCCACAGTATTTGCCAAAGGTGATAGGTAGAATTAGTAGAGTAGAATTAGTAGAAATAGCCAAGTAACGTGCAAAGGGAGAGCAGGTAGTGTTGACTGAGTCTCCACACGGCATTGAAAAACAAGAGAAATAATGGTGAATGACTCTAGCAGGAGCTATTCCACAAGGCAGGGTCGAGCTGACACGATCCTGGGTCCTTCCCTCACAGTTGCTCACAGGCCCTGCATGCTCTGAATGTTCCTCTCTGGTGACTCTGCTCCAGCTATGCTGGCTCCTTTGCTGTTTCTCAAACATATGCTTCTGCCATGTACTTCTGCCTCAAGGACCTTGCATCTGCTCTTCCTTCTGTCTGGAATATCTCCTCCAAAATCCACAAGGCTTGCTCCTCCACTCCTTTCAGATGTTAACTCAAGTCACCTGCTTGTTGAGGCCCTTTCTGGCCACAAAGGAACCACAGGGAATTGCCAATATTACTCCATTTTTAACCTATAAAATGCCATTTCAAAATCTAGTAGTATTTAACTTCCCCCCAATAACATTCCCTATACCCCTTTCACTGCTCAATTTTTTTTCCCTTGGCCCTCATCATCTCACCTGCTCTATAGTCTATTGACTTGTTTATTATCTTTCTCCTCCACCAGAATGTAATGACCACGAAGATAAGGACTTTTGCTCACTACCATATCCTTAAATCTTGGAACAGAAACTTCCACATAGCAGATGCTAACTATTTTCTGTATGAATAAATAAGTTTCACTGGGACTAAAGTGATAAGACTAGGCATGCTAGCCACATTTACAATGATGTGCAAGGCCCCTCCTCTGCTCAAGATGGGACAGACATAAGGAATGGAGTCAATACGGTATAGTATAGTATGGTAAAAAGACTCGGTACAACAAAACCTCACTAACTAGGACCATTGTACATCTTTGCAAAATTTTCCCCACACCTTTGTACAAGGTGTCTCTTCACTGAAAGAGGAATTAGGCAGGAACATTCTTTCTGGTGGAGTTGCTGACAGATGGAGTCTCCCCAGGGACCAATTCCAGTCCTATAGCAGAGTTTCTGAGGACTTTGCAAGCACAGGTAACAGCTACTAGAACCTGGGAAATACTCATCATTTGATTTTCCAGTGTTTTCTACTTTACTTTTGGGTGAAAATGTGCCATCTTTGTAAAAAGTATTAGGGCTAACTAATCGGTATATTCTCCTCCCTCTAAGTTTAAGGTGAAATTAAAAAGAAAAATGTTTTCTCTTAGTAACATCCCTGGTCACATACTTTCCAAAGACTCCTTGAGTTTTCTCCCTTGAATCACATACCGGCCACAGCTCCTGAAACTGGTGTCCTCGTGGAATGCAGCCCAGGATAACTTAGGTCCCAAATACAGCTATACTGCCTAACCAGCTGTGTGAGTTTGGGTGAATCATACATCCTCTGTGAGTGCACTTTCTCACCTGTACAATGAGTCTAAAATCTACCTTATAGATATGTAGAAAATAACTGAGTTAATAAACATAAAATAACATGATGAAGTATAAAGAACAAATTGCACTGTGTTAAAAGATGATGCTATGATAGGAATTTGGGCCTTACCAATACATGCAACTGGGCAAATCCAAAGAGTACCTTAGTTGCTTACTTCTGACTCTTAGCAGTAGCAAGACAGCAGAGGGCTACTCAGTATTCACTTTTTTGCCTGCCCCTCACTGACTCACAAATCCCTTACTTCTTTCTACCTTCAATAGTCCAAGAAAGCAAGACTTTCCACTCCGGTACACCTGTAGCCTCAATGAAAAATACCCCAGCTGTTCAGGCCCTCTCCTGAAATGAAAGATTTTTAAGCCTCAAATCTTAAACCTGCACAAACAGGACATTCTATGTGGAAATACACCCTTTCTTCTAAATACTTCAAATTCCCACCTTTGTGTTTCCTTCATAAGCATAGAGAAAACTTAGCAGGATGCTTCTTAATCTTAAAAAATGGAATTACCAAGATAAGGGAAACATTTTGGGAGCTGTGGGTCCCTACGACCTTTGTGAACAATTGCTTTTCTAACTATCCCCCAGAGGGTAAAATGGAAGCCAGACTATTAATAACTAAAAATTACAACCCTGATATGATGCAATCTCTTCTCCTTTTTAATTGAAAATATCATGGGGACAAGGGACAAGTCTATGAAAAAATCAAGCAATAGGGTACTGGTTTGCACTTTTTTTCTAACAATACTGCATAATGTTTGAGAGATCTCATGGCCCGGAATGTATTACCATTTTGATAAGATCAAGTAACCAATCAGTTAATGAGCAGATGTCACTTCTGCCTACTCATTGTCAGGTTCTGTGCTCAGACAAGGGTGAGGGTGACAGGTCCTGCCTTACAGAGTTCAGGTTAGTGGGCCAGCCAGGTCCACCAACAATCCATCACATGAGAGCTGAAGAGACTGGGGCCAAAGTAGTGGCCATGGAGTTGGAGGAGGGAGGGATATGAGAGGGACAAGCAGTCTGGAATTAATCAGACTTTTCTTCATTAAATGCATCCGCTTTTTCCCTAAGTGTCATTTTCTATCTTACTTCCTACATGATAAACAATCCATTGTCTAGTTTTGAACTTTAGGGGAAAGAGTGTGCGTTCACCCACATTTGAGTCATAATTTCTTACAAAATTAGAAATGATATAATTTTAAGCCTTCAGAAAACACTTTTATTATGTATCTTATGAAGATTACGGCATAGATGTGGTAGCTGGCTCCTTGCTGCATCAGAATATTTTTCATCCAATTAAACTCTACCTTTAAATAAAATATGAGTATCTTTGTTCTCTAAACTCTCACTATCTGAATATTTGCTACACTGATATGCTAGTTTTTAAACAAAATTCATTACCCAAACCTGCTAAATAAATCTGTTTTAGGGTGCATGCAAGAATATGTTTAAGTCATGCATGCCTAGACAAGAGCATGTCAGTGTGCTGCTATTGTGTCTCAGTCATTCTCCTTATAGCAAAACTTGAGTTCATGTTGTTTAAACATGTTGTCTTGTAGGTATCTTACGTTCCACATTATTCAGTAAAAGGTCATCTAAGAAACTAGAGAAACTAATGAAGGAAGTGGGCAAGACTAACAGGCCTATTGAAGTCCATGTACTACAAGAAAAGCTGGGAGCAATAAAGCACATTCAGAGACTGGCTAGAAGTCTTAAGCTTGGTCGTGCACGTGCTCCCCACTCCTAGGAGCCAAACATAAAACACTGAAGATTCACGTAAAATTTAGATTCTGGCTGGTCGCAGTGGATCACACCTTTAATCCCAGCACTTTGGGAGGCCGAGGCGGGCGGATCATGAGGTCAGGAGTTCGAGACCAGCCTGACCAACATGGTGAAACCCCGTCCCTACTAAAAATATAAAAAGTAGCCAGGCGTGGTGGTACGTGCCTGTAATCCCAGCTACTCAGGAGGCTGAGGCAGGAGAATCGCTTGAACCCGGCAGGTGGAGGTTGCAGCGAGCCGAGATTGCACCACTGCATTCCAGCCTGGGCGACAGAGTGAGACTCCATCTCAAAAAATAAAAAATAAAAATATCCTGAGACTTTGCTGAAGTCTCAGCCCAAAATCTCCTTAAGCTGATAGGCAACTTCAGCAAAGTCTCAGGATAAAAAATCAATATGCAAAAATCACAAGCATTCTTATACACCAATAACAGACAAACAGAGAGCCAAATCATGAGTTAACTCTCATTCACAATTGCTTCAAAGAGAATAAAATACCTAGGAATCCAACTTACAAGGGATGTGAAGGACCTCTTCAAGGAGAACTACAAACCACTGCTCAATGAAATAAAAGAGGATACAAACAAACAGAAGAACATTCCATGCTCATGGGTAGGAATAATCAATATTGTGAAAATGGCCATACTGCCCAAGGTAATTTATGGATTCAATGCCATCCCCATCAAGCTACCAATGACTTTCTTCACAGAATTGGAAAAAACTACTTTAAAGTTCATATGGGACCAAAAAAGAGCCCGCATTGCCAAGTCAATCCTAAGCCAAAAGAACAAAGCTGGAGGCATCATGCTACCTGACTTCAAACTATACTACAAGGCTACAGTAACCAAAACAGCATGGTACTGGTACCAAAACAGAGATATAGACCAATGGAACAGAATAATGCCGCATATCTACAACTATCTGATCTTTGACAAACCTGACAAAAACAAGAAATGGGGAAAGGATTCCCTATTTAACAAATGGTGCTGGGAAAACTGGCTAGACATATGTATAAAGCTGAAACTGGATCGCTTCCTTACACCTTATACAAAAATTAATTCCAGATGGATTAAAGACTTAAATGTTAGACCTAAAACCATAAAAACTCTAGAAGAAAACCTAGACAATACCATTCAGGACATAGGCATGGGCTAGGACTTCATGTCTAAAACACCAAAAGCAATGGCAACAAAAGCCAAAATTGACAAATGGGATCTAATTAAACTAAAGAGCTTCTGCACAGCAAAAGAAACTACCATCAGAGTGAACAGGCAACCTACAGAATGGGAGAAAATTTTTGCAATCTACTCATCTGACAAAGGGCTAATATCCAGAATCTACAATGAACTCAAACAAATTTACAAGAAAAAAACAAACAGCCCCATCAACAAGTGGGCGAAGGATATGAACAGACACTTCTCAAAAGAAGACATTTATGCAGCCAAAAGACACATGAAAAAATGCTCAGCATCACTGGCCATCAGAGAAATGCAAATCAAAACCACAACGAGATACCATCTCACACCAGTTAGAATGGCGATCATTAAAAAGTCAGGAAAGAACAGGTGCTGGAGAGGATGTGGAGAAATAGGAACACTTTTACACTGTCGGTGGGACTGTGAACTAGTTCAACCATTGTGGAAGACAGTGTGGCAATTCCTCAAGGATCTAGAACTAGAAATACCATTTGACCCAGCCATCCCATTACTGGGTATATACCCAAAGGATTATAAATCATGCTGCTATAAAGACACGTGCACACATATGTTTACTGCGGCACTATTCACAATAGCAAAGACTTGGAACCAGCCCAAATGTCCATCAATGATAGACTGGATTAAGAAAATGTGGCACATACACACCATGGAATACCATGCAGCCATAAAAAAGATGTGTTCATGTCCTTTGTAGGGACATGGATGAAGCTGGAAACCATCATTCTCAGCAAACTATGGCAAGGACAAAAAACCAAACACTGCATGTCCTCACTCACAGGTGGGAACCGAACAATAAGAACACATGGACACAAGAAGGGGAACATCACACACTGGGGCCTGTTGTGGGGTGGGGGGAGTGGGGAGGGATAGCATTAGGAGATATACCTAATGTTAAATGAAGAGTTAATGGGTGCAGCACACCAACATGCCACATGTATACATATGTAACTAACCTGCACGTTGTGCACATGTACCCTAAAACTTAAAGTATAATAAATAAATAAATAATAAATAAAAATTTAAAAATAAATAAATAAAAATAAAAATTAGATTCCATAAAAACAGCATGCTGGTACAAATAAATGTGATCATGGCATGAGCAGACATGTCACATTGTCACATTCAACACACAATTACACAATTATTAATACAAATGCAGCTTTATGTTAGCAAGAATTTTTAATCAAGCAAAGGGGATGTAAATAGCTAGCCACCATGAGTTCTGTTTCTCATCCCACTGCTCTGTGTGTAGCATCAGCTAAAGGTTGACAACCAATCACCTCTGTACTCTTCTGATGGGAATGGAAGATTCTCCCTGCCTTCTCTTAAATCCAGATGAGCCTCAAATATTTCCTGTTTAACTCATTCCTTCACCAGCTCTGGCTTCCTTACCTCCTCCTGCCCCCGAATAGTAACCGTGACCACAGCTTCCAGCTCACTCTTCTCACCATCAGACCTCATGCAAGCATGCCTTTGATCCCAAGAAATCTCTTGCAAAGTTCTCTTGTTTGCTTATTTTATTTTGCTAAATATTACTGGCATACAGTGCACATCTTTAATATATTTAATATATTACTTCATTATTTATTTACCAGTACATGTACACTGCAACGTAGAAGGAAAATGTAATCCCCTCCCAATACTAGACACTGTATAGTGTATGCTATTGTGGCTTACTACATACAAATGTGCCAAACAATGAGTTTATCAAATGCTGAATAACTATATAGTATTATAAATAATTTATATTTTACAGAAATCCTTTGTGGGTTGTTAAATAAGTTTATAAAGGGGTTTTAGTGGTATCTGGCAAATTAATCGGCATTTTCCTGGGGGTTAGGAATATATTTTTACTTTTCTCACGTGAAATAGTGGAATATTTGCTTCTATTCTCTGAAAATGTGTTAGTAAACAAATTTTAAAGAACACATTAGATTCACAAAAGAGGAATGCCTGTATAATTAGCAGTTACCACAATGCATACTTGCTCTTCTACCATTTAAAAGTGTCTAAACATTACCTTTCTTTTCAAGAAAAAAAAGTAATGAAGTAGTATATTAAAATGCATTACCTTAATTTGAAAGTCATTACATGCCTGGGTCAGTTAAGTTTTCTCTATTTATTGCTTTAATGCTTTTTTTAAAAAATAAAAAATAAAAAGCCAATCACCTGTATTTACATTCTGTTGGAAAAATGTGAATTATATGAGCTGGGAAAGGAAGTTCAGACTAGTAGACTGCTATTCTGGTTTTATTTATTTATTTAGAGACAGGGTCTCACTCTGTTGCCCAGGCTGGAGTGCAGTGGCATGATCACTGCTCACTGCAGACTTGATATCCCGGGCTCAACTGATCCTCCCACATCAGTATCCCAAATAGCTAGGACTACAAGCACATGCCACCATGCTTGGCTAATTTTTTTTGTATTTTTTGTAGAAATAGGATCTCACTATGTTGCTCAAGCTGGTCTCAAACTCTTGGGCTCAGGGGATCCTCCTGCCTCAGCCTCCCAAAGTTCTGGGACTACAGGCATGAGCCACCATCCCTGGCCCGTTTGTTTCTTTTTTCATTTTCATTTTGATGGGAAAAAAAATATCTGTAGGTGTTATTTCTCTTGTTTTAGTTTCGTTTAGTAAAATTGAATTCTAGATCTTCATTAGCTTTATCAATACTACCTCTCACCTGAGCTCTCCCACAAAAGGTTCCTCATCTGAATCTTGTGTAAGTACAGCTTCATCACTGACTGCCTTTGAAGTGTAAAGTTGCTGCAGAAAAATTCAAATATTTAGACATTTAATATGTATATAAATAGTAAAAATGCACAGCATATATTAATTTTGGAGGCATGCTCATATCCAATGTTACAAATAATCTGCATATCAATGTGAGAAATGCACTGGAGTTTTACAGATTTGAAAACTGAGGATTAGAGATATAATGATTTGACCCAAGAAATAGAGCTAGTAGATCCAGGAGCAGAATTTCAAAGTTTGAACTGTGAGTTCATCCCTCTTCCCACTGTACTACACAGTCACGCTGTGAAAAAAATCTTCCTCCAAAAGCCCGCCTGTTTGCACAAGATTTTTTTCTCCAAAATGTCCACTAATATGGAACAAACATCCTATAAACCCAGAGAGAAACTGGACTAGAACACAAATAGAGTTCCTTGTGCTGTAAGGGCTACCAAGGTATTGGGCCAAATCAGATGTTTTTCTGTTTCTCAGAAAAGGAAGTAGTTACTGGGGTTGACTTCCAAAATGGGATGTCTGTATTCTCATGGCAGATGTGACAGTTCAAATCCCAGAGGGCTACAAAGACGGAATAATGAATGGGGCAACTGAATTAGGCAACTTCCTTAAACTGCCTTTCTTCTATACTACTTTTCTTACCATCTTTAATTTGAAGAAATGATGACATATATTACTTGTTCTAAAATTGAATGTAAAGGCCCCCTCCACAGTTTCTAAAATGTGGTCTGAAAAGCCCACGTTTTAAACCAGAGATGAAAAGTAAAGCAAGCATGTTGCCCTCTCTGGATCACTGGCAGTAATAATGACAGTAATAACAATGATCACAACAACTGTAATAGCTCACATTTACTGAGTGCTTACCATATAGGAGAAACTGTCTTATTTACTCCTTACAACCCTAATAGAAGGTACTATGACTGCCATTTATAGAAAAAGAAACTGAGGCTAAAGGATGTGACTTGGCCAAGGTCACAGAGCTGGTAGGGAAAGGATCTGAACACAGGAAATCTGGATCAGAGCCTTCCCTTATAAGGTAATGAGTTGGAGATGTTTTATGTTGTAACATCAACACAATATTAACATGGCCCGAACAGTGCTCTTGATTCTAGCCTCCCACACTGCCTGATCCACATTGTCCCAGTCTTGCTAAAATCAGTTAATGGCACCTCCATTTGCTGAGTTCCACAAGCCAAAAAGCTAAAAATCCTCCACGAGATGTTTCTCTCCCTTCTCCTAGACACTTCTAACTCATCAGCAAGGGCACTACCTCCAAAATACATCCCAAGTCAGAATACTTGTATCTCCATTACTACAATCATAGTCCAAGCCCCTATCATCTTTCACTTAGGTATTCTTGCTTCTGTTCTTGTTTCTCTGTACTCCATTTCTCAGCCAGTATTCAGCCTGACCTTTAAAAAAGAAAATCAGATCATGTCACCTTCCTGCTTTCCAATGCACTTGAAATAAAACCCAAACTGATTACCATGGATCTCAAAGTTCTACATAATCTGTCCCCTGCCTATCTATTGGATCTTATTTTCTGCTGCTCCTTCCCCCTTTCACCTTATTCTGGTCACATAACTTACTTTGTTACTTGGAACTCTCCAAGCTAGTTACTACCTTAGGTCTTTTACAGATGTTGAACCATCTACCTGCGTTGCCTTCCTTTCTTAGTTAGCATCCCTAGGGGTCTCTGCTCAAAAGACAAATTATCCGAAAAGGACCTTCCCTGACCACTCTGTCTGAACTCCCCACCCGCACTAGTCATTAGCACATTATTCTGTCATCCTTCAGGGCACCTTCCAATATTATTTAGCTATTGTCTATCTCCCCTAATGTCTCTCTGGCACCTAGCACAGTACCTGTAACACAGTAGGTACTTACTATATATGTTACTGAATGGAAAAATTAATGGAAGCTGAATCTATCAGATGAATTCCAAAGTGAATTCTTTTTAGAGCTAGAATTTGTGAATGCTATATTAGAGAACACAAAGAGAGCAGAAGCCTTTACAATCAGCTACCCAATGGGGTTGTGGTGGAGCTGCCTCAAAACTCACGTAGTATAAGAAGCCTTCCTTCATCTACCTGCCAAAATGCTCATTTCTCTTCATGTGTTCCAGTCCCCAGCACCTACATTTTATAATATTTTATATTATGTCAAGACTACTTGTAAATGATTGTGCATCTCTTTCGAGTGTGTCTAAATTTTCACTGAGATGTTCACCTTCTGAAACATAGGAGCTGATTTTCCTTATTTACATATCCCAGCACAACCCTCTGCACACACTGAGTAATTTAGCAATGTTGTCCAGTGGCTGACAGACCAAAGGGGAAGTGACCCTTCAAAGGAAGCCCACATCGCCACAGCGGGGGAAGCACAAACACAGTATACCCACCTGCAGGAGCTGAGTCCTGAGAATGCAAACATTTCCCACAAGATAAAGCCGATCCTCCTGAGGAACACATGCAGCAAAGTCAGCACAGAGGTGGCTGGAAAACAAGCCACTAAAGACCACAGGAAACTCTAAGGAAGATAGACACACATGTGAAAACAGAAAGGTGGACCAGTTAAACAAGAAGACAAATACCTGACACATCCATGTGCTGTTTGCTAACCCATTGACAATTTTCAAAATTCTGAGCCATGGGATTTTTCCTGTCTTCTTTCCTTTTCAGCCACCCTCCCCATCAAAACATAAAGAATTTATTACTGAGAATCAAATATTGAGAGTTAAGGTTGGTTTTCAGTCTTCCGTTATTACCCTGTGGATGGATAT
Organism: Homo sapiens; assembly: GCF_000001405.40. Lineage (NCBI taxonomy): Eukaryota > Metazoa > Chordata > Mammalia > Primates > Hominidae > Homo > Homo sapiens. The sequence continues at coordinate 151,622,683 of NC_000023.11, read as the reverse complement.
TTTAGTCTCCAAAAGAGATGTGGCTCCTCTCTTTTATATAGACCATATGGGTAGAGTGTGTGGGAGTGTGTGTGTGTGTGTGTGTGTGTGTGTGTGTAATCTGTGCACACAGAGTCAAGTAAGATTTTTTCAAAAGGTATGACTTTTAATTTCCAAGAATCATGACAAATATATCAGCCACCTTTTGCGTGAGTTAATTTCATTTATTTATTTATTCATTTCTCACATGTTCATCAATATTTGGTATTATTCAAACTTCTAATTTTTCCCATTCTGATGGGTGTAGAGTGCTAATGTCACTGGTTTTTAAATGTTTCATTCTTTGCTTATTAGTGAGTTGGAGTATCTTTTCATATATTTGTTAGCTATTTGGGCTATTTACCTCTGATTCAAGTCCCAGATATTTTAATGGCTCCAAACCAGTTAATATTAATTAATTTATGTTAATTTCTCAGCTTGCAGTTTCTGAAACCTCAAAATTTGTAAAATGGACCCTATATCCACACGCGACAAAAATTTGGGTTTTGGTTTCTTGTAAATGGCACATTTTGTCCATTCAAATTCCCAGAGAGATGATAAACCTACTCACTATTCCTCTGGGTCAATGGACAGAACTTTATTGATCACTTCATTGATCTCTAGGTTTTATATACTGGTGCTTGACTGGGTGTTAGAATTCCCGACCCCAGCCAATGGAGCCTATGCATGACTTAAAATCCACCGAGGCCACCACAAAATCAGCTGCTTCTTACCACTGTCATACTGCTTTAAACTTTAATTTCTGGTACACATAGACCCACAGAGTCCCCTTTATTTTAAGCTTGGATATGCATTAAACTTCTTTTGTTATATTTTTGCAATCATTTCCTTGTTTTATAAAAAGAAAGAGCCATCCTTAACAACTCAGTGTCCCCCACCTTGTAAATTTCACTGTTAATTTTTAAAAGTCTAAGTAATGTGAGTAGTCAGAAACTGTGGCCATAGGGATATCAGACAGTTTGCAAGTACCAAGCAGAAGAGCATTTATGTTAGTAATGTGAGGCTACATGACTCATAAATGTCATATAGATAAGATAAACAGAACTGCTTACCATTACAAATATCTCTTACATTCACAATAAATTTCACGTTTTCGTAAGCAGAACTATCACCATGTTCGACATTTCCTCTTTTTAAATGACAGCAAAATTCAATATGTGTTTCTAGTAAAAAGAGAAGAAATACAAAACAAGTCTACATTTGTACTTTACCATATTCTACTGGATTATTTCATATGACCAATGTCTTTCTTCGATTAGATTTTACAAAAATATTATTTTCTTTCCACGAACATTAGCACTTACATAGCTAGCTATGTTGTATCAGTAGAGTAGGGCACCAGCTAGAACGCTATATACAATGGTCCATCATTTATATAGCACTAATGCAATTGTACAAATGCTACAATACTCAGGGTCTGTGGTGAGGAATAAGATTTAATGGAGGAGAGATTTTTTTAACACTAGAAATAGAGTTTGTAATATTATATAAAAGTAAATTAATATATGATCAACAGCCGTATGTGCTCTAATATCTTTTTAGAAATTAATCCATTGAGCGATTGTTACTTGTCCCTTAAAACCTAAGAATTTACTACTTTTAAAAATATACATACCTGAGTTTAGTAAAGGAAATTTGAGAATAATCTTTTGGTAGACTTCATCTTTCTCTTCATCAGGCAGAAGGCTTAATAATTTTTTGCCCACAATCTCAGCCTGGCAGGAGAGGAGAGGAGGAGGTGGAGGGAAAAAGGAGGGGAAGAGGGAGAGAGTAAACTTTTTTATCTGTGTTAATACTGTTCAGTTCCTCTATCTCCTTACCTCCAGTGAGCTTATGCTCTGCCCCACCTCAGCCATGTACAGTTATACCTGTTGTACCTCTAAAAAATACAATTCCCATTATCCTACTTTATGAGCACCACCTCCTATGTGCTCTTTCCCTCTACCATATTTGCCTGGGAAAATTTTGACTCTAGTTACTTCCAACCTTTCATTTATCTACACCTTCACCCAAGCAATTGAATGTAAATGAAGAAAAACCCACAACTAAGCAGTATATTATTTGAAATAAGTATTCAAGTCTGCCCAAAAATCATTTATTTAGACAATTTGCTCCCCTACTCTTTTTCCTCCTTCAAACCTCCGACCCCCGAGCCTTCCTTCATTTTCAGCTGACCTAATTTCTTGTTTCAGTGAAAAAAAAATGGGAAATGTCAACATCTGACACCAAATCTACCAACCTATCTGTTCCTGTGCCTAGAGACCTGCTTTCCCTCCTCTTCCAATGAATAAGCTCCTACCTGAATTTCACTCCTTCACCTGTGCACTGCATCCCATTTTTCTGTAGACTATGAAAAGACATTGTTCTAGAAAGTCTCACCCTACCCCACACATCAAGTTTTCTTTCCCTCTCAACTGGGTGTTCCCATAAGCATACAAAATGCTGTACTATACATGCTATGATATCTGTCATCTATTTGGTCATTACACACTCTATGCATGTATTGAAATATCACATGTACGCCATACATATGTACAAATATTACATATCAATAAGAAACTTTAAAAATAATCAGGAAAACAAAAACAACAACACAAAATTCTAAAAACGCATAACCTTCCTTTACATTACCGCCTCTCCCTTCAATTATAATTCTACTTATCTGGAGTTATGTACAAATTTATACATGAATAAGAAATTTTAAAAATAATCAGGAAAACAAAAACAACACAAAATTCGAAACATGCATAACCTTCCTTTACATTACCGCCTCTCACTTCAATTATAACTCTGCTTATCTGGTCCACTTTGGAACAAAAATTCCTGAAATGAAACGACACTTGTTACCTCCCCTTTCTTCACTTCTCGCTCTTTCTTGAAACCACACTAATGAAGTTTATATCTAACCACTCCACTCCACTGAAACTGCTTTTGTCAAGGTCACTAGTGCCCTCCATATTGCCAAATCAAATCATCACTTCTCAGCCCTCATCTTACCAAGCGTCTCAGCATTTGATGCAATTGATCCTTCCTTTTCCCTTGATACATTTACTTGACTTCCAGGACACCACACACATGAGGATATACTTCTACCTCAAAGGCTACTCCTTCACAATTTGCTAGATCTTAGTCTTGCTTCCTGAATACTAGGCATCGGAGTGCCAGGGCTTATAGTCATTAGGCCTGTTTCCCTACGTGGTCTCTTCCACTTCCATCTCATTAAATACCACCTATCTGTTAATGACTCACAGATAGTCGTCTCTTGCCCCCATGATAACTCAACTTGGATGTCTAATCGGATTTCAACTTTAAGATATCCAAAAAGAACTGATCTTTTCTTTGACAAAATATGTTCCTCCCTCGGTCTTCCCAATATCAGTAATGGCAACCACCATTTACCCATTTACTTGTCCTTGACTTGCCTTTTATCTCTCAAACTCAATATCCAGTCCATCAGCAATCTCTAATGGATCAATTTTCAAAACACATACAGGCTCAGTTCACTTTTCGCCACTTGGTCCAAGTCTCATTTCCAGTTTGGATTACTGCAGTAGCCGTAACTGCTCTCCCTGCATCTATTCTTGCCATGCCCCTGCCACCACTCCATTCTCTATAGAACAGCCAGCATGATTCTTTCCAAACATGAGCCACATCATGCTATTCCTATGCTCATTCCAAATTTTCTACTGATTATCCAAGTCATTCTGAATAAAAGCCAAAGTCTTTATAAGGGCTTTCACCACTCTATATTCTGGTTCCTTGCTGCTATTGACCTTATCTGCTTTCTCTCTCTCTCTCTCTCACTGCACTCCAGGTACACCCAACTCCTCATTCACATCCAAACACAATGAGAGCAAATACTCATCTCAGAGCCCTTAAACTAACTCCTCCTGAAATGTGAAGCACTCGTTCCCAAATATTTGCAATGGCTTTCTCTCTCACTTAATACAGGTCTTTACTCAAAAGTATTTTACATAGCACCAACTCCTTGACATTCTCTTATTGCCTTTTTTGTTATCTGTTTATTATCTACCTTCCCCATTAAAATGTAAATTGCAGTATAACAGAGACCTTGCCTGTCTTATTCATTGCTATATCTTCAACACCTAGAACAGAGCTTGGCACTGGTAAGCACTCAGTAAATATTGGTTGAATGAATGAATAATACCGTATCATGTAGCTGAAATACGGTGAGACATGGATAAATTGAATATCAGATATAGAAGTAATGAGGCTTTAATGTGATAGCAACAAAGTAATAAAGTATTCCTTGTAGCTGAATAATGGCTTTGTGTGATGAACCACAAATTCCAATGATTTTTTAACTGATTAGCATTAATAATCTACAGTCACTATTTAGAAATATATCTTTATGGCCCATTTGTAGAAGCCAGCCTATGAACTGGTCAATGATCAAATTAGCAGACAGATGCTGTCTCAATCAAGCTTGGCTTGATTAAGGATAGAAATATTACCTTAATCTAGCAAACAAAACATTATGGAATTAACAGGCAATACATCTTGACAGTGAAAGTCACACAGTAAAATACTGACTTCCCAAAAGAAATGTAGATTTTTTTCACTAAATTTAACTTTTCAATAAAAACACTTTTGTTGGTTTAGTTATAAAATAGACTTTAGATGCCAAACTGGGTTACCTCTGTGGAGACCACTCATTCATTCACTCATCTAACACACGATAAACAATTGCTCCATGCCAGTCACTGTTCTAGGTATGTTCACATATACAAGCTCACTTAATCCCCTGGGAGAGTAAGAATTATCCCTTGTTTTATTCATCAGCAAATTAAGGCTTCTCCAATTGTTGAGAGTTCAGAAATGCAGAAATGAAACTGACATGAAAGCTCCATCCAATTCCATGTCTATTGTTCCTTTTACTACACCATAGCTGCCTCAAGTCCAGTTTGCATCAGGAACAGAAAATTTGCTACTGGACCAGTTCCTGTATTTTGGACATTCTACATGAAGTAATTCACTGAATAAGATTTTATACTTATTTCTTATAAGGGTTACAAAAGATGAACCTGACAACGAATTCCAATGAGCACATAGTCTAGTAGGGCAGATTAAATATGCACAATCAATTATGATGTAGAGTATAAAATAATACCCTAACAAGAGGTACAAAGTGCTATGTCTCGTAAGTTCTTTCATTAGTTGAAAAATGAAGATAGCATTGTCACTTAAAAGAGTTCAAAGTGAGCTATCTTTTGATAGTCTACATTCTCTTGGATGTGACTAGTGGTAATGAGTTTCTTATTGCCTCTCTAGGGATAGGAATAGTGACAATAAGCCTTATAATTAACCGCTAATTGAAACACTGGATCTGTTCCAGTGGCCTTGTTCCTTAGTTAGAAAAAGGGAGGAGACCTGAAAGCATGATCGACCTCATGTTATTTTTGTAAATTTTTAGCATTTGCTCTTCTTATTACACAAGGTAGAAAGATCAAGGTACTTAGAGCTTAATGAAGCAAGGATAAATACCAGCGAAAAACTAAGGTGGTTTTTCAAAAGCCAAGTTTGCAAATATCTATTAGTTGTCACACAAATATTAGTGTGGTGAGTCTCAGTCACGTCAAAAAAAGAAAGAATTAAGAAATTTACTGAGGACTTCATGACATTTACTGAGAACCTAGGCAAGAAGCATCTTTTTTCCTGCCAAAGACACTCATATTATACATGCATTAGAAAACTATTCAACTGTATAGGGCACAGGGAAGGATAAGATCCTCTGCAGGAGATTTAGGCAGCATCTCAAATCAAATGAGACTCATCACTACTAAATCTCTACTATGCGGTAAGCTTCTCAGGGAAAATAGGGCAAATCTCATCACAGTTATCACAAACTAACCATGTACCTATGTTCAAAACCTGCTAAGTTTTAATCTCTTAAAGATTCAATGCTGAGAATTTTTTCAGATGTAGTGTACGTTTTAAAAGTTTCATTTGCTTTAGAACTGCAAAAGAGAATAAATATATGTAAACTCCCAGATTTGATTTTATTTTCAGGGGGAATGACAGAGTAGGGTGAGTAGGAGGGCAGGCTGCTAAGAACAGGGGGCAGTGACTGGAACTTACTACTACAAATGACTATGAGTTTTTCCAAAGGAAAAAAAAAACTGTCAATGAAATCAATGATTGGGAAAATATGATGGCAGGTTTCAGATAAAAGTTTAATACCATGATCATGATGATAATGGGCATCATTTTATTCATGGTATGTGTTGTAACAGCATAACTTGGACACATCTTATCTCTGTGTCACACCCCTCTTCCAATACATCAGCAAAACAACTTATTTTACCTACAAAATGCTTCCACTGCCACATTAATCCAACCCACTACCATCTATGGCCCTCCAAGTGGACTCTGTACTTCCATGCCTGCCCCTCATAGCCAATTCTTGACATAACAGCCAAAGCGATTCTGATAAAACTTAAGTTAGATCATTTCTTTCATCTGCTCCAACCTCCCCAATGGCTTCCTCCCATCTCAGAGGAAAAGGGATGTTACTTCTCCTGTTACTGCTCTGACTTTATCATCTCTATTTTCCTTTTGCTCACAGCACTCCAGTTACACTGTCCTCTTTGCTGTACCTTTTCCTGCTTTCAGGCTCTTACATAAGCTTCCTCCTCTGTCTGAAAGACACTTGCTCCAGTTACCTGCATATCACACATACTCCATTCAGGTCTCTGTATAAATGTCACTGATCAGATGGGCCTTAGCCAATCACGTTATTTATACTAATTCATCTCCCAGCACTCTCTAAGTAATATTATTTCCCCACTTATAGAAGAGAAACTAAAGGTCAGGCAGTTAGAGAGAAACAAAGCTAAATTTTAATCTCTAGATTATTTGATTCCGAAGACCAAGTTCTTTCCATCACACCATGCTATTAGTTTGGAGTTGCTCCATAGACAGAGGTGCCCTGATATGTAATGAAACTGAAGATTCCTGGAGCCACGCAGACACTCTAGAAATGGTTCAGTCTCCATTTTATAATATAAGTTGGATGACTTATAAAATGAAATTTTTAATCAAAGCCTGAGAAAAAGATTGCCTGTTTTGAAAAATTAAGAACAGTTGGGATTCAATGAGGAAGTGTGAAACTATGCCTCAGGTGTAGTCGTTTTTAACCTTGTTTTATAGGAATATATAACTTAATTCCCATTTAATGTTTATGTACAAATGTAATAGTTATACATTTATTTTTAAGTACACTGATCTCAGGTAAATCAAGTCTATTGTTTAAGGCTGGCAGTTCAAAGCACATGTCCCAGACACCTCTCTAGACCTTGTGGTTTTGGGGGGCGTGTGTGTGTGTGGTACCTCAAATGTTGAAGGGTGAAAGAGCTTCTTGATAGGGAAAACTTTGAACCAAATACATAAAGAAGCAAGATCATATCATAACTAACACCATCACTATGATAAATCTTCACATAATAAGAAAAAGTCACCAGTCTCAGCCAATGACCAATTTGGTTTAAGCAATATCTGATGCCACAAGAATTTGGGTGGTTTTCTGGTCTTCATTATAATAAAATTTAAGCTGTAGTGGATCATACTCGTACATTCCCTCTTTTAATATATATTTTAAAAGACTCTTTTCCTTCTATGATTTAAATATACTAAAGTGCAATCCAATAAATATCTCTACTATTTCATTTAGCTGTTTTGGTATCCTACAAATATAAGCTGAATTTGGAAATGTAAACTGTTTTTTTAAAAAATGAAAGAGAATGAGAAATAAAAGAGATCGATTCTAGCATCTGTAATTTTTTTTAAAAGGGTATAAGGACTCTGAGCTTCCAAGAAGGCCACGGAACATGCCAACTGGCCTGGCTAAAATAGTGACATATTTTTAATCCACTTCCAACCTAACTACAAGATAATCTAACCTAGCTTCTATTAATTTCCATGTTCCAAATTTGAGTACTATAGATTTCTGGATTAGGGTTTGTCAAGTTCTTGAGACAACTCTGTGGAATGAGGAATATGTAATGAAAACAACAACGGAGATATGATTGTTTTACACTACTACCATTAGTGAATAGGGGTTTCAATTTCTTCATATCCTCTCCCAAAACTTTTTGCTAACACAACCATGCCAATGGCAGACAGTTTGTGTGGGAGGGTTGTTGGTAAATGTATTCTAGGTAACCCCTCTTCAAACACACGTATAAGTGGAATATGAAGGCCTTGCTACAGATTGAATGTTTATGTCCCCCAAAAATTTATATATTGAAGTAATCTAGCTGTCAATGTGATGGTATTATATTAAGAGGTGGGGCCTTTGGAGATGATTAATGGGATTAGTATCCTTATAAAAGAAACCCCTAGGCTGGGCATGGTGGCTCACGCTTTTAATCCCAGCACTTTGGGAGGCCGAGATGGGCGGATCGCTTGAGGTCAGGAGTTCGAGACCAGCTTGGCCAACATGGTGAAACCCCGTCTCTATTAAAAATACAAAAATTAGCCAGGCGTGGTGATGCGTGCCTATAATCCCTGCTACTCAGGAGGCTGAGGCAGGAGAATCACTTGAACCCAGGAGGCAGAGGTTGCAGTGAGCCGAGATCGCACCATTGCACTCCAGCCTGGGTGACAAGAGTGAGACCCAATCTTAAAAAAAAAAAAGAGCTCCCTCGCTTCTTCTACTATATGAAGTTATAGTAAGAATAAGGATGTCTATGAAGCAGAGATTGGGCCCTCACTAGACACCAAATCTCTTGGCACCTTAATCTTCGACTTCTCAGACTCTAAAACTATAAAATATAAATTTGTGTTGTTTACAAAGACACCCAATCTATAGTACTCTGAAACCAATGGAAATGACAATAAAACAGGGACACATTTTGACAACATTGAAAACATCTTCTCTGATGAGCTTTATGCTTCTGAAAATACCCCAAAACCTCCTTAAGCTGATAAGCAATTTCAGCAAAGTCTCAGGATACAAAATCAATGTGCAAAAATCACCAGCATTCTCATACACCAATATCAGACAAACAAGAGAGCCAAATCATGAGTGAACTCCCATTCGCAATTGCTTCAAAGTGAATAAAATACCTAGGAATCCAACTTACAAGGGATGTGAAGGACCTCTTCAAGGAGAACTACAAACCACTGCTCAAGGAAATAAAAGAGGATACAAACAAATGGAAGAACATTCCATGCTCATGGGTAGGAAGAATCAATATCGTGAAAATGGCCATACTGCCCAAGGTAATTTATAGATTCAATGCCATCCCCATCAAGCTACCAAGGACTTTCTTCACAGAATTGGAAAAAACTACTTTAAAGTTCATATGGAACCAAAAAAGAGCCCACATTGCCAAGTCAATCCTAAGCCAAAAGAACAAAGCTGGAGGCATCATACTACCTGACTTCAAATTATACTACAAGGCTACAGTAACCAAAACAGCATGGTACTGGTACCAAAACAGAGATATAGACCAATGGAACAGAACAGAGCCCTCAGAAATAATGCCACGTATCTACAACTGTCCGATCTTTGACAAACCTGACAAAAACAAGAAGTGGAGAAAGGATTCTCTATTTAACAAATGGTGCTGGGAAAACGGGCTAGCCATATGTTGAAAGCTGAAACTGGATCGCTTCCTTACACCTTATACAAAAATTAATTCAAGATGGTTTAAAGACTTAAATGTTAGACCTAAAACCATAAAAACCCTAGAAGAAAACCTAGACAATACCATTCAGGACATAGGCATGGGCTAGGACTTCATGTCTAAAACACCAAAGGCAATGGCAACAGAAGCCAAAATTGACAAATGGAATCTAATTAAACTAAAGAGCTTCTGCACAGCAAAAGAAACTACCATCAGAGTGAACAGGCAACCTACAGAACGGGAGAAAATTTTTGCAATCTACTCATCTGACAAAGGGCTAATATCCAGAATCTACAATGAACTCAAACAAATTTACAAGAAAAAAACAAACAGCCCCATCAACAAGTGGGCGAAGGATATGAACAGACACTTCTCAAAAGAAGACATTTATGCAGCCAAAAGACACATGAAAAAATGCTCAGCATCACTGGCCATCAGAGAAATGCAAATCAAAACCACAACGAGATACCATCTCTCACCAGTTAGAATGGCGATCATTAAAAAGTCAGGAAACGACAGGTGCTGGAGAGGATGTGGAGAAATAGGAACACTTTTACACTGTCGGTGGGACTGTAAACTAGTTCAACCATTGTGGAAGTCAGTGTGGCGATTCCTCAGGGATCTAGAACTAGAAATACCATTTGACCCAGCCATCCCATTACTGGGTATATACCCAAAGGATTATAAATCATGCTGCTATAAAGACACACGCACTCGTATGTTTACTGTGGCACTATTCACAATAGCAAAGACTTGGAACCAGCCAAATGTCCAACATGATAGGCTGGATTAAGAAAATGTGGCACATATACAACAGGGAATACTATGCAGCCATAAAAAAGGATGAGTTCATGTCCTTTGTAGGGACATGGATGAAGCTGGAAACCATCATTCTCAGCAAACTATGGCAAGGACAAAAAACCAAACACCGCATGTTCTCACTCATAGGTGGGAATTGAACAATGAGAACACATGGACACAGGAAGGGGAACATCACACACTGGGGCCTGTTGTAGGGTGGGGGGAGGGGGGAGGGATAGCATTAGGAGATACACCTAATATTAAATGAAGAGTTAATGGGTGCAGCACACCAACATGGCACATGTATCCATATGAAACAAACCTGCACGTTGTGCACATGTACTCTAAAACTTAAAGTATAATAAAAAAAGAAAATAAATAATGAACCCCTAAACAACAAACCAGAATGATCCACTTTCCCAAAAGTAGAAAGAACTTACTGGTAAATGTCCAAGAAGAGAAGAGATGTTTTCAGCCACACAAATGATCACTCCATCTGTGCTCAGTGTAATCATAAAGCCATCTAATAACTAATGACGAGAGAATAATAATGTAATTAAATAGTGGAACAATAATAAAATGATAGTTTTATTGCTAAATGCATAGATAATTATAATAGCACACTGAAATGCACCCCAGTCCTTAAATATCAATAAAGTAGGCACAGACTTAATTAAAATTCCATTATTCTGCCTCCTACACAGAATCTACTTAACCTTAAGCATGAAATGTTTATCAAATGATGTGTCACTTAAACAAATTTCAATGTACACCCAATTAACATGAAATTCTCCAATGCAAGCTAAGAAGATTCATTTCCATGTGTAGGTTGTTTCACTTTAAGAACACTTAATTTCAAAAATGTTAAAAATATTTTAAGGACACTTTCATTTGTGGTTAGGTTAGTCATCTCCTTATAAATATGGATATTGCCATCACTTTCCTGCTGTATGATGGATTCAATAGCCAGACAAATGCCTCCTGGTAGAGAATATCTAAAATGATGAATAAAATAGATTAAAACTTATTTTTCAAAACAGGACCAAGCTACTGGTAAAGTAAGGGAAATAACCTGATATCAGAAATGACTAGATTGTGAGAATTAAGACACTGGAGAATATTAGACCCTGTATTTGCCTTGAGACTATCTTCCAACACTGATAGCCTAGAGCTTGGGGGACAAAAGCAAAGCCGAGGCCTGTACAAGGTAGGAGGTGAAATCAAAGACCACAGTACAAAGCCAGGTCTCCAAAAGGGAGACACTTTCAACAGGTAAAACAGAAAAATCTTATCCAGTGAAAGGAGACAGGGAATGTGCATGTCTGCCTCAGCCTCCATCCTGGGAAGAGTAGGAAAAGAGAAAATAGTCAACTTTAGGAGGTACTAAGCAGAAGCCCACCTTCACACAAACTTGGAGCTAGAATTCATATACTACCTGTGTGGCCCTCAACAACCAAAGTCTAATATTTAGTTTAAAGTGATCCTGACCCCATATGTCTAATAAAAGGAAATCAAAATCACATCTAGAGAATTATTTTAAAGTGAGGGTTCAAAGAATTCATGTAGATAAAATTACAAATAATATGAGCTTATAATAAAAATAAAACACAGGAAGAGATGAAGCATTACGAATAAGAGGCAACAGACATAATAAAATAAAGAATCATATTTAAAAATAACTTATTGGAATTATCAGATACAGAATACAAAATAAGTATGCTTAATAGGCTTAAATAAATAACACAGGGCACTAGAAATATGAAGAAACAAGAGACTCAAAACTGACTCGTGAGATATAAAACATAATCAAACAAAATGTCTATAGATGATATTGTCATCAAAATTAGAAACTTAATGTATAGGTTAAGTAGCATGTTAGAACACAGCCAGAAATAAAATTTTTGAGCTGGAAAGAGCTGAGGAAATGACTCAGAATGTAACACAAGGAGATACAAATGGAAAAATAAGATAAATTCATTTCATGGAGAAGAGAATCAGAAAGTCCAACATATGTCTGATCAGTGTTCCTGAAGGAGATAATATAACAGAGAAGAGGAAATACTCAGTGAGATATAGGTGGAAAATTATCCAGAAGTAATAAAATACACCAATCTTAAGATTCAGGAAGCCCAAATAATTGAAGCAGGATTCTCTATTTGTATAAAGTCATGAACTCCTCAAACCCATTAGGATGGGCTATGATTAAAACAAAACAAATAGTTTTGGGACAAGATATGAAGAAATTGAAACCCCTATGCACTATTGATGGTAGTATAAAATGACAAAGCTGCTATAGAAAACTCTACGGCAGTCTCTCAAATAACTAAACATAGAACTATCATGTGATTCAGCATTTCCACTTCTGAGTGTATAGTGAAAAAAAAAAAAAACACCCTGAAAGCAGGGACTCAAACAGGTATGTGTACACCTATGCTCACAGAAGCATTATTCATAATGGCCAAAAGGTGTAAACAATCTAAGTGTCCAACAGATGAATGTATAACCAAAATGCGTAACAAACAACAAAATATTATTCAGCCTTAAAAGGAAAGAGAATTTTGCCACATACTACAACATGGATGAAACATGAAGATATTATACTAAGCGAAACATGTCACAAAAGGACATTACTGTATGATTCCATTTATATGAAGTTCCTAGGATAGCCAAATTGATAGATGCAGAAAGTAGAAAGGTGGTTACCAGGAACTGGGAGAAAGTGAGAATGGGGAGTTATTGTTTGAGTACAGAGTTTCAGTTACGCAAGATTTTCAAAGCTGGAAATGGATGGTGGTGATGGTTGCACAATAATGTGAATGTACTTAATGCCACTGAATTCTACATTTAAAAGTGATTAAACGGTAAATTCGTGTTATATACATTTTACCGTAATAAAAAAATAGGCCAAATAATAAGTAATAATGGAGATTACAAAGTATTTATAATAGAATAATTTTTTAAACACTATTTATTGAGACCTGTGAAAAGCAGCTAAAACAACACTTGGGAATCTTCGCCTAAATGTATATATTAGAAAAGAAAATTGGTTACAAATCAATGAATTAAATAATCTAAAATTGTTAGAGAACAAAAAATGAACCCCAAAAAGTAGAAAAAAGTAAATAATAAAAATAAGAGCAGAAATTAATAAAACAAAAAATAATGACACAATGGACAGAATCAAGAATGTTAAAAGTCAATTCTTTGAAAAGAACATTAAAATCGACAAACCTCTGGTAAGATGAATCATGGGGCAAAAAACACAAACAATATTAGGAGTGAAAAGTGGATATCATTACAGAAGCTTTAGACATTATGAAGATAAGAGAATATTATGAACAACTTTATGCCAATAAATTTGAAAGCAAGTCTTAAAAACATATAAATTGCAAAAAGTGACTTGGGAAGAAGTAAAAAATATAACCAATCACATCATCATTAAAGAATGAAATCACTAGTTTAGAATATTCTCTTATCTTTGTGATGTTTCTCCTTCATGGCATACACAAGAAATAACTCAAAAAGTATGAACACATTAAATATAATAGATAAAACGTTAAAGCTTTTAAAATAAAATATAAGAGAATATATTTATTACCTTGTGGTAGGTAAGGATTTTTTAAACAGGAAAGTAAACACCCTTTGATTGGTAAATTTGATTACTTTAAAATTAATAATTTGTCAAAAGTCACCTTAAATTGTGAAAAGGCAAGCTACAAACTAGAACAAGAATTTTGCAACACATAACTAGCAAGTGATTCGTTTCCAGAATCTATTTTAAAAATCTCCAACATATGAATAATTAGAAAGAACAATACCATAAGAAACTGAGCAAAGGCTAGAAACAAGCATCTCATAGAAGAGGAAACACAAGTGGCCTCAAAATTGGTGAAAAGAGGCTCATTGTCATTTGTAATGAAACAAGACGCCATTCCATTCCCACCCAATTGACAAAAATTTAAAAATTAGACAATAAATTGTTAGCAAGGATGTGGAGCAATAAGAACTTTCATCCACTACTACTAAGAATATAAAAGAACAGTGAAATACACAGTGAAACAGAGTCACTTGAAAAGCATTGTCATTTTCATGTAGAGGGAGCGACCCTACCACTCCACCCTACCCTCCAGCAATCTCACTCCTAGACATACACCTAGAAACACTCTTGCTTATATGGAAGAGGATATATGAACAAAAACGTTCAAACCAAACCTGCTCACAATAACAAAAACCTACAGCTATACCAGACTCAGTTTATGCGCCTCCTCAAGATTCATACCCCATCCCACCCTCAATCAAGCCAGGGATGTTAGCTTTGCTTTTGCAGTCCCAACCTAGTCTCCTAACTCCGCCAGCACTAGGTGCTTCAGTATCCATCCAAAGGGACTGGATTCATGAAGGCAGTAACTTCATCCACCTCGGAGCATGGGATCTGGGTTCCCCATTGGGTTTCCAGAAAAGCCAGGTAACCCAAAGGACAGAATTGCTAACATCCTGGGTGTGACTTTTGACTAATGACAGGAGAAAGAAAGGAACTGGTAGATACAGTATTTTCCCTTCCTCCCCTATACAGACTATTTCAAGGTGTGGTGCCTTTTACATAGTTTTAAGAGTGACTGAACAACCCGCTGTGTGTTCTTGTGAAGCTCTATCCAGCTTGGTAATAAACTACCCTATATTTCAGTTCCCTTCTTCCCTGCCTTACTTTCCCCCTCACCCTCGCTATCCTGAGATTGCATATCCCACTAAAACCTTAGCATATAAATTTTGCTTCAGCCTCTACTTCCTAAGGAGCATGAGCTAAAACAGATTTCTAGTGCCCATCAACAGCAAAATGGGTAAGTAATTGTGTAGTATGTTCTAACAAGAATACAGAAGTAAAAATGAATGCACTAGAGTTACATGCAATATCATGGATGAATTGAAAAAGAAAGGTTGAGCAAAAATATCAAGTCAGAGAAGAATACATCCAATATAATTCCATTTATATAAAGGTGAAAATCATGCAAAAGAAAACAACATATCACTTAGAGATGCATACACATGTCCTAAAAATACAAAGCAAAGCAAAGAAATATTGATACAGAACTCAGGAAATAGTAGGGAAGAAGTGGTGTGGAAGAAGAAGATTACGACAAAGGGATTTCAAAGGATCTGGTAATGCTCTATTTCTTAAGCTCGGTGTCACCTGTACTATTTTTTTAAGTGTTACTATATGTTATGTATATTTTTGTAAGATAAAATTTTAAGTAAAAACTTTTAAAACTGGGTGTTTGCTATTTCCCATTAGACATCAAAAGATGACATCCAAAATTGCCACATGCCTGAAGTGACCTCCCAAACACATAGGTTCAGAAAAGAGTCTAGGCAGATCTGGTAAGGCACTTTGCTTCTCTACTCATTTTCTGTATGTCTGCTTGCTTTTGGCATTTTGATTACCACATTCTCTACTGAGACGGTTTGCTCTGAGTTAGTCTGGACCCCCATGGGCTGGAGTGTAAGTGAGAAAACATGGTGTGCTACTCGGCTGTGCTACTCAACAGGTCTTGGATTTGGGCAAGGTGCAAGCTCTCCCAGCTTTGGTCTCCTCTTTCCTGCAGTAAAAGGGATCAACATCATTATTAAGTTAATCATAGGCTTCTTATGAGGATGAAATCGGCTACTCTACATGAGAGCACAGTGTAGGTTGTTATGCAGATGTCAGGAGGCTGTTACGTTTGACCAACAGTATGGCAAACAGGAAGGAAACATCCAAAGCTAAGTCACTGCTCTGAAATACAAGCCATAAGAAACAAAGTCACCTTGCTCTCTTGCCCTCCAAACCCCGCTTTCTTTCATGCTTCAAAAGAATGGCCAAAGCTGTAATGAAACTGGAAAGTGAAGAGAAAGAGCCCTCTACTGTCCCTCTTCTCAGATTCCCTGATGTTTCCATCTCCCTGGTTGAAGTCAGCTCTGATTAGCCAGACTGGGCTTGTTTATTTCAAGAAAAAACTTCATGAATAAAGAATAAAGAACAGACTTTTCTAGGGAAGTTATTAAAGCCTAATGGAGGGGAAAAAAGTGGAAAGGAGGGAATTACCCAAGAAATTCTGATCCTTCCACTTGAATGCCATATGTTCTGTAGTTGTGAACATAATTATCCCTCTAGGGTGTATTTATACCTTGTCTAGCTTCTAAAATATTTCAAATAAGCATCTGGTTTCATAAAATTGGTAACAGGATTTCACATAACACATTTTAAGTCCTCTATTTAGCAAATATTTGTGTATAGGATTCCTAAAACAAAACCTCTAATAAAATTGAGAGAGAGTCAGGTGCAGTGGCTCACGCATGTAATCCCAGCACTTTGGGAGGCCAAGGTGGATCGCTTGAGCCCAGGAGCTTGGGAGACCAGCCTGGGTGACAGAGTGAGATGTAATGAAACATAATGAGCTGAACATAGTAGTGTGCACCTCTGGTCCCAGCTACTTTGGGGGCTGAGTTGGGGGAATTGCTTGGGCCCAGAAGTTTGAGGCTGCAGTGAGCCACAATCACACAACTGCACTCCAACCTGGATGACACAGTGAGACCCTGTGTCACAAAAAAAAGTGAGAGTCTGTTTCTTAAAAGGAAGAAAAATGAAGTAGAATATTACAATATGGCTCCATTCATTCACAGTCAGAATTTTGCCCCTAACATTGGGATAGGTTTGAAAAGATTCACTCACACAATGCCTTTCTCACACACCTTTATGACCACTAATGGTCATAGTGCTGGGTGGTCAGCCAGTACTGAAGGAGAAAAGGGACTGGACGGATAATTTCCAGGCGTCTAATATTGCCAAACGCTGTACTATATATTTTACACATGTTCACTTTATTTTATTCTCACATCATCTCAATGAGATAAAGATAATTTTTACCCATTTTAAAGAGAAAGAAATCAAGGCTCAGAGATGGTAATTCAGTCAAGACATACAGCAAGTAAGGGACAAAGGCAAAATCTGTATCCCTGTCTGTCCCACTCAAAGGAATATGGTTCTTCAGAGTGCAGTTTGTGGCTTGTGAAACTAACCAGTTCTCTTGGAGACAGAAACTATAAACACCTTACATTCTTGAGGGGGGAGAAACTACTTGAAGGCTAATTCATTAGAGTATAACCATCTATGTTGAACTAGTCTACCAGATAACCACTTAACTTGCCACTAACCTATGCGAAGACTTGTTTGTGTTTGTTGTCACTCAAAATCAGTGGTTCTCAAAACTCAGTTGGCATAGGAAGCATCCAGGGAGCTTGAGAGAAATGCAAACTCCCGGCCCTAACAGGTTTGAGAGTCTGATTCAGACGATTTAAGTTATCAAGCTCCCTGGTTGATTCTAATGCATATGATCTCCTAATCACACTTTGACAAACACTATTCTTTGTCTTCTATTACATGTATTCAACATATGAAGTAATCAAAGAACAAAAGCCCTCTTACCTGTAGCGTCACTTGGTTGAAGTAATCATAGGTAGGAAATGATGGAATCCAGTTTAATTTCCTTTGAGAGCTTTTTGGATTGACTTTGTCTTTTTAGAAAAAGGAAGAAAGTACAGAACAGTGTCACATTAAAATGATTAGCTATGGGTATTAGATTTTTCAAAGTTATACTTAATTTATAGAAAAGACTCTTATGAGAAAATGCTGAGTGCTAATGAAGGATCTGATGTTGGCTAACTAATTGTATATAAATGATCATAAACCCAGAAGTGTTTGGAATTGAAAAAGACTTTGAAGATCATCCAACTCAATTTCTACCACACACATTATGACCTGTCCAACAATTTTATGATTTTTCAACTTCTAGTTCTTTTTTTCCTCTTGAATTCTACCAAAACCCAGTATCCATAATCTGCCAGGTAAGTCAAGGGGTTCTAAGCAGATCCAGACTCCCAAAGCCCTTCCCTAGTCCTAACTAAATTATGAAATTCCACTCTTTAGCTTCATCTATTTAAGCTTTGCACAAGGTTCCTTAACTAGAATATCTTCAAGCCTTATCTTTTATCTCTTCAAAGCTCCTGGTACTGTCCTCTCCCCCATCTGTCCTATCACATTCTTCAGGGTTTTCTGGTTTCCTCAATGAGAAGTGTGTTTCTGCTCCTGTGCTTAGTCTTTGCTGTCAACATGTGCTCCTCTCTACCTCCCCAACTCCACCCTACTCCACTAACTTCACTAGCAAAGGGACTTCACTAACACAGCCCTCCAATCTCAAGTGATTTTAATGCTTCATGTCAATAAACATTAGTTCCTTCTCCTCACAGAAAAATGAGACCCATAGCATACAACTTTGATCTCTATTAAAAATGTAAAATCCTATGACAAGGATAATGTTGACAGTGGCTATTGCTTTCTTGACAGGCATGAGTCTCTGACTCTTTCCTAGGAGTAGAGTTGGGTAAGAGGGAGGCCATGCATAAAGAGAGCTTTAGAGCCCTCACTGATGAGGGAATGAAAATAGGGTGTGTAACTGGGTGTGAAATAGGAGTAACATGAAAAGTAAACCATGCCAACTGCATAAATGAGTCAGGATCAGTGATCCTGACCACTGTCCCAGCTTGGAAACTCAATTCTAGGCATAGCTCTTCAAACTCAAGAAACAACCCATGACACTCTTCCATAGTCAATTTCTGAAGAAATTTCTCCATTGCCTTCCAGTTCCATCTCATAACTTTCATCTCCTAGACTTCATTCAAAGAAATAAAAAAGAGAGGGGAGTTCATATATTGCCAAGAAAGGATAACCACTGTATTTTATAAATAAATCATAAAGGACTTTTCTACTTTACTATTACCCATGAACTTGTTTTTGTTTATTCTCTAAGGTGTGCATCATATCCAGTTCTTCATCATATCCCCAACGTCTAACATAGTACTTAGGTCATGGCAGGGATTCAGTACCTGTTGTTAAAGTGAACCTCTTTTATTCATTTATTTAACGAATGTTTACAGAGCTCCTGCTATGGGTCATATTCTGCTTTACAGGTTTAGGATATAGCATAAACAAGAAAAATAAGGTGACTGTTCTTTTGTATCTTACAGACTGACGGGGCAGCGTAGACAGATAATCAACACATAGACAACAGAACAGACAGTTTCAGGTATCTGCAAGTACAATAATTCGTAAGATCGGGTGATCAAGAAAAGCCTTACTAGGAAGGTATTAGGAAGGTAACATCTGAGCTAAGATTTGATTGACAAGAAAGCAACCATGTGAAGACACGGGACCAAACCGTCTCAGGGAGATGAAACAGTAAGTGCAACATGAAACAGGAAATCATTTTGCCTATTTAAAGAGATGACAAGATCCCAGAGTGGCTGCAGTGGGATGACCAGGGGTTAAAGCAGTAGGAAGTGAAGCCTGAGAGACAGGAAGGGCCAGATCATGTAGGGTATATGGTAAGAAGTTGGTATTTTATGCTGAGTAAAACATGAAGTGCTTTTAATTCTTCTTCTTCTTCTTCTTATTATTATTATTATTTTGAGATGGAGTCTTGCTCTGTCTCCCAGGCTGGAGTGCAGTGGCGCAATCTCAGCTCACTACAACCTCCGCCTTCCAGGTTCAAGCCATTGTCTTGCCTCAGCCTCCCGAGTAGCCGGGACTACAGGTACCTGCCATCACACCCAGTTAATTTTTTGTATTTTTAGTAGAGACGGGGTTTCACCACGTTGGCCAGGCTGGTCTTGAACTCCTGACCTCAGGTGATCCACCCACCTCGGCCTCCCAAAGTGCCAAGATGACAGGTGTGAGCCAGCGTGCCCAGCCCATGAAGTGCTTTTAAGCAGGAGAGTGACATGTTAGGTTTTTACAAGATCCCTATGGTTGTTTGTTACAAACAGAATAAAGTGGGTAGCAAAGATAGAGGCAGAATCTAGCTATGAACCTTCATCAAAAGTAAGAGATGAAGGAGTGGGGAGATGTTGGACAAAGGATATAAGATTTCAGTTAGAGTAAGTTCAAGAGTTCTATTGCACATCATGGTGACTACAGTAAATAACAGTATATTGTACACTTGAGAATTGCTAAGAGAGTAGATTTTATGTGGTCTCATCAGAAAAAGTTAAGTATGTGAGGTAATGCATATATCAATTAGCTGGATTTAGCCATTCCACAATGTATCAAATGTATCCATTGGATACCACAGATCATACTGCAAACTTTTGACAAAAACTTTTTGATCAGTGTACTTGAATTTATTTTAGAAGTTTGATCTGGAAAAGTAAGTTAATTTATCTTCTCAAACACAAATGAATTTAAGCTGTAGGCAAGCCAAGGCTCAAAAACTGTCTTCTAAAAATATCAGGGACTGTATACTTGTCAGTCATTTGACAACCCTTAGAGTCAGCTCTGGGCAGGCACTGTGCAAGGCATGGAGGACACAGTTTGAGGAAGAGGGCTGTCAGGTAAACAGGTGATGTGCTAAGTATTATAATAGAGCTGGAGCTGAGAGTTATGAAAAAAAAACACTGGAGAAACCACATTTCTCTGAGTGAATCAGGCTTCCCTGAGGAAGTAGCATTTTGCTAGATGTGAAACGGGAACACAGGACGAGGGAGAGGGCTTTGACAGAAATGTCAGTCAGTTATGAATGCATACCTCTTCTCTTTTCCCCTCTCATCTTCATTCATTATTCAGTGACGTAGGAAGACTCCTGAAATCAAAGTGAAGCAACATTTTACTAAGAGATCAGTCTATGGTGAATCACAGTAAAGCAATAAGACTAATCAAAATTCTCAATTGTGTAACACTTTTCCCTCAAGGAATGTCTACTTCTTTTAAAGATAGGCTTTCATTAAGTACCAATAACACTCTCATATGTTATGTAGATGTTGAAGACTTGCTTTATTGCATAATCCCCAATGAATATTTTTGATAATAACATTACAAATGAATATATTTGTAAAAGTTACAAAAACATTCTGTGGTTACACCACTTAACCAAAAAAAAAACCAAATATTTGTATTTTAATTCCATACCCTTAATTTGTGTTTTAATTCCATACCCTTAAATTCATTTAACTTTCACTAACTTTGAGAAAATTTAAGGAAATGAAGACAGATGCAGTTTGAAAGCTTCATGCCAAGCGTGTACATGCCACAAAAGGGAAAAATTTGCATTATTGTTGATGTTCACAGAAATCCTTGACATATAAAACAATAGCCCTGAAATCACTGAAGTCCTCTGCTTTGAGCTATACAATTAGACTCACACATCACCTCAAGGCCAAAGCCTCAAGGTAGATGTCAATGGCATCCCAATACATATGTGTTACAAAAAAGTGATTAAAATATAGCAAACATCCTTTAAATGTTCTCTAAGTAAGGGAAAGTTCAGGGAGTCAAACACTGGAACGGTACTGAGCACAAAATATGAACCCGTGCTTGGTGTTAATGCTCTCCTAGATAAAAAATAACCTGAACAGGGAAGTGAAACTAAAAATCACCACCT
Organism: Homo sapiens; assembly: GCF_000001405.40. Taxonomy (NCBI): domain Eukaryota; kingdom Metazoa; phylum Chordata; class Mammalia; order Primates; family Hominidae; genus Homo; species Homo sapiens. The sequence goes on along the minus strand of NC_000023.11, from coordinate 151,600,728 downwards.
CTCCCTATGTATAGCCAGAACTCCCAGAGGCTAACATTACATTGAAAAGAAAAATTGGATAAAAAATAACCCAAACAGCGAAGTGGAATTAAAACTCACCACCTCTCCCTACATGTAGCCAGGACTCCCAGAGGCTAACATTACATTGAAAAAAAAAATCCTCCTACCAACAAAAGAAGAAAACAGGAAGCTTGTCTGTCTCAGCATGTTCTCTGGGTACAGGAGAAAAGACACCACCATACTGAATCAACCTTGGGGTTCCAGAAAAAGCAAAGATAAACCCCTTCTGGAGACATACTTTCTAAAGACAGATTCCACAGAATTTCCACAAATAAGGCACTGTTGAAGATGAGCTCACCATTCAAAATTAGAAAATACATAAGGAAATAATCTCTCCCCCTCCCCCTCCCCCTCTCTCGCTCCCGTCTCCCTCTTTGCACGGTCTCCCTCTCCCTCTCCCTCGTCTCTCTCTTTGCACGGTCTCCCTCTGATGCCGAGCTAAGGCTGGACTGTACTGCCACCATCTCGACTCACTGCAACCTCCCTGACTGATTCTCCTGCCTCAGCCTGTCGAGTGCCTGGGATTGCAGGCGCACGCCGCCACGCCTGACTGGTTTTCGTATTTTTTGGTGGAGACGGGGTTTCGCCTTGTTGGCCGGGCTGGTCTCCAGCTCCTGACCGCGAGTGATCTGCCAGCCTCGGCGTCCCGAGGTGCCGGGATTGCAAACAGAGTCTCGCTCACTCAGTGCTCAATGTTGCCCAGGCTGGTGTGCAGTGGCGTGATCTCGGCTCGCTACAACCTCCACCTCCCAGCCGCCTGCCTTGGCCTCCCAAAGTGCCAAGATTGCAGCCTCTGCCCGGCCGCCACCCCGTCTAGGAAGTGAGGAGCGTCTCTGCCTGGCTGCCCATCGTCTGGGATGTGAGGAGGCCCTCTGCCCGGCCGCCCAGTCTGGGAAGTGAGGAGCGCCTCTTCCCAGCCGTCATCCCATCTAGGAGGTGAGGAGCGTCTCTGCCCGGCCGCCCATTGTCTGGGATGTGGGGAGCGCCTCTGCCCGTCTGCCCCGTCTGAGATGTGAGGAGCGCCTCTGCCCGGCCGCGACCCCATCTGGGAACTGAGGAGTGTCTCTGCCCCGCCGCCACCCCGTCTGGGAGGTGAGGAGCGTCTCTGACCGGCCGCCCCGTCTGAGAAGTGAGGAGCCCCTCCACCCGGCAGCCGCCCCGTCTGGGAAGTGAGGAGCGTCTCCGCCCGGCAGCCGCCCAGTCCGGGAGGTGGCGGGCAGCCCCCGCCCGGCCAGCCGCCCCGTCCGGGAGGTGGGGGGCGCCTCTGCCCTGCCGCCCCGTCTGGGAAGTGAGGAGTCCCTCTGCCCGGCCGCTGCCCCATCTGGGAGGTGTACCCAACAGCTCATTGAGAACGGGCCATGATGACGATGGCGGTTTTGTCGAATAGAAAAGGGGGAAATGTGGGGAAAAGAAAGAGAGATCAGATTGTTACTGTGTCTGTGTAGAAAGAAGTAGACATAGGAGACTCCATTTTGTTCTGTACTAAGAAAAATTCTTCTGCCTTGGGATGCTGTTAATCTATAACCTTACCCCCAACCCCATGCTCTCTGAAACATATGCTGTGTCCACTAAGGGTTAAATGGATTAAGGGCGGTGCAAGATGTGCTTTGTTAAACAGATGCTTGAAGGCAGCATACTGGTTAAGAGTCATCACCACTCCCTAATCTCAAGTACCCAGGGACACAAACACTGCGGAAGGCGGCAGGGCCCTCTGCCTAGGAAAACCAGAGACCTTTGTTCACATGTTTATCTGCTGACCTTCCCTCCACTATTGTCCTATGACCCTGCCAAATCCCCCTCTCCAAGAAACACCCAAGAATGATCAATAAATACTAAAATAATAATAATAATAATCTATCAGTCCCCAAAATAAGGGACACACATACCCCAACAGTATGAATCCCCCAAGAACTTCAAATAGATGTGGACAAAGATGAATTAGAAATTATATAAATAGATATATTCAATGAAACTAATTTTTAAAAGATGGATTGAACAATGTATTAGAAACATCAGATAGGGAAATTAGTAAGTGGAACAGAGCTATGAGGAAACTTGCCATACAGTAGGAGAAATGGGTTAGAAAATATGAAACAAGAGGTTATGAGACATGAAGGACAAAATGGGAAGGCACAGTATATATCTAAGAGGGGTTCCAGATGGGCATAATAGCAAGGGGAGATGAGCAGTAAGGAGATAATTTTAAATTTTCCAGAATGGAAAATGTGACCCAATCTGGATAAATCAAAATAAAACCACACCTAGAAATATCACAGTGAAATCTCAGAGCACAAAAAACAGCTAAGCCATTCTAAGCCATAAAAAAGATCAATACATACCAAAGAATATTATCATATAGACCATATTTTCTGGCCCAAATACAATTAAATTAGAAATCAATAATAAAAAGACAATACAAAACCTGATCGATTTGAACATTCAAAATAACAAAACTTCCTAAATAGCTCTGAAAAGCAGAAAATACTCAGAACTAAAGTATTACAAGTATACCACATATTACAAATATATTAAAGTAAAATGCAGCTAAAGTAGTACCAAAGCTTTTAGTCTTAAATGCCTATTAGGAAAAAAAGCAAACAAAAACTAGTAAACAAGTTAGTAAACAAAATTAGTAAGTTGGCCGGGCGCAGTGGCTCACGCCTGTAATCTCAGCACTTTGGGAGGCCGAGGCGGGCAGATTACCTGAAGTCAGGAGTTTGAGACTAGCCTCGGCAACATGGTAAAACCCTCTCTCTACTAAAATACAAAACATAGCTGGGCGTGGTGGCAGGCACCTATAATCCCAGCTACTCTGGAGGCTGAGGCAGGAGAATTGCTTGAACCTGGGAGGCAGAGATTGCAGTGAGCTGAGATCGCACCACTGCACTCCAGCCTAGGCGACTGAGTGAGACTCCATTTCATACAAACAAACAAACAAAATTAATAAATTAGTAAACAAAATAATTTAAAAATAAAAGTAAAGCTAAAGAAAGGAGAAGAAAATAATAGATAGGACCAGAAAATAATGCAATAAAAATAAAGATAAAACAGAAATCTTAAAATGCTTTCTTAAAATAAAAAGTAGTGAAATAAATAAAGCATTGTTATACAAGATTAATCAAGAAACATGGGAGAGGACACATTTTGGAATGAAAGGGCATATTATAAATACAACATAGTAAAAAGCAGTATGATCAACGTTATACCCATAAATTTGAAAACAGAGAAACAGATAAAATGGGATACTGCCTTGGAAAATGAATTTTACCCAAACCTATTTAAGGATACAAAGAAAACCTGAATAAACTCTACAAATCTAAATAAATAAATTTGGTAGTTAAAAATCCATCCACAGAAAATAACCTAAACAAATCTAAACAAAACCTGATGATTTCGCAAATGGATGCTTCTAAACATTTAGAGAACTGATAGGTATCTCCTATCCCATGCAGATTACACTAGAAAACACATAAAAAGAGAAATTACCCAATCTATTTTATAATGCTAGTATATTCTTCATACCAAACCAGAGAAAGGCAGCATCAAAAAGAGAAATTTTATGTCAGTTTTGTTTATGATCCATATGAAAAAGTTCTAAATAAATTGTAAAAACCCAAACCAGCAGGGTATTAAGAAAGTGGAGTTAATCCAGAAATATCAGGATACTTTCACATTAGAAAAAATATATAATTCAACATCCCAGTTAAAAAGAGAAAAAGCATGTGATCATCTCAGTAGATTCAGAAAAACACATTTGATGTAATTTAATACACACATATGATTTTTGAAAATATTCTTAACAGACTAGGAATAGACAGGAAGTTCCTTAACCTGATAAAATATGTCAACCAGAAACATACAAACCTCCTAAAGGTAGAACATTAAAGGAATTTTTTAGCTTCAGGAAAAAAAAGAGTGGTTGCATTCATGAACACTCTGATTATCTACATAGAAAACCTAAGAAATTCTGCAAATTATTAGAAATAAAATAGTCCAGCAAGGTTGCTGTGTACAAGATTAATATTTAAAAATTAATTTGTTCCTACATACCAGCAACCAAAATTAGGAAATATTTTTAAAACATACAATAGCAACAAAAAGTTACAGAGGTCTGCTATGGCTTGGTTGTGGTTTCCTGTCTCCACCAAAACTCATGTTGAAATTTGATCCTTAAAAAGAGGCAATGCTGGAAGGTGGAGCCTAGTGAGAAGGTTTGGGTTATGAATGGCTTGGTGCCATTCTCCTGGTCGTGAGTTCTCACTCTCTTGATACAGGATTACTTCTCAGGGGAATGGATTAATTTCTGAGAGACTGGGTTGTTAGAAGCTTAAGTTCCTCCTCCTGCCTGCCTCACTTTTTGCACATGTCCCCTTCCCCTTAGACTTTCTCTGCCATGTTGTGATGTAGCGCAAAATCCCTTGCCAGAAGCTAGGGCCATCCCCTTGAACTTCTCATCCTGCAGAACCTTGAGTTAAATAAACCCCTTTTCTTTATAAATTACCCAGTCTCAGGTATTCTGTTATAACAACAGAAAACAGACTAAGACAGGATTGCTGTTTATCACTCTAGAATAACTGATGTGGGAACAGTCCCCCTGCCATGAACAATTAGGAAACTGGACAAATTATAGGAAATGCCTGTTCTAAGACACTGGAAAGCAGGTAGCACATGCCTGTGATCTTTGAGATAAGAGCAAAAATGAGAAGAGCTCCACAGAAATCCCAGATTTCTACCTGAGGGCACTTCCAGACCATGATTGAGGGAGAAGGATCTCAACCAGAATAAAGTGGTCTCATTAAGTTTTAGGAAACAGACCTAAGAGTTCAGAAAACCAAGAAAGATGGTTACAATTTGTGGAGCAGAGTATCAGAAAGAAGGGAGCTCTGGGGGAAAAAGAGTTCCAGAAATCTGCACACATGTTTTTTGTTTTTTGTTGTGTTTTTTGAGACAGAGTCTCACTCTGTCGCCAGGGCTGGAGTACAGTGGCACGATCTCGGCTCACTGCAAGCTCTGCCTCCCGGGTTCATGCCATTCTCCTGCCTCAACTTCCCGAGTAGCCGGGACTACAGGGGCCTGCCACAACGCCGGGTACATTTTTTTTTTTTTGTATTTTTAGTAGAGACGGGGTTTCACCATGTTAGCCAGGATGGTCTCCATCTCCTGACCTCGTGATCCGCCCGCCTCAGCCTCCCAAAGTCCTGGGATTACAGGCGTAAGCCACTGCGCCCGGCCTGCAAGGTGACATTCTACAAGACCAGTCAAAGATCAAAACTACCAGGGAGAGAACAAATGGTATGAATACAAAACTAAATAACCACCACAGTTCATGCCTAGGTGGAAGACATTTGAGTTGTATCCAGCCAGAGTAGAGGAAAAGGAGCAGAGTCTCTCTCAGTGTGGGATGGTATCAGGCAATCTAAAATATAAGTAACTAGATTCCCAGAAGAGGGAGGCAAAAATATTTTTTGGAAAAATAATTACCAATTTTTTTGCCATACTGGATGAAAAATATAAACTCATATATCCAAGAATATTGGTGAACCCAATAAAATAAACACAAAGAAAAACTAAAACAAATTGCTGAAAACCAATTTTAAACAGAAATCTTAAAGCAAACAGAAATAAAAGATACATTTAATACAGGAGGAAAAATAATGTTTTCTCTCTGGCTTCCCATCAGAACAACTCAAACCAAAAGACAATGAAACATCTTTAAAGTGCTGGGAAGGGGGGGTTGGAAAATCAACCTAGAATTCTACATCCAGCAAAAATACACCCTTTGAGAAAACTAAAGATATTTTCAGGTGAACAAAATCTGAAAGAAGTCAATGAGAAGCATACCAGCTTTAATAGAAATATTAAAGGAAGTACTTCAGGTAGAAGGAAAATGATCCCAGGTGGAATCTCAGATCTACACAAAGGAATGAAAAGCACTGGCAAGAATATATATGTTCATAAATATAAAAGAATGTTTATCTTCTTTAATTTATTTCTATAAAAGATAATTGATGTAAAAGCAAAATATTCTAAAGTTTATAATATATGCTGAAGTAAAACCCGTGACAATGATAGCACAAAGGACGGGAGGGTGGAAAATAGAAATCTGCTGTTGTAAGCTTCTTACATTATACATGAAGTGGCACAATATTAATCCATGGCAGACTGTAATAAATTAAAGATGTATATGACAAACTGCCTAGACAACAAATAAAAGGCACAGATATAGATTATAAATCAAAAAAGAGATAAAATGGAATACTAACTAAAAGCTCATTTAATCCAAAAGAAAGCAGAAAAAAGAAGACAATGGAAACATCAATCAAATAGGACAAACAGAAAACATATAGTAAGATGGTAGACTTAAATCAAAACATACTCATAATAATATAAATTATCAGCCGGGCACGGTGGCTCACGCCTGTAATCCTAGCACTTTGGGAGGCTGAGGTGGGTGGATCACGAGGTCAGGAGATCGAGACCATCCTGGCTAACACAGTGAAACCCGGTCTCTACTAAAAATACGAAAAATTGGCCAGGCATGGTGGCGGGCACCTGTAGTCCCAGCTGCTCAGGAGGCTGAGGCAGGAGAATGGCATGAATCCAGGAGGCCGAGATTGCAGTGAGCCGAGACCGTGCCACTGCATTCCAGCCTGGGTGACAGAGTGAGACTCCGTCTCAAAATAATAATAATAATATAAATTATCAATGGGCTAAACACACAAATGTAGTTTAGGATTGTTGATTAGATTTTTAAAAAGCAAGACCAAACTATATGTATCGTCTATAAGAAACTCAATTTAATTATAAAGACACAGGTTAAAAGTGGGATTAACCACTGTGGAAGACAGTGTGATGATTCCTCAAGGATCTAGAACTAGAAATACCATTTGACCCAGCAATCCCATTACTGGGTATATACCCAAAGGATTATAAATCATGCTACTATAAAGACACATGCACACATATGTTTATTGCAGCACTATTCACAATAGTAGTGACTTGGAACCAACCCAAATGTCCATCAATGATAGACTGGATTCAGAAAATGTGGCACATATACGCCATGGAATAGTATGCAGCCATAAAAAAGGATGGGTTCATGTCCTTTGCGGGGACATGGAAGAAGCTGGGAACCATCATTCCCAGCAAACTATCACAAGGACAGAAAACTATACACCGCATGTTCTCACTCACAGGTGGGAATCAAACAATGAGAACACTTGGACACAGGGCAGGGAATATCACACACTGGGGCCTGTCAGGGGTGGGGGGTTGGGGGAGGGATAGCATTAGGAGAAATACCTAATGTAAATGACGAGTTGATGGGTGCAGCAAACCAATATGACACATGTATACCTATATATCAAACCTGCACATTGTGCACATGTACCCTAGAACTTAGAGTATAATAATAAAATTTTAAAAAATAAAATAAAAAAATAAACTTAAATAACTACAAAAAAGTGGGATAAAAACATATATACCACTCAGCCCTAATAATAAAAGATTTGGGTGACTATATTAATATTACACAAAGTAGACTCTAGGATAAATATATCACTAGGGAAAAGAAGGGACATTTCATAATGATAAAGGAAGTCAATCAAGAAAACTTAACAACCCTAAATATGTTTACATCTAACTACAAAGCTTTACAGTGAAGTAAAAACGGACATAAATGAAAGAAGAAATAAATAAATCCACAATTAAGAGTTGGTAATTTAAATACTCCCCTTAGTAATCAATAGAATAAATAAAGAGAAAATAAGTAAGGATATCGAAGACTTAACATTACCAGCAATAATATTTACAGAACACCACATCCAGGCAGCTATGGAACGTACATTATCTTCCACTGTATATGGAACATTCAATAAGATTCAACATCTACTGTTTCAATAAATTTAAAGCATTAAAATCACACAGATTTTGTTCTCTGACCACAACAGGATTAAATTAGTAATACTAAACACACAAATATCTGGAAACCCCTCAAATATTTGGAAGTTAAATGTCATACTTCTAAACAATCTGTGGGTCAAAGAAGAAACCCCAAAGAAAATTGGAAAATATTTCAAAATGATTTACTATAAAAATTAATTTTAAATTCCAAAAACTTCAATAATCTAATTGTAATTTATTAAAATTACATTTATACATCTTTATGGTATATATTTCCATCAAGAAAAGTTCTCTCTCTACAATTATTCAAACCCGTTTTTCATGTTCTTAAATAACATTTATAGGTTCCTTCATATAGAAAGGAAACTATCCAGTGCTTAGTAGCTAATTTAACAAAACTGCACAGAAATACTACACTAGAAATAATAAGGCTTTATTGAATCACATAAAATAAATGCAGTGACAATGCGAAGTCTGTGTAAGGGATGTCTCAATATCATCAATTTATCAGATCTTCCCAACTAATGTACAAATTAACATAATTCTGATCAGACCAGTAAGTTTTTTTGTTTTGCTTTGCTTTGTTTTTCTATGTAACTTCACAAGTTAATTACAAAATTCCTGTGGAAAGTAAAGGGCCAAAATACCTACAATAACTTTGAAGAACAACAGCAATATAAAGGGTGTGCCTACTAGACATCAAAGCTTATTATAAAGCTACTGTATTCAGGCTAATCAATAATGGTAAACACATACATATAGCAGAGAAGAGACAACATAAACTGAAATTTGATTTATGATAAAAGAGGCATTAAAATTTTGAAGTTTTACCATGGAGAGAGACAAAAAAAGAGAGAGAGAGAGTATGTGTGTGTGTTTAATATAGCCCTTTCTGTGTTTTGGGGCAACAAAATTTGTTTACAAGTTCTTTGAAGACAGGAGCCATGCTTTACATATCTTTGATACCTCCAACAGCACACAGCTTCACACAGAGCACACACTCAAAATCCACAGATAAACACCTGACCACTCTCCTTACCTACTGGGCAAGGTAGGCTCAAACACCTAACTGCTAATGGACTTTGCACCTTCTCCACTCAGTAATTCATTCTAAAACAACAGATTCAGAAACTTATGTCGGTGAAAGAACATGGAAAGATTGAAAAAGAATAAGGCTAATTAAAAGCTCTCAGGCCAAGAATAGTCAGCCCTCCTATGCAAAATAATAATTAATTGGTTGGAAATAGCTGTTTACATAAGTACATTTTTCCAAAATCAATGGGAAATAATCTAAAATCCCATCAAATTGTATTACTGAAGTATAATATAAAGGTCAGGAGGGTCACACTTGCAAACATTTCTTCTAAGAGGTTTTGTGGGGAGTGTTGTTCTCATCCATTTTTAATTTTCTGGAAAAACGTATGATAGATGTGTGTGTACACACACATCTATACATACATAGATATTTGTTTTAGTTTACAAGAAGACACACTGAATAGGTGGATTTAATTCATCATTGGCTCTCTGTAGTTGAGAATCACTTAGATATATACTTTCCGGCATGACTACTATGATAATATAGATGTATCAGTGTCTAATTGGGATAAGGCCCACAGTCAAAAGAATCCTCAGTCTAACTCTCTCAGTCTCAAAACTTCCAAGACCCAAATATCAGACTTACAGCTCAAGCTCCACAGCAATACCAACCTTTTCTAGAGACAAGTGACTTACTGATCAAAATCTGGGCTCCTGTTGCTAATGTTCCTGAAACATGTTGCAGGAGTTCTATCTGGGACCTATGTGACATACATGTCATGTGCCATATCTCCCAGAACAAATATTTCAGGACTAAATGACACTAAAGTTGTAATCCTGAATTAGAATCAAAGTGAAGCATGTCCTGGCTGGGTGCAGTGGCTCACACCTGCAATCCCGGCACTTCGGGAGGTCAAGGCAGGAGGATAGCTTGAGCCCAGGAGTTCAAGCCCAGCCTGGGCAACACGGTGAAAATATAAGAAATAAGCTGGGCATGATGGCGCGCACCTGTAGACTCAGCTACTGTGGAGGCTGAGGTGGGAGGATCGCTTGAGCCTGGGAGGCGGAGGTTGCAGTGAGATGACATGGCACCACTGCACTCCAGCCTGGGCGACAGAGTGAGACCATCTCAAATAAAAGTAAAAATAAAAGTAAAAATAAAAAGTGAAAGTGGAACATGTCCTGAGAATCAGTCCAGGACCCATTTACTATGGGGTTAGGTTCAAGGTATTAAATCTTCCACCATCCATGGACTACTTTACAATGCCAAATTTTTACTACACCTGACAGCCGTGGAAGGAGAGAAACCAGGCTGAGGAGCAAGAATTGCAAGATCATGACTTTCTGAATGCAAACCTAGGGGACTAGGAAAGAGTTTAAAATAAAGACTAAAGCACTGTAATTCATGAGTTTACTTACATATCTCAGGGCTGATGTCCTTTCCAACAAATCCTTCACAAATTCAGATAAATAACTTGTACTCATCCACCTTTGCCTGTTCTGCCTTTTAAAGTTGAATTTTAGTGCAGTTCCATGTGAAATGTCTATATTTGTGGCATTCTTCATTTTCAAATAGAGTAACATTTGCCCAGGACTAGGAGTCCAAGCTCCCTTTATCCTCCCACCCCAGATTACATTTCTTATTTCATGGAATATCTCATTTGTGACACTCCCCAGTAGATTTTTCATGTTTTGTAATCAATGCAGAGGCTAGTGAAAAGCATGTTTTCAGAGAATCTGTATTACGAAAAATACTTATAATGTTGTCTGGAAAAGGTTACAGGATTGTATGTGCTATATGAACCCAATCATGTTAAGCAAATGATCAAATGCAATATTGTGTAGAAAACAGAATGAGAAATAAAAGCAAAGCATTCACAAGGTGTCTTTTAGTGATAGAACAATGAGCAAGTACATTTTTTTTATATTTTTAAAGTTTGTTACAATTAGTATGTGTGCCATTCAGAATTAAGAAACTCCTCTCAAAAATAATGTGGACACCAGTGTTGAAGAGTGAAGAGACTGGGCTCTGGAATCAATTGGACCTGGGTTTAAATCCCAACTCTCTACCTGTTTGTAGATGTGTGACCTTTGGTCCTTAACTTCTATGAGTCTCAATTATCTCAACTTTAAAATGGGGGTTATAATACCTACATGCCAAGGTTTTTATGAGAATTAAGTTAATGTATATGAAGTGGCTAGCACTATGACTGACTCATAGCAACCACCCAATAAATTATGGCTTTCATTAGCGATTGTTAATAGCAGTATAAAATCTAAAAGACTGTGAGAAGGATGCAGTCTTCTCAGAGGGGGCAGTGATGGCAAAAATTTGGCAATACAGAGAGGTTTCTTCACATCACCTGTTGTTGCAACAATGAGAGAACTGTGTGGAGACCAATCTCCATGCAGTGGGCCTACCAGGTAAGTCTAACATGTCATGAATAAGTGCTGTCTCAGGTCTAGGTGCAGAGTCAGGGTATCATGGCACCTAATGTATGCCCGCGTAATGTGCAACATGTGGCAGAAGAGGATAACCCTGTAGTGGTAATGATCTGCGCAGAAGTGACATTGTCCCCAATAACACACAGCAGCCCACATGTAGGAATGGGGAAAGGGGGTGATCAGATCAGTCCTTGCTCCGAGTGTTTCTGAGCACCAAGGAGAACAAGAGACACTAAGAATATTAGCCACAGTACTTGACGTGTAGAACTGTGATGTAAAGATTGACTAAGTGAAGAAGTTGGGGCAGGGATGTGGGGAAAGCTCACTGAGAAAAAAAGTAGAGAAGCCAAGTGGCTGGAATGAATCTTCAGCAGGCAATGGGCAGGTGTATTAAAAGTCCCAGAGAAAGAGTAATGCAAGGATTGGAGTTTCTGGGCCTAATTGAGCAGAATTAAGTTGCAAATGTTAGCAGTAATTTCTAATGGTGCAAAAAGTATGATCATGAACAATATTCTATCTTTCATAAAGAGAGACTAAGAGAGAACATATCCTCACTCTTCCACATCTGAAGAGGTTAAAGTTAACTAGTTAGTGCTCTAGAACCCAGGAATCTCTGTGGGGTTGCCTAAATCACAGGCAGTTCCTGGCAGGCCTAATCAGCGATTTGTCAGAATGAGTACTATTTCAGCAGCACCCAGAAATGTGCTCTGCAGATCAGTCTGTCCTCCCTCACCCAGTCTGTCAGTCAGCTTAGCCAGACTGACAGAGAGAAAGAAAACTCTGTGGCCTCCCAGTGCAGTAATGGCCAGAAAGTGTTTGACTCATGTAAACATCATTTAAGATGTTTACATGGAATTTTAAAGAAAACCAGAGAAGGTCAGAAGAAAAGCAGAATGCAGAGACTACTACATCTTTGGAAATTACTTTGGTTACAATATTTGTTTATTTTAAAGTAAAAACCTCAAAGTATTGAAAATGCTATTGTGGAAGATAATCACATCATATATTTGTAGTTATAAAAATTGCTGCGCACTATCAGGGATCAACTCTGTCTTTCTATAGAGAGAGACACGTACACACTCTTTATAAACAATTGCTCAAGCAAAGGAAAATGGTCTTTCAAATCTCAATATGGTTCCAGGAATTTGTTTTAAGTTTATAGGGGAAAATGCATTATGGCACATTTCATCAATGTGAGTGAAGTCATCTTCTCTTCTCATATAAGGTTTATTAAAGGCATTTAATCAGTGAGAAAGAATGAAATATTTACAATTCTCAAGTAGACAGTAATGATGTTAAATGTGTATGATATAAACATATCAACCAAGTCAGTGGAAATTTCCAATTTATTTTCAATCAAAATTCCTTCAAAAATTACAACTCATAAGACAATATTTTATCAGTTACTCATCCATCTTAAGGGAATATAACTTTCCAACGGATAAAATCAAGAATGTAAATTAATCTACCCTGGATTACGTAATATGCATGCCATACACCACACAATACGCCAGGAAAGGCAGGTGGCAAAGTCATGCTCCAAAAGAGATCCAGGAACAGAATCAGGCATCCTGGTGTTTTTGAGGTATCCCTACTGACTGGCTGTGCTTTTCTCTAACCTTAGTTCTTTCAGTAAGCTCTCACTGCACAAGCATAGACCCTGACCTGAGCCAACGTTGTGAGGGAATCCAAGCAATGAAGAAAATGAACTCAATTCCACGGAAGCACGCACACACACATACACACATACCTGCATAGGAAAAATGCCCAGTCTTTCCTAGACCAAAGCTGAGGTGCATTCTGAGCACAGGTGCATATTTTGTGGCCCCTTCTGAGAACAGGGTCAGGCCAATTTTGTCACTTATTATATTCCTAGCACCCTAAACTGTGCCTGGTAGAAAACCCATGTTGAATAAATGTTTGGTGGATGAATAAATGAATGAGGGAACGCTGAGTCTTACCTGTAAAAATGCAAATGGTCAAAGTTTGCTGAACACCTCCTCTCACCCAGCTAATCCTAATCCTGTTCCTAAAAGATAGGTACAAAAAAAAAAAAAAAAAGGCAAACCCAGATCTGTAAAGAAACAAAGTCAGATTTAAAAGGGTGTTTCTTACTGATTTCCCCCTTTTGGGAATTCATATGTCATGTTCTCTTAGTCTGAGACAATAAGGAATACTAAAGAAACAGAAGATTTCTGGCATCCCTGAACATTCCGGCAGAATATTTCAAGTTTCTAGATGGTCCAGCAAAAATTTCTGCAGGCTCTAAAACAGATCAGCAATCCATTAAACGATTAATCCCAGTCTTATTCTAATTAAGTCCATAAAACCCTTCTGTGTTCCTGCCAGTTCTGAAATCTCAGCAATTCAACTCCTGTCCCTGCCACACCCTGGCAGTACACAGGCTTGTGGGGAAGACTGGCACCTGTATAAATCCACTGATTCAGGGCAAGGGGCAAGAGAGTAATCAATACCGAACTAGAAGCTTCACAGAAGATGGCAAGTTCTAGGGATGCCCCGGACATTTACAATCAGAATCATCACGGCATCAAGTTCTCTAAGCCATGTCTATGCACACTAACCTTTGAGAAGCACTTAAGTTAGAAGACCCAGGGAGTTCAGCTGGGAGAGGTTGGGGCCTTGAAGTAGGGCAGTGGCAGCAGAGGTAGAGCCAAAATAACCAACATTTACTGAGATTACTACATACATACTAGGTCCTGTGTATTTCACCAGTCACCATTTAATCCTTACAACAGCCCTGTTCGATAGGTGCTGTTACTCCCATTTCCCACATGAGGGTACTGAGACTCAGAGTTTAAGTAGCTTGTCTGAAGTTACATAGCTAGTACCTGACAGCACTGGAAAATCAGTCTGTAAACATTTGCTTCACCATCTCCTCTGTAGTGCTTTTCAACTCTCAAGGAAGGTGATCTTTCTCTCTCTTGCTACGCTACCCACTTTCTTTCTCTCTTACTAAACTCTGAAGTGATTACTCTAAAAGCTCTCTAAACTATTTTGGAGGCCCAACTGATGTGAAAGTGAGTATATGAATAAGTGGGAAACTTTAGAATTCAGTTTATAACCACTACATTCTCTGGACAACACCACCTAAGCTTTTGTAACAGCCTTCACATTCACTCTTGCCCAGGAAAGCTCTCTAGCTACCCTCTCAGATGCAGTCTTCTACATCCTGTCCCCTAGCATTTTCCTGGGTTGTACATGAAGCCCCAAAGCAATCTGCTTCCTCTTCCATGGTCAAACTGAGTGCCCTTCCCACAACCCTTTCCTCCAGAATCCCTAAGCCATGTAAGAATTCTGCTGATCAGTATCAGGCAGGTAATTAAATGTTTGTTAATTTCCCTCCCTTATTTATCAACAGAATGCAACATTCTCCTTCCTTGGTTGAAACAACAAAAATTCGGTAGAATTAAATTTCTACATTTATTGTATAACAATCCTCTGAAAGGAGTAGAAAGCCAGGTATTCATATTTACCTGGATATTAGCAGAGAAAATCCCAGTTATACGACAAAATACTCAAGCATGAATATCATCAATCTATTCTTGCAAATGATGGTTGCCAAGTCAATTTTCATAACATCTCTTCCTTCTCTGCCCTGGTTTGGGCCCAACTGACCAGCAACCATAGCCTGTCTGTCCTTGGATCCCATCTCTGTACTATCACTCACACTTGCCTGCTCCTACCAATCCTCAATGCCAGGCCTCAAGCTCAGGCCCTTTCACCTCAATTCCTGCAACCACCTCTTCCTCCATGGTCTCCATTTTTGCCCCCTCTAGTCCATCCTCAACCAGCGGCCAATATGATCTTATACACTGACTTGATCTGTCCTTCCACTTAAAGCCTTCCCCTGGGTCCCCCATTATCCCAGACTACTGGAAAGGCCCTGCTTGAAGCCCTCTGCAGCAAGTAATTTATTTGATTCTCAGATCTTTTTGAGGTATGATCTGATGTTATCTTCACTTTATAGATGAAAAAACTGAGTCACAGAAAGGTAGCCCAAGATCAACCAGCTAGTAAGTAGTAGATCAAAGATTTGAATCCAGAGAGTCTGGTATAAGAATTAAAAAGTACACTGGATTTCCTTATATACCTATGCCACTGTTTCCAAGAAGTCTTCCTGGATTACCCCTACTAAACCTTGCCCTTTATGTGCATTTTTCTTATTCTTCCACTAGAATGTAAGCTTCCTCAGGACAGGGAAGGCTTATTCCATTTTCTATATCCTAAAACATCTAGAACTGTGCACCACAGACACAAAGCATTGGGTATTTGTTCAATCAAATTAAATGTATGTAAGTACAAAAGATGATATAGAAAACTTGGTACAAACTATGTTTCCTTAACAGCTCACCCTTCTCTTTGCAAAGTGCAGTGACAGAATATGGTCCTATACAATGAGATGACAAAATAGAGGAAATGAGAATTTAGAATACCAAAATCAAAGAGATGTGGTCCCTAGGAGTCCTAGGATTTTACAGAATAAATAATTCCAGAGAAATCCAGCATATTTAATTTCCGTAGTGAATTCTGTGTGAAGTTTACCAACCCCATCATGTCTAAGGATGTTTCAAAGGGTTAGAGAATGGGTAATGGCCTGTGGAAGCATTTACAAGACAAATCAATTCCAAGTTTCTTGCATCTAGTGGTTAAAGTGCTGTCTCACACTATCTATAACTGTCCAGGGCTACCTCCACCCCCAACAGGCAAAGGAAAGTTCATCATCCCTTTGATTTCCAGTAAAATAACAAGACATCCTTGCAGGACTTTACTTCCTGAAAAAGGAAAATTAATCTGAAGTCTGCTACTCAAATGTACACATTATCACGGCTAGTTACAGTAGCTGGACAATAAAACCTAGTGAATAAGACCTATAGATATCCAGGTGACAAACACGAATTGTAAGATTTTAAGTGGAATTCAATCAGCCTGTAGAACTTAATGTTTTTCATTATTCCCAAAGCATGTCCTAATATTAAACACAGAAATCAATCTGTATAGGAAGCAATAAACCCCTGATATGAAGAAAAGAAAAGCTTCTGCTTTTCTTCTGGATGTATTGTCTGGTGCTATCTTTCCCTGATTGATTTCTTCAATCTGTATTTCAAAGGCTAGCCTTCACTTCCCAATGAGAGTGGTCTACTGTGGGATTCAGAGGGGAATTCCAAAGTTATTGTTAATGGTCCTTACATTTCTAGCTATGTCACAATTTCCATCCATTTGTGACCTTCTGCTCACTAGGAATGTGCCTATATACCAACCTTGTTGTTCTATTAATCCATTAAATTCATACTCTTCTCCAAATTGACATCTTATAAAAATCTAGCTGAGAACTGATAGAACTATCAGTAAATTTTTATCTCTTTTAGATCTTCTTTTGATTTCCCTTAGACTTAGCCTGAATTCTTCTAGGACTGGGACACATGAAAGCACCTTAAGTCAAAAAGCTGAAGTACTGCATTTATTCCCAATACATTCACAAAGTGCATACTCCGAGCCAGCCTTAGCAATATCAAGTGTGAGAATCCAGAGATGAAGATGCCACAGTCTCTGTCCTCACAAAGTTCACAGTCAATAAGGAGAGGCATTGAAGTCAATCATTATAACTCCACAATTAGAAAGGATTTCATCAAGATTAAAACAGTCTGTGAAATCTAAAAGACAGGTAGAACTGAAAAATATTGCCAGTTTTTTAATTAATTATGAAGAGTATGTTACTATCATTCTTCTTCCAAAGCACACACACAAAAAAAACTACGCTGGGACTTGACAGGGAATCTGTCTTCAGGTCCCTTGTTATAAGAGTTCCTTGGAGATGAAACCATCCTCCTTATGTTACTTTTATATTTAAGCAATAAACCTCCCTTGGAATGGGGCTCATATGCAACCATAGTTAGTGAATTTAGATTTATAGCAGTAGAAAAGTATAAGATTTTAGAATAATTAAAGATAGTAATAACATTAAGTGATATTTATTAAACACTTACTACACATCCCAGGCATTATGTTCCCCATTTTACACATGAGGAAAATGGGTTCCAAATATTTTTGCTAACTTTCCCAAGGCCATCCTGGGAGTCCATGGCAGTGCCTGAGCACTCACTTGCTGTAGTGTACTGCCTTTTCATTACTTAGCATTGGCCCTTTTTCAACACTCTTGCCCATCTGCAAGTGTCACGTGTTGTTTCCCAACCACCCTGCTTACACCCACCCCCAATTTCCATCTGTGACCTTCAGCTCACTAGGACTAAGCACGAACATCCCACATTTCTCCCAATTCTGGTTCCCTTGCCTATCAACAAATTACTTTGATGTTCTGTAGCAATTACATTTATGTCCAATAACTTTTCAGCAATTGATCTTGCTCTTGAAACTCACAAAAAATCATAACTATGCTGACAAAGTGTCTGTAAACACATCAGTGTTGTTCGTTGAAAAAAAAATAGGAGAGAGAGTTTGGTTTCCATCATGTTAAGAGCTCAGTCCCTTGACAGTGATTGCTAAGACACGGGATTTGAATATTTGAGAATTCCTGGTCTATAGCAAGGAGTGACAGTCCAGTGCACTTCAAACCTCTAGACAGTATCAAAGCTGAAGTGCAGCAGCATTTTAGGCTTCGGAGGAGGTAAGAATCTTGAAGTGCATTCCATCCTTGCCTCATCACTTCCCCCTCCAGTATTTGAGTTCTAGGCCCCTGCTACATCTCTCTCCCACCTAGAGCTCTCCTAAAGCCCCTTTGGGTGTTTGTTGCTGTCATATCTGAGTGGACCATGACACTGAACCAAGGCTGATACTCTTAGATACACTCAAGATCCAAAGACAGGCCAGGCATGGTGGTACAGGTCTGTAGTCCCAGCTACTCAGGAGGCTGAGGCAGGAGGATCACTTGAGCCTGGGAGGTCAAGGCTGCAGGGAGCCATGATTGTGCCACTCACTGTACTCCAGCCTAGGTGACAGAGTGAGACTTTGTCTCAAAAAAAAGCGGGGGCCAGGTGCGGTGGCTCAAGCCTGTAATCCCAGCACTTTGGAAGGCCAAGGTGGTGGATCACGAGGTCAGGAGAGAGACCACCCCGGCTAACACGGTGAAACCCCGTCTCTACTAAAAATACAAAAAATTAGCCGGGCGTGGTGACACACACCTGTAATCCCAGCTATTCGGGAGGCTGAGGCAGGTGAATCACGTGAACCCGGGAGGCGGAGGTTGCAGTGAGCTGAGATCGTGCCACTGCACTCCAGCCTGGGCAACAGAGCGAGACTCCTTCTCAAAAAAAAAAAAAAAAAAGGAAAAAGAAAAAAAAAAGATTCAAGGACATATTATTGGGAATATTGCCCCTGAACACCTCCTAGAGAAATTTTCCTGTCTACTCTTCACACACTGTAACTCTATCCTATCTATTTCAGCTACTCATTGAACTGAGAGCTATGCAAAATTGAGTTGACAGAGCTGGCTGTTCATGGCCTCTCTTTCTAGGGTTCATTAGTGGACACTATTCCTGTATCCTGCTCTTTTCCTCTCTCCTTTTTCATCATTTTGTCCCCAAGTTCTAATATGGGTTCCTCTCCAAAAGAAATCAACCAGAGAATTTACCAAAAATGAAGAATGAGAAACTCAAAACATGTAACTGATAGTTCATCTATAAGAAAAGATGTATTTCTATTAAATTAAATTAATTAATTAATTTTAGAGACAGGGCCTTTGTCACTCAGGCTGGAGTGCAGTGGTGCTATCATAGCTCACTGCAACCTCAAACTCCGGGCTCAAGTGATACTCTACCTCAGACTCCTGAGTAGCTAGGACCTACAGGTGCATGCCACCATGCCTAGCTAATTTTTATAATTTTGTAGAGATAGGTTTTACTATATTTCCCAGGCTGGTCCTCAAACCCCTGGCCTGAGGGGATCCTCCTGCATTGGTCTCCCAAAGCACAGGGATTATAGGTGTGAGCCACTGCACTTGGCCCCAAGACATTTTTAAATAAATTTTCATGACTATTTTTAAGCTACAGTTCTGTTACTTTTTTTTTTTTTTTTTTTTTTTTTTGATACAGAGCTTTACTCTGTTGCCTAGGCTGGAGTGCAGTGGTGCAGTCTTGGCTCGCTGCCACCTCCGCCTCCCAGGTTCAAGCAGTTCTTGTGCCTCAGCCTCCCGAGTAGCTGGGATTACAGGCATGTGCCACCACACCCAGCTAATTTTTGTATTTTTTGTGGAGATGGGGTTTCGCCATGTTGGCCAGGCTAGTCTTGAACTCCTGACCTCAAGTGATCTGGCAGCCTCGTAATTTAATAGAAATAAAAATAAACTTCTCATATGGTTCAATAATTTCTGCAGTTTTAATAAGCAGGGGATGTACTTTAAATTTTTTACTGTATAGTAAACAATACTTTATTGGTAAAATACTCATTCAAAATAAGTTGAAAAATGTGAAAGACATTAAAGAATAAAATTTAAAAACTCACTACCTTGATATATATGCACAAAGGGTTATGGTAGCCAGAGTTTTTAACCAAGTTAATTTACTTAACATTATACCATGAACATCTTTCCATATCAAGAGAGACATATATCATTATGTTTACTGTATTGTATTATATTATTGTATTTATTGTATTGCATGTTTATATTGTATTATTTTCTAAAATATTTTAATTGAGATATAACAATATACAATACACATATTTTCAGTCTCATGAATTCTGACAAGTGTAATCACTATCCAAAATAATATATAGACTACTTCCACCAAAAAAAAAAAAAAAAAAGAAAAAAAGAAATGATGTAAAGGGAGCATGTTCGAAGGAAAAGGTCAACAGGAGAAAATCCCATATTCTAATATCCTGGTTCTCTTTACCAGATAGCTTTTATATAAAAAGTAGAGACTCGTTTGTGGAACTAAAGATAACACACATCATGTAACACATCTTTCCGGAAGAGTCCTCTGTAAAAATTCCACTTATTCATTTAACATTAATTCATTTTATAGACATTTTCTAAGTGTGGACTCTGTGGCTGACTCTGGAGAATAAAGAGATGAAGCCAATTTGTTCTGCTCTTTGGAGATCAGACTTGTAAATAGATAACTAGAATACAAGGTCAAAATTTATAAATTCCATTAAAAAGTTATACGTAAAGTGTTCTGGAAGCTAAGAGGGAGAAATAAAAATGAAGAGCACAGATGGAATACAGAAACAGAAGCACAGAGGGTCAGCATCTGGTGTTATGGACAGCAGGGAAGTACCTGGGTTAAAGTAATCATACTTTTTCTTAAATGCCCTGAACTCTGCTAGAGTGAAGCTCAGGGTTCCCTGGCTAATGAAAAGCTCAGGCTGTCATTCTTAGACTCACAGAGAAAACAGACTGCACTGCTACTGAGATAAAGAGAGCAAACCATTATAGAAGAAAAACTATTTTCACCCATTATATTTCAATAGAATTTCCATTTCAATCCACTGAGGCAATCCAACATGTGTAATCTTGTCTAACAAGAAAAATAATGTGAAGTACTAAATGACAGCCTCCAACAACCCAGAATAGAGGCTCTTTCTTTCCTGCACATCTCCTCCACACCTCCCATCTTCACTTTCTCCCAATAATTTTTATTCAATGAATAAATAAATGAATGAAATAATCATGTTTTAATATTAGTTAAAGCATTGGGGTTTGCAAATGATTGCTTAAAAAGTTAAAATTGAGTCAAGATTACATTACTCTCATGTCCATTTCACTATGCCTCTTTCCCTAAAATGTCTACAGCTTTTAAGCTTCCTACAGTTATTCCTTTGCTCCTTACAAAAGCTGAATAACAACTTATCCTTTGACTTGGATTCTACAGATCTGCATAACAGTTTAAAACTTCTATTATTACTCATGTAAGGGTAAAACTTCATTTTATATATATTTCCTCACTTGAGTTTATTAAAATCTATAGAAACTAGGGTTTTTCTAGTCACTCACCTTATTAAAAAATTTTGCAAAGTTAGTAACAGGCTTAAGTTAAACTTGAAGCCTTTACCGGTTTGTAAGATTAACATTTTATATGACATTGTCCACACTGGATCTATCTTATACACAATATAAACAGATGCTGACTTTTCAAAATTATGTATTAAACAGAATTCCAATCATATACACTAAAAATAAAACTCACTGAAATTTGATGCAAAGAATTTCTAAGTTTTGCTGAATGGGAAAATCACATTTTACTGTTTCCTTAAAGAAAAGTTAATTTGTCAAACTACAGGCAAACCCATTTTTCTGCAGTATTTTAAAGGACGGGTTCTCAGGAACATGGAATGGGATTTGGTCTGTGACTTAAGTGCCCAACAGATGATCCTGAAAAAAGAAAAAAAATCAAATAATATATTCTAAAACTCTTTTCTTTAACTCTTCAGTGAAGCAATCCACCTTCCCAGCTTCCTTGGAAGGGGAGGAGACTTTTTGTTCACCACAGTTGTGATGCTGGTGTCCACACTTTCTCTCCAACGAGGTGAACTCAGTTATCAAAACCCACCATCTCAAAGCCACTCAGAGGAGAGGGAGAGGGGAGAAATCTCTGGCAAATGTCATCCCCAAGCAACAGCATCTAAGATCAGAGGGGACTGAGTCAACAGATTCATTCTGGATTTGGGGAGTTAGGCTTGTTTCTGTTGTCTCTGCAGCAGAGAAAGTTCTTAAGCCTGCAAGGCCAGTTTTTGAATCTACTGGAGATACCTCAGGAGTTTTTGATGCCTTCAAACCTGCCAGAGCCTTAGTCAACACATCAGAGAATTTGGCACAAAAGCATTCATGACCAGTTGTCATAAGAAGTTTGACACTGCAATTAGCTGATGGTCTTCTTGCCCAGAAATAGCTGGTCAATATTATTCCTGGGGAATTCAATATAGCTGAGCCAAATACCATTGATCATATATATAAAATGGTATCATACAGGTAACAACAACTTTCCTAAAGGTCACTGGTCCTGCAGAACACGAATACCAAAAGATGTTAACAGGATTAAGCAAAAATAAAAATAGGTATTAAGTGTTCCTTAGCGGAGAACATTTGAAAAATGCTGGTTAAATACACTGAAGCAGATTTCTTGACACAAGACATCTCAGCACTTTTAATAGATCTAGGAGCACAGAGAATCTCCAAAATGACTTCAGTGTGTCTTTGTCTTGTTTTACTTTCTATCCTCAAACACCTATGCATGCATTTTGGCTTATACATGACAAAATGGAAACTTTGAAAGCCTAACAAATATTGAATGGTCTCTGTGACAAAAATACTAGTCTTAGGATCCCCTCCAAGGTTTATGAATGGTCCAGGGAAAGATGAATGTGGTAATAGCAGAGATCCTTTTTAACTGGTTTACTGGTTGCAGTTCAAAGTGCTCCCATAAAGGTCCCCAGCATAGCCTGCCCAAATACCTGGGAAACAACTTGAAGAATAAAGGACTCTCAGGGCCGGGCGCAGTGGCTCACGCCTATAATCACAGCACTTTGGGAGGCTGAGGCGGGCAGATCACGAGGTCAGGAGATCGAGACCATCCTGGCTAACACGGTGAAACCCCGTCTCTACTAAAAATACAAAAAAAATTTGCTGGGCGTGGTGGCGGATGCCTGTAGTCCCAGCTACTCGGGAGGCTGAGGCAGGAGAATCACTTGAACCCGGGAGGTGGAGGTTTTGGTGAGTCGAGATCGCACCACTGCACTCCAGCCTGGGCAACAGAGCAAGACTTCATCTCATAAATAAATAAATAAAGACTCTCACCTAACCTTTCTTTTACAAAACAATTGCAATGACTGTGCATTATGGTATATGTCTCTGTCAGAATTATCTGTGTAAGATAAGTCTCCTTCAGGCAAACAGTATGAGCCATAAATTAATATGCTATTAATCCCTGCCATTGAAATAACTTTGAAGACAGAAACAAGGTAAAATCTGTTCACTGTATATACCACCACAGTAGAATTCCTATACTAAGGAAATGGTCCCAAAATGGAATTTCAAGGCTGTGCAAGGATAATTTGTGTTTCTATTGAGAATTTTTTATTAAATGAGCAACTTAGCATAACAGAAATGTAAATCTCATTCTCTCACTCTCTCTCTCTCTCTTTCAAGACGAGGTCTCACTATATTGCCCAGGCTGGCTTCTATTAATAATTCCTCGGTTCAAGCAATCCTCCCACCTAAGCCTCCCGTATAACTAAGACTACAGGTGCACAACCACTGCACTGGGCTGTCTCATGTAATTTCAAAAAATATATTTACAGAATTGACGAGCCGCATAGCTGGAAAAATGCCCCATTTGAAAGAGTTGGGTGAGAATGAGCTCTAATTGTTATATCTTAAGATTTATAAATCTATTTTCTATATCTATTTACTTTTTAATTACAGAAGTATCAAATTACATTTATGGCAAATCATGTAAAAAAACAAATTACATTTATGGCAATAAATATATGCTATGTTTTGATAGAATACAATCATATAATATCTATATAAACATAAAATTACAGTAGTTGGCGAAAATTAACATTAAAGTTCATTTCTGTTTGCAACTGTTCTACAACTGAGTACACATACACACGTGTGCACACACACACACATACACACACACACTTCTTATTGATCTACAATCACCAATTTATCAAAACTAAGACATCTTCTTTCCTTCACTTGATTTTATAATTCTCTGAGGGAAATTAGAAGAGTGCTACATTTAAAGTGATCAAGTAGAATCTCAAGATAAAATATGATTTGCACTTTAAATCTGTAGTTGTCATTGGTGAAAATCAAGAACATCCATAAACAGATAATTTTATTATTGATGCTACACAATTTCACATGTAATCAATTCACTAGGATAAGAGTTGATTTTGACTATTTGAATGATGTTACATCTTGGCCTATGCTTTAAGCCTGACTGAGCATTGTATGAATTACTAACTCAGGTGTTATTATTTTAAAATGCAGCTTATTGCTAGGCATGGTGGCTCACGCCTACAATCCCAACACTTTTGGAGGGTGAGGCAGGAGGATCGCTTGAGCCCAGGAGTTCAAGACCAGCCTGGAGAATACAGGGAGACACTGTCTCTACAAAAAAATTTAAAAATTAGGACTGAGCGCCATGGCTCACATCTGTAATCCTAGCACTTTGAGAAGCCGAGGGGGGCAGATCACTTGAGGTCAGGAGTTCGAAACCAGCCTGGCCAACATGGTGAAACCCTATCCCTTCTAAAAATACAAAAAAAAAAAAATTAGGTATGGTGGCAGGTGCCTGTAATCCCAGCTACTTGGGAGGCTGAGGCAGGAGAATCACTTGAACCTGGGAGGTGGAGGTTGCAGTGAGCCAAGACTGTGCCACTGCACTCCAGCTTGGGTGACAGGGTGAGACTCTGTCTCAAAAGAATAAATAAATAAAAATAAAAATAATTTTAAAAATAAAAAATAAATTAGCTGGGCATGGCACTACATGTCTGTAGTCCCAGCTATTCACTGGCTACTGAGGAGGCTGAGGTGGAATAATTGCTTGAGCCCTGGAAGTCGAGGCTGTAGTGAGCCATGATTATGCCACTGCACTCCAGCCTGGGTGACAGAGAGAGAGAGAGACCTCGTCTCAAAAAAGAAAAAAAAAATTCCAGCTCATTACTTAGATTTTCCCCACTTACAACTTGATGATCCGTTTCAAATTACAGAGGAATCTTACTTCCATTACAAGTACATAGTAAAATATAAAAAGGTAAGTACAAAAGTAAAGTCTGAAAGACAAAAATCGTTTTCTTACCTGAGAATGAGAGATTGAAAAACTGATGAGTGTTATGTATGGGCACTGGATAGTCTATCCAGATCATCTTAGAAAAAAGAGATGTTTTTAAATAAAAAATAGCCCATCTAACAACACCAGGGAATTCAATAATCACATAACTGAAAATAAAGGTAAGAGAAACTTTTCAACCACCAAGACTTTCCAGATTAGAAATGACTTTTCATAGTGTTACAATTCTCACAGAAATGCTATTGATTGGAGAAACTGGGAATGTTCATCACCTCCCCCCACCCCCGCCAAAAAAAAAATGGTCTTAAACTGCTTTTAGCTTTTGCACGAAGTCAAATGTCTTTAGTCTCCTCCCAATTCCAGCCCCCTGCAATCACCATGATGGTTTACTTGACCAAAGGGACTGAGCTTTCTCATGCTATTTTGTCCAGTGGTCTTTGATACAAGCCCTAGAGATGGTGTTTACATCTGCCTCTAAGGAAATTCTCCTTTTTCTGCAATGTAAAAACTCTTACTTGTAATCTTTACCTTGGTTTATAGATACAAAAGTGCGTGATGGCTGGGAGCAGTGGCTCACACCTGTAATCCCAACACTTTGGGAAGCCTGAGACAGGAGGATTCCTTGAGCCCAGGAGTTCAAGACCAGCCTAGGCAACACAACGAGACCTCGTCTCTATTTTTTAATAAAAAAAGAAGAAAATGTAAGTGTTGATGTTCAAAAACTTCTTTTAACAGATTCTATGGACTTGCTTCACTTTAGGCAAATAGTATTCTTGCCTTTTCTGAGGGACACACCATTTTTGCCTCTGGAGCATACCAATGCCAAAGCCAAATAGTGTAGTCCCAAAAGAGCAATCTGTTTCTGATGTTTGGCAAAATATATCTATCCCCACAGCATCTACTGGGTGTAAAGGTTAAGTGTAACCTGGATGTATGGACTTGAATCCCAAAGTACATCATTTTTTTCAAGTTTTTCCAGATTCAGGTAGAATGCACTCTCACAAATGTTTTCCTCAGCTTCCTTCTCCCTGAACCCTCTAGAATTCATTGTCTGCTACTGTCTCAGGGCACTTGTCACTTTCTAAGAGGTATGATCACTATTCGACCCCTTGTCTGTCTCCCCCAGTGGAGTATGAGCACAAGGCCAGAATGTGGTCTGATTTCTCCCTGTCTGCAGCACCCAGCACAGGGCAGAAGCTCAAGAATCATCCAGTGACATGAACTGGAGCCACTCCTCAACAGATGACTTTCATTCACATCAGCCAAGGAGCATCTGGCAAGAACCTGGCTAGGTGCCCACAGTTGGCAGTTATGCCCAGTGCTTAACTTCACTAGTGACTGGCACTTGGGACTACCTGTTTGGCACAATTGTGACCTCAAGGAAGATCCCCTCACAAGGTTTGTCACTTGAAGCCATTGTGAAGCAAGCAAAAGTAGTCATGTGGACTTTGGAACCCACTTAGTTAGACAGGTTTGAGTTTGGTTTGGTTTATTAAATTCATTTCTACCTTGCCTCATTACAGACAACATGTTAGTAAAGGGGAAATACAAGAAGTTCAATATATGATTTCTCCACAAATATTTATTGAATGTGCTCTCCTATTACAATCACATGTGTTCTTGTCTGGAGATTTTAAGCATCACCACAATAAAACTGTCTCAGCCTGTCACCCAAGGCTCTCTACAATACAACCCAATTCACCTTTCCAATCACAACATTCCTGAATTCCAGGAACTACCCACTATTATCCAGACACTCACTCTTCATTCATACTGCCCAGCCTTTGCTCATGATCATCTCCTTGCCTAAAATGTCCTTCCCTATATCTTTACTTAATGAAGTAATATAAATCTTTCAAAGCACTTCCCCCAAAGCATCTTCTCCAATAAGCCTTTTCTGATCCTCTGTCCTCCATCTCCACAGCACATTGCCTTTACCCTTATGGCACCTGCCTTACTTGGTACTGTATCAAAGTCCTGTATTGTCAGTCTCTCCCCGATCACTGCAGCGAATAGGGTAAGTTTCTCTCAGCAACACAAGGCTATCTAAACATAGCCTGTAAAACTATGAAGAATAACATTCAGCTAGTTGAAAATTGTGAAAAATCAAGAACTTGTTACTTCTCCAGAGATCATGAGATGCAGGAACAGAACGACCTAAGACATAGAAAAAATGTAGGAAAACATGCAGGACAGATGATGATATAGTTTGAATATCTGTCCTTGTCCAAATCTCATGTTGAATTGTAATCCCCGAGGTTGGGGGTGGGGCCTGGTAGGAGGTGACTGGATCATGGGGGTGGATCCTTCATGGCTTGGTGCTGTCTTCTCCATAGTGAGTGAGTTCTTGGGAGATTTGGTCATTTAAAAGTATGTGGCACCTTCCCCCAATCCCACCCCCAGCCCCCACCCCCACCCCAAAACTTCCCCTGCCTTACCCCCCACCCCCAACCTCTACCCCCAGCATGCCCTTCCCCCACCCCCCGTCACCACCCCATCTTCCTGCACCCCCTTTTGCTCTAGCCACATGATGTGTAAGCTCCCGCTTCACTTTCCACCATGAGTAAAAGCTCCATCCAGAAGCCAATACCATGCTTCCTGTAAAACCTAAAGAACTGTTAGTTAATTAAATCTCTTTTCTTTATAAATTACCCAGTCTCAGGCATTTCTTTGTAGCAATGCAAGAACGAACTTATACAGATGACTTAATATGGAGATAGCCATTCCTGTTCGTATAAAGGTATATTTCAAATGAACCATTTAAAAGACATCTTCATGAATCATTTAATTAAGAATTTGATAGGTAAGTTTTTCTCTGTCTCCAGTCCTTTTTCAATTTAAAATATTGACAGCCAATCAGTAAAACAATCTAGAGAAAATGATACTGGAACACTTCATTAAAGAACTTTTTAAACAGAAAGATTTTCATATATAAATGAACAGAAAAATTTAAACCGTAAAGAATCTGAAAGTATTACAGATTATAGTGGAATATTTTAGGCCACTCCCAGTCCGTATTTATTAAGGTTTCCTCTACTTGATGCCGTAGGAATTTACCAAGGAAGAAAGAATACAGTTTCCAGGACAGCGGGTTCTACATTTCTGGCTTCTGGGCAACTCAAGTTATCTACAGTGATTTCAAATACTTTTATTTATTTATTCATCATTCATGCCCCCAAACATACTATGGGCAAGGCACTGTGTCTGGTGTTTTCATTGCTATTGTTATTATTGTTGTTGTTGTGGGGGGTTTTTGTAAATCAAAAGGACCTAAAGAAAAATTAAAATATTATTATTTCAAAGAAGAGCTATAGCTCTTATAACTTACAACTGTCAAAATAATTCTCTAAAAATTGAGCAGCTGGAATGTTAAAAGGTGTTAAGAAAAATCAAATGAGAAAATCAAAGTCGTCAGGTCAGGCTGGATTCTCTAACTGAAGATGTTAACATTTTTATTTACTGTGTGAGGTAGCTGGGCACTACTCAAATTTTCTGAGAATTGACTCACAAGATCAAACTAATTTTAAAAGAGGTGATGCAAGGGGAGCTCAAGCAGACAGGCTGAGAAGGGGTTCGAGGTTAGCTGCTGCAGAAAGAAGAGAAAAAGGTTGCAAGAGAGGATGACTCCCAGACATGCTATGAAGGAGGCAGACTAATATGAGAAGGAACAAAGATTAAGAATTAGATGTGTTGCTACTGTTATGGGCCTGGGGCAGTGGAGGCTAAAGTAGCTGAAGGTCAAAAGGGGAGAGTGTTTTTTCTTAAAGAAAAACTGAATCATGGAAAAGTACTGAAAGAAAAGTCATCAACTTTAGGTTCTCTTGCATGCTTAGGCATCAATGAAACATGGAAGAAACTCCAACCTCTATTTGACAAGAATTGTCAATTTGACCACATAGACATGAGTCGGACAGATGACTTGGAAGTCTCTTTCAGCTTGGGGAATCCATGACTCTATAAGACATGTTCACAGAGAATATTTGAAATTAGACAAGTCACTTGAGCGCCCCAAGGGAGTGACATGAGGAAAAGAAGATAAGACCTTGGAAATATTCTATTAGATGGGTGGAGGGAAAACACAGCACCAAGGAGAGAGAAAAGAGCCAAAGCAACTAAGGAGGAGATGAGCACAGATGGGAGCAGCCTCTCCACTTTGGACAAAAACAAAGCAGCTCAGGATCAGGGAGGAAACTAGAAAGGAACTGGAAAAGACAGATAAAGACATAATGTTGTTTTGCATAATGCCAAAGGACAACAATTTCAGCACTCCAGAACTCTATGGCACCTCAATTTGTTCCATTTTAATAATCTGTTCTTCCCAAGTAATGTCTTAAGTGCAAGTTTGCCAATGTTCAATTTATTAGCAGTGACATTTACAAAATCGCCTCAATCCACTTTTCTTCCTGGAAACACCTAACCTGGGTGATCCCCCAGCCTTGCACAAAGCCTATCTGTCCATAAAGGCTTAGCTGGCCTCTGTCATGAGGGGGCCTTTGGACAAAGGAGAGAGATTTGCATAAAGGTGGTCAGCTTAATACAGCCCCTGTTTGAGGCTGTACAGCATTTAAAGGGCCATTCTCCAACCTGGCAGTGTAATCCTAATGGAGAGCTTTTGTCCCTAAGGCTGTGGTGGGCCGCTTTATTCAGCTGACAATCCACAGTAAAAGAATGAATCAACCACCTCCTTTTAGTAAAGCTAAGGCAGCTGGCAGCCCACAGTCCTGACAGCTTACCACATAAGAAGCAGGACAATTATCAGCCTCAGACCGAAAAGGTGCTCCATGAGGGAGTGACCACAGCTAGGGCTTCTGGCGGCATGCTGGGCATTTACCACTCAAGACAAAGGTCCCACAGCCCAATCTCCACACAGGAAAGGGGCTGTGAGAGTGCCAGCAAAGCTGTTCCCTACAATACTTCCCAAAGAGATCAAAACCCTTTCATCACTATGTAGCTCCTTGGCCAGTTTTGTGGAGCTCTACAATCATTCCCCTTTAGAATGCTGGGAACGAGCCAGGCTTCTTGTTTCTTTTTAGAATTTCATTTTTTAAAAGGAAATTTATTTTAGGTTTCTTTTTTAAAGAGTGCCAAATTTACAAAATAGAAAGGAGAGACAACACAAGCATAATTCTACCACTCTGAGGGAAACATTGCCACATTAGAGTATTTCTTTCCAGTCTATTTTACATGGCTGTGAACATTCTGTAAATACAGTTTTTAAATCAGGGCAAGTCTGAGTAGGGAAACAAACCCTTTAGCAATTAGGTTTCTAATTAGGTTTCTCCTAATTTATTTTACTTTATTTCAACTTTGAGAAGAGGAACAGAATCCTAACTTCCTTTAAATCCCTTATCTTCAAGTAATCCCCAGCCTAACCCCCAGTTCTCCTGAATCCTACCCTACTGTTCTGCCTACTGCAGGGCTGCCTTGTCCCAAAAAGCAGAGAAGTTGTCTCCTAGAAGCTGTTGAATAATTTTTTAAAAAGGGCTATGTCCACACATAAAAATCTATATGCAACAAAATTAATTTAAGATGGATATATAATTTAAGTATCAATATCACATAAAAGGTCAAAAAATATATACCACCGAGTGAAAAGGTTGACAATGTATGAGCCACATTGTTCTCAAATTAGAAAAAGGGGCCAAGGAAACCTTCCACTTCCTGAAAGAAAGGCTATGGACCTCCTCACTTAAAATTATCTCTAATTTTTGCTGACTCTTGGCTACCTGATGCCAGAGCCCCTCTCCCCACCCCACCCTCAGCCCTCACTCCTGTGCCATTCCTTTTCGCAATGCTGATGGTTAAGACACTTGCCCATTAACGTGAAGCTCTGCAAATGCCCTGGCTGCCAGCTACAATATACTCTCTGTTCTATACACTTCAAATGCCTTCTCTAATCACAAGTTAGAACTTTACATGAAAGCTCTACCTTGTTTCTTATGGAATGTATAAAAAAATGAAAGAACTCTCAATGAGAGTTTCCAGATTCTTCATGTTGATTGACTTTGTGAATTTCACCTTAAAGTACAATCATTTTGTGCAGAAAGACTTTTCAATTTCCCCCTCAAATTCCTGCCTGTTACTTTAAAGCTTTCTCATTTCAAAGTGCTGTGTGGTTCATGCCTTACAGCACAGCTTACACCTGTATTTCTGAAGATGATTGGCAAAGGAGGCTGATATGGGAGACGGAAAAGAGTAAACAGCCCTAAGTCCTGTATGAAGAATACCCAGGAATGTTTCAAAGTGATCTTGACGCAGCCCAAGGAGGAGAGTGAAACTGCCACAATTTATTGTCTATACTAAGGAATATATTTATTGCTTTCTACTAGGAAACTATTAACCTACAAGTTCATTCTCCCAACTGGGAGACCTAAAGTTAGAGGAGAGCAAGCCAACAAAATATACTTGCCTTAATCCACACTTTAAAATTATTAATCCAGTGACTTAAGTAGGGGGAATTGCAAAATCAATGGAAATCAACACCCCTCTTGAGGTCAGAATTCTTGGGATCTAGTCCCAGCTCTGCACTAGCTGTGTGATCTTGGGCAAGTCACCTAGCCTGTCTGAGTACCTGCAAAATGGTGCTAAGCCCTGGCCTCCCTACCGCATATGGCCACTCTCAGGAGGATCAGATACCACACGGATGGAGAAGTTCACCGAAAAGTCTAAGGTGCATTGCTCACCCATATATTCGGTGAAATGTCTCAAATGATAAGGATCACCATAACCTTGAATGTTAAGGTTCACCTTAACAAGGAGACAAGCTTAAAGAAAGACACACTAGGAGTTCAACACTTCTTGGATCCTTTCCCTAAATATCAGTAGTATTCATGAAATCAACAAATATTGCAGCAAGTGAAACATACATCATCAAAAAAATAAAAACAAAGAGAAATCTTGGAACATTGTGTGCATACATACATTATGGTTAAATATCAATGCAGAAAGAAGAACACTATTCACATTCATGAATTTATGCTTTAATTTCCAAAGCTAAATATTAGCTTGATTGAATAATATCGTGTGCCTTGATCTCAGGTATTAGCATATAAAAGAGCTGATGGCCCTTAGCTCCCTGCCATCCCAAAGGTATAACTTGTATATTTAAATATGGGGGACATTTATTAGTGGCCATGAACACTCTATAATCAAGGAACAACCAGTTACCTAAACAATGTGCTTAACTGTTAGAAATAGAATCAGAAGAAAAACTCATCAACGTCCAAAACATCCTACCCTACTGGGACATTAGCTAGACTCAAGTCAGAACACACACACTCCATAAATACATATCAAATAACAAGAACGGTATTCTAGTTCTCATAAACAACATTTGGAAGTCAATTTAATATTTATATAGTGTTTGGAGAAAGCCTTGCCGACATCTTAAGCCCTTGATAAAGGACAAGGGGCAAATGTAAAGTTTCAGTGTAAACTGGGACGTCAAAGGTAGTTTGTATTTTCCATTAAAAAATATGACAATTGTTCGGGCGTGGTGGCTCACACCTGTAATCCCAGAACTTTGGGAGGCCGAGGTGGGCAGATCACTTGAGCTCAGGAGCTCAAGACCAGCCTGGACAACATAGCAAAACCCTACAATCTCTACAAAAAAAACAAAAATTAGCCGGGCATAGTGACATATGCCTGTGGTCCCAGCTACTCAGGAGGCTGAGGTGAGAGGATCGCTTGAGCCCGGCAGGCAGAGGTTGCAGTGAGCCAAGATCATGCCACTGTACTACAGACTGGGTGACAGAGAAAGACCCTGTCTCAAACAAACAAAACAAAACAGAACAAAAAGACAATTGCTTAGATCTCGTCTTTTAAGAGACTGACTTTCGGGGAGTACCTCCTTGAAAATCTAGTGGAAGCCTTTGTCACACAGACCTTTGCCTATCAACATTCAGACAGAGTCTAAGTCACATCAGCATGACTAGAGACAGCAGCTTTTTATGGCTAGAGCAGGGTAGGCATTGACTCATTTCCCTGACACCAGAGCCATAAAGAGGTGCTAGTAGTCCCCAGAAGCCTCTGCCAAAAAGAAACCTTGATGACACTGCATCTTTATTTCCAGCTGTGACTACTCCTTTGAGCTCTGGCTCTAGAAGCATATCCAGTGGCTTCCTAGATGCTTCACCAGCACCTTATGCTCAGGTCCAAAACTAAACTTACCCAAATTTCTCCTGGTCCCGGTGCTCCTCATCTCAGTAAGTGGAATCAGTTGCATAAAACAAAAACTTGTAGGATCACTGCTAACAGCTCCCTCTCCTTCACTCTGCCTCCAAACAATCCAGTCCAGCAAATCCTGATGAGTCCACCTCTAAATCAGGTGTGGTACGTATGGCGGAGCATCCCTGACTCGAAAATCGAAAATCCAAAATCTGAAATGCTCCAAAATCTGAAACTTTATTTTATTTTATTTATTTATTTATTTATTTATTTATTTATTTATTTATTTATTTATTTTGAGACGGAGTTTCACTCTTGTTGCCCAGGCTGGAATGCAGTGGTGCAATTTCGGCTCACCACAACCTCCACCTCCCAGGTCAAGCAATTCTTCTGCCTCAGCATCCCGAGTAGCTGGGATTACAGGCACGCACCGGGCTTAGTAGAGACGGGGTTTTTCCATGTTGGTCAGGCTGGTCTCAAACTCCCGACCTCAGGTGATCCACCTGCCTCAGCCTCCCAAAGTGCTGGGATTACAGGCATGAGCCACCGCGTCCGGACAAAATCTGAAACTTTTTAAGTGTAAATATGACACTCAAAGGAAATGCTCACTGAAACATTTTTGGACTTCAGATTTTCAAATTAGGGATGCTCGCCCAGTAAGCATAATGCAAATTACATGTATTCCAAAATCTGAAATCTGATACACTTTTGGTCCCAAGCATTTTGGATAAAGGGTATCAACCTGTACAGGGAATCACTTTCTTAAAATCCTGCCGTGGCTCCCTAATGTCCAAGAAATGAAAGGCAACTCCTCAAACTGATCCCTCCTCTTTCAAAGGTCACAAGGATAGCCACCCTCACCTGGTCACCTCCTGCTTCGGAAAATGCTAGGCATTTTTGCTCCTCCATCATTTTGTTAGTATGTGTGTCTCCCTCTGCCTTCTCCTTCCAGAGTTATTAATCTCATAACTTAAAACCCAATCTAAATCCTCCTCTTTGGGGAAGATGGGCTGAGGCCCTAACCCAGGGTAAATTGATCACTCCCTTCTCTTTGAAGTCCAGTGTCTGGGTTTCTTATTCACATATTATAGCTCAAAGCAAATAATGGGATATAATAATTTGTTTGCACGTTTCTCTGCTCCACTAGCCTATGGACTCCCTAAAAGCTGCATCTTTATTCTCAGTTGCTTTGCCCTGTATCTTAGCTCAAAACGTGCCTCTAACAGAACTTCTGAATATGTGTTGAATGAAATGTTGAAACCAAAACCAGGAGAGTTAAACTACACTTTTATCACAAATTTTCGTTTTACTACCAACAACCAAATGCTCTCCCCATAATCCTAATTACCTTATCAACCCTATCAACTTTCAGTTAAGAGTAGGAGGATTTCTAGTCTAATTCTTATTACCCAAGAAACTGGGTATCTGTGAATTACTTTGCAAAGAAATCTGCCCATAAAGGCCAGCCATTAGAAAGCCACTTCTGGCTGGGCGCGGTGGCTCATGCCTGCAATCCCAGCACTTTGGGAGGCGAAGGCGGGCGGATCACCAGGTCAGGAGATCGAGACCATCCTGGCTAACATGGTGAAACCCCGTCTCTACTAAAAATACAAAAAAATTAGCCGGGCATGGTAGCGGGCGCCTATAGTCCCAGCTACTTGGCAGGCTGAGGCAGGAGAATGGCGTGAACCTGGCAGGTGGAGCTTGCAGTGAGCCGAGATCACGCCACTGCACTCCAGCCTGGTTGAGAGCGAGACTCCGTCTCAAAAAAAAAAAAAAAAAAAGTAAGGAAAAAGAAAAAAGAAAGCCACTTCCCACTGGCTCCTGACTTGCTGGGAAAAGAAAAGGAGGAACAGCCCTCACGCCTGTTCTTTGCTGATGGAAGAAAGGTCCAGTTCCCGCCCCCACATCCTCCCTCCATCACTGCCAACTCTCCTAAGGAAGTGCTAGGCTAATCTCAAAGACAGATGTCTCTCTAAGTAAGTACTGACAGATTGGAGGGCATCTACTGGCTACATTGGCCTGAATACTTTCAAAGTCATGAGTCCAATGCTTTCT
Source organism: Homo sapiens (assembly GCF_000001405.40). Classification (NCBI taxonomy): domain Eukaryota; kingdom Metazoa; phylum Chordata; class Mammalia; order Primates; family Hominidae; genus Homo; species Homo sapiens. The sequence continues at coordinate 151,565,284 of NC_000023.11, read as the reverse complement.
GCCCATTCTCTTTAGTTTGGTGGAAAGGATTTTCTTTTGCTGCCTGAGTGTCTTTACCCCTCAGTACTCTCTGTTCTAGAACTGGCAGAGAAATAAGCACAACAAATCTACTTTAGATACAGCTTAACTTACTGAAAGAACTAAGGTTAGAGAAAAGCACAGCCAGTCAGTAGGGATACCTCAAAAAAACCAGGATGCCTGATTCTGTTCCTGGATCTCTTTTGGAGCATGACTTTGCCACCTGCCTTTCCTGGCATATTGTGTGGTGTATGGCATGCATATTACATAATCCAGGGTAGATTAATTTACATTCTTGATTTTATACATTGGAAAGTTATGTTCCCTTAAGATGGATGAGTAACTGATAAATTATTGTCTTATGAGTTGTAATTTTTGAAGGAAGTTTTGATTGAAAATACAGGGTCTTGCTCTGTTGTTCAGGCTGGGGTGCCGTGGTTCATTCATGACTCACTGCAACCTCGAACTCCCAGGCTCAAGCGATCCCTCCCACCTCAGCCTCCTGACTAGTTGGGCACCACACGCCCAGCTAATTTTTTTTTTTTTTTTAATTTTTGTAGAGAACAGGTCTCGCTAAGTCCGCCCTAGCTGGTCTCAAACTCAGCCGTAACCAGTAGCTGAGACTAAGATGCCTGCCACCGCACCGACGTTCGCCTCCATTATCGGTCTTCAGATACATGGCTGCTGGCACTTTCACGCTAATCTGACTCCATTTTGAAAAAACACATTTTCTAAGGTAGCCACAACTTCTGTGCTCTCCGTGTAAGTGTGCCCAAATACACATCCTGACATAAACTCCTCATCATTTGAAATCCAAAAAAGCAAAAAACAAACCCAAAGGACAACAAAAACTTCAAGCAGATCCTTTGAAAAGCCGCTACTGCCCTGAAAATTCTGAAGTCTGAGATTTCACGTGTACAAACTGCTCAATCTGCTGAAAACCAGGCAAACCTCTCGATATACGCGCCCACCCCAGCACACCGTCCCCGACTGTGGTAATGGAGACGCGCCCCAGACCTGCCGGACAGAGCCTGGCGTTCTCACCCGAACCGCCCGCTCAGACCGGCCTATTCGCGACACCGCAAGCTTTCCATTCTTCCCAACTCTGCTTCAATTTCTCGAAATGTCCAAAGAAAAATCAATGGGTGCCTCCTATGGTGCACCTACGATGGTGCCCAATGCAGGAGGAGGTTCAGAATGTGGGGGTCTTCCTCGTGTAACCCCCAGCTACCCGCTGCCACCCCTCTCCTTCTGCCTCATCCCAACCAACCTTCCCAGGATGACCAGGAAAACGAGGGTCCTGCAGGGAATGTCTCTGATGGAGTAGCTTGGGCTCCTCAGCCACCGAGGGACAAAGGGGCTGGCTCCCCGCCGCCACCCCAAGGCATTTTACTTTGCAGTAGCTTTCATTAACGGACTTCACTCACCCTTGTGGAACTCTTCACTGCTGGAGGCCGCAGGGACTTGGGGTACCTTGAAGCTCCTCCCTGTGGTCTCCGGTGAGAGCCCGGGAGCCTGGTGGGCGCCCGGAAAGTCTGGAAATGAGGAGCAGCTTCTAGACTCTTCAGGGAAGTGCGTGGGCCCCAGAGTGCAAAGCGCGTGGTGGGGGCGTGGCAGAGAGGGGAGGCAGGCATGGAGGCAGCGTGGCAGCGGAAGTAGGGGGGAGGAGTGGTAGCATTTTTCCCTAGACCTCGCGATGTTGGGGCCCGAGATAACTACTGTCTCTGGAACTAGGAGTGCAGATAAGCCACTTCAACGTAGCCCTTAGCTTGTCGAGTCAAAGGGTTCCACCCCAATACAGGCTCTCCACCCTCCCTGGACCCCTGAGCACTACCTAAGCAGGACCTAATGGAGCCCAGAAAATGTATGGATCCCAGAAAAGAGGGGTCTTTTTGAGTCCAATCATGGCTCTATTGTGGAACTGAGAGGTGACAGCGAGCTGGCAACCCTCGCAGCCGTCCCTCGCACTCCGCACCTCCTCGGCCTTGGCGCCCACTCTGGCCGCGCTTGAGGAGCCCTTCAGCCCACCGCTGCACTGTGGGAGCCCCTTTCTGGGCTGGCCAAGGCCAGAGCCGGTTCCCTCAGCTTGTGGGAAGGTGTGGAGGGAGAGGCACCGGTGGCAACTGGGGCTGCGTGCGGCGCTTGCGGGCCAGCGCAAGTTCCGGGTGGACGTGGGCTCAGCGGGCCTGCACTCGGAGTGGCCCGGTGGGCCCGCAAGGCCCGGGCAGTGAAGGGCTTAGCACCTGGGCCAGCAGCTGCTGTGCTCCATTTCTTGCCAGGCCTTAGCTGCCTCCCTGTGGGGCAGGGCTTGGGACCTGCAGACCGCCATGCCCGAGCCTCCACCCCCCCCGCCCCCCCCCGACCACCGACACCCCCCGCCCCCCCGCCCCCCCCGCCCCCCGCCCCCCCGACCCCCGACCCCCCGCCCCCCGCCCCCCCACCCCCCGCCCCCCCCGCTGCCCCCTCACCCCAGCCCCACTCCCCGCCCCCCCGCCTGCTCCCCCTGCCCCGGCCGTCGGCTCCTGTGCGCAGGAGCCTTGCGGAGGAGTGCCGCTTCCTGCTCCAGGGTGCCCAGTCCCATCGACTGCCCAAGGGCTGAGGAGTGCAGGCGCACTGGGCGGAACTGGCAGGCAGCTCCACCTGCGGCCCCCTGTGGGATCCACTGGGTGAAGCCAGCTGGGCTCCTGAGTCTGGTGGGGACTTGGAGAATCTTTATGTCTAGCTAAGGGATTGTAAATACACCAATCAGCACTCTGTATCTAGCTCAAGGTTTGTGAACACACCAATCAGCACCCTGTGTCTAGCTCAGGATTTGTGAATGCACCAATCGGCACTCTGTATCTAGTTAATCTGGTGGGGACTTGGAGAACCTTTATGTCTAGCTGAGATTGTAAATGCACCAATCCGTACTCTGTATCTAGCTCAAGGTTTGTAAATACCCCAATCAGCACTCTGTGTCTAGCTCAGGGATTGTAAACGCACCAATCAGCACCCTGTCAAAATGGACCAATCGGCTCTCTGTAAAATGGACCAATCAGTAGGATGTGAGTGGGGCCAGATAAGGGAATAAAAGCAGGCTGCCTGAGCCAGCAGTGGCAATCCGCCCGGGTCCCCTTCCACACTGTGGAAGCTTTGTTCTTTCTCTCTTTGCAATAAAGCTTGCTGCTGCTCACTCTTTGGGTCCACACTGCCTTTATGAGCTGTAACACTCACCACGAAGGTCTGCAGCTTCACTCCTGAAGCCAGTGAGACCACAAACCCACCAGGAGGAACAAACTCCAGACGCACTGCCTTAAGAGCTGTAACACTCACCGTGGAGGTCTGCAGCTTCACTCCTGAGCCAGCAAGACCACGAACCCACCAGAAGGAAGAAACTCCGAACACATCTGAACATCAGAAGGAACAAACTCCGGACACGCCGCCTTTAAGAAATATAACACTCACCATAAGGGTCTGCGGCTTCATTCTTGAAGTCAGTGAGACCAAGAACCCACCAATTCTGGACACATTTTGGTGACCACGAAGGGACCATCGCCTATCGCCAAGCAGTGAGACTATCGCCAAGTGGTGAGACCATCGCCTATCACTGAGCGGAGAGATTATCGCCTATCGCCAAGCAGTGAGTACCATCGGACCCCTTTCGCTTGCTATTCTGTCCTATTTTTCCTTAGAATTCGGAGGCTAAATACCGGGCGCCTGTCGGCCAGTTAAAAGCGACTAGCGCGGCCACCGGACTACAGACACAGGTGTCAGGCTTTCTGGGAAAGGGCTCTCTAACAACCCCCGACTCTTCGGAGTTAGGAGCGTTGGTTTGCCTAGAACCAGCTTCCACTTTTCCTGTACTTCTGGGCTGAGCCGAGGGTCGACAGAGAGGAAACCCATGCAGCTCCAGGGTCCCAACGACAAGTTGGTTGACCCTGCGGCCATGAGCGGAACTCTCAAAGGCATGTTGCCCAAGCGAGACTCGCCCATCTATCCTATCTATCCTGACCTTTGCCCCCTGGGTCCTAATGCCTGCCAGACAAACTTCCTCTCGCCTCTCTTCTCCGAGGTTAGTCCCGCTTCTAAAAATTGTTACCTGTCTCTGGTGCTTTTCTAGTTTCTCCTATAAGTATGATTTCTAGTATAAACTCCAGGACTGTTACCTTCTTTAGGAACCCAGGCTCACCAATCAGAAAGACATAACTTTTGCCCAAAGCCCCGTCATAGTGGGGACTACCTGGAATTTTATGATCCCTCCTCTCCTCAGACTAATAGGCCTAACAAAAGCTATTCCTGAAGCTAGGATATGGGGAGCCTCAGAAATTGTATCCTTCCCGTTCATATAAGTGAGGACAAAAGGTGTCACTCTTCCAACCGTGGAGATCCCTTCCCTCCCTCAGGGCATGGCCCTCCACTTCATTTTTGGGGCATAACACCTTTATAGGACAGGGGTAAAATCCCAGTACTAACAGGAGAATGCTTAGGACTCTAACAGATTTTCGAGAATGCATCGGTAAGGGCCACTAAATCTGATTTTTCTTCGTCGGTCCTCCTTGTGGTCTAGGAGGACAGGCAAGGGTGCAGGTTTTCGAGAATGCGTCAGTGAGGGCCACTAAATCCGACCTTCTTCGGTCCTCCATGTGGTCTGGGAGGAAAACTAGTGTTTCTGCTGCTGCATCAGTGAGCACAACTATTCCGATCAGCAGGGTCCAGGGAACGTTGCAGGTTCTTGGGCAGGGGGAGAAACAAACCAAAACTGCGGGCGGTTTTGTCTTTCAGATGGGAAACACTCAGGCATCAACAGGCTCACCCTTGAAATGCATCCTAAGCCATTGGGACCAATTTGACCCACAAACCCTGAAAAAGAGGTGGCTCATTTTTTTCTGCACTACGCCTTGGCCCCAATATTCTCTCTCTGATGGGGAAAAATGGCCACCTGAGAGAAGTACAAATTACAATACTATCCTGCAGCTTGACCTTTTCTGTAAGAGGGAAGGCAAATGGAGTGAAATACCTTATGTCCAAGCTTTCTTTTCATTGAGGGAGAATACACAACCATGCAAAGCTTACAATTTACATCCCACAGGAGGACCTCTCAGCTTACCCCCATATCCTAGCCTCCCTATAGCTCCCCTTCCTATTAATGATAAGCCTCCTCTAATCTCCCCTGCCCAGAAGGAAACAAGCAAAGAAATCTCCAAAGGACCACAAAAACCCCCGGACTATCGGTTATGTCCCCTTCAAGCTGTTAGGGGGAGGGGAATTTGGCCCAACCCAGGTACATGTCCCCTTCTCCCTCTCTGATTTAAAGCAGATCAAGGCAGACCTCGGGGAGTTTTCAGATGATCCTGATAGGTACACAGATGTCCTACAGGGTCTAGGGCAAACCTTCGACCTCGCTTGGAGAGATGTCATGCTACTGTTAGATCAAACCCTGGCCTTTAATGAAAAGAATGTGGCTTTAGGTGCAGCCTGAGAGTTTGGAGATACCTGGTATCTTAGTCAAGTAAATAATAGAATGACAGCTGAAGAAAGGGACAAATTCCCTACCGGTCAGCAAGCCATCCCCAGTATGGATCCGCACTGGGACCTTGACTCAGATCATGGGGACTGGAGTCATAAACATCTGTTGACCCGTATTCTAGAAGGACTAAGGAGAATTAGAAGCCCATGAATTATTCAATGATGTCCACCATAACTCAGGGAAAGGAAGAAAATCCTTCTTCCTTCCTCGAGTGGCTACGAGAGGCCTTAAGAAAATATACTCCCCTGTCACCCAAATCACTCGAGGGTCAATTGATTCTAAAAGATAAGTTTACTACTGAATCAGCTGCAGATATCAGGAGAAAGCTCCAAAAGCAAGCCCTGGGCCCTGAACAGAATCTAGAGGCATTATTAAACCTGCCAACCTCGGTGTTCTATAACAGGGATCAAGAGGAACAGGCCCAAAAGGAAAAGTGAGATCAGAGAAAGGCTGCAGCCTTAGTCGTGGCCCTCACACAATCAAACCTTGGTGGTTCAGAGAGGACAGAAAATGGAGCAGGCCAATCACCTGGTAGGGCTTGTTATCAGTGTGGTTTACTAGGACACTTCAAAAAAGATTGTCCAGTGAGAAACAAGCTGCCCCCTCATCCATGTCCACTATGCAGAGGCAATCACTGGAAGGTGCACTGCCCCAGAGGATGAAGATTCCCTGGGTCAGAAGCCCCCAGCCAGATGATCCAACAACAGGACTGAGGGTGCCCAGGGCAAGCACCAGCTCATGTCATCACCCTCACTAAGCCCCAGGTATGTTTAACTATTGAGGGCCAGGAAATTGACTTCCTCCTGGACACTGGCATGGCCTTCTCAGTGTTAATCTCCTATCCTGGATGACTGTCCTCAAGGTCCGTTACCATCCAAGGAATCCTGGGACAGCCTGTAACCAGGTATTTCTCCCACCTCCTCAGTTGTAATTGGGAGACTTTGCTCTTCTCACATGCCTTTCTTGTTATGCCTGAAAGTCCCACACCCTTATTAGGGAGGGATATATTAGCCAAGGCTGGAGCTATTATCTACATGAATATGGGGAACAAGTTACCCATTTGTTGTCCCCTACTTGAGGAGGGAATCAACCCTGAAGTCTGGGCATTGGAAGGACAATTTGGAAGGGCAAAAAATGCCCACCCAGTCCAAATCAGGCTAAAAGACCCCACCACTTTTCCTTATCAAAGACAATATTCCTTAAGGCCTGAAGCTAATAAAGGATTACAGAATATTGTTAAACATTTGAAAGCTCAAGGCTTAGTAAGGAAATGCAGCAGTCCCTACAACACCCCAATTCTAGGAGTGCAAAAACCGAATGGTCAGTGGAGACTAGTGCAAGATCTTAGACTCATCAATGAGGCAGTAATTCCTCTATATCCAGTTGTACCCAATCCCTATACCCTGCTCTCTCAAATACCAGAGGAAGCAGAATGGTTCACGGCTCTGGACCTCAAGGATGCCTTCTTCTGTATTCCCCTGCACTCTGACTCCCAGTTCCTCTTTGCCTTTGAGGATCCCACAGACCACACGTCCCAACTTATGTGGACGGTCTTGCCCCAAGGGTTTAGGGATAGCCCTCATCTGTTTGGTCAGGCACTGGCCCAAGATCTAGGCCACTTCTTAAGTCCAGGCACTGAGGTCCTTCAATATGTGGATTTACTTTTGGCTACCAGTTCAGAAGCCTCATGCCAGCAGGCTACTCTAGCTCTCTTGAACTTTCTAGCTAATCAAGGGTACAAGGTGTCTAGGCCGAAGGCCCAGCTTTGCCTACAGCAGGTCAAATATCTAGGCCTAATCTTAGCCAGAGGGACCAGGGCCCTCAGTAAGGAATGAATACAGCCTATACTGGCTTACCCTCACCCTAAGACATTAAAACAGTTGCAGGGGTTCCTTGGAATTACCAGCTTTTGCCGACTATGGATCCCCGGATACAGTGAGGTAGACAGGCCCCTCTATACTCTAATCATGGAAATACAGAAGGCAAATACTCATCTAGTAGAATGGGAACCAGAGGCAGAAACGGCCTTCAAAACCTCAAAGCAGGCCGTAGTACAAGCTCCAGCTTTAAGCCTTCCCACAGGACAAAACTTCTCTTTATACATCACAGAGAGAGCCGGGATAGCTCTTGGAGTCCTTACTCAGACTTGTGGGACAACCCCACAACCAGTGGCATACCTAAGTAAGGAAATTGATGTAGTAGCAAAAGGCTGGCCTCACTGTTTAAGGGTAGTTGCAGCAGTGGCCATCTTAGTGTCAGACGCTATCAAAATAATACAAGGAAAGGATCTCACTGTCTGGACTACTCATAATGTAAATGGTATACTAGGTGCCAAAGGAAGTTTATGGCTATCAGACAACCGCTTACTTAGATAACAGGCACCACTCCTTGAGGGACTGGTGCTTCAAACACGCACGTGTGTGGCCCTCAACCCTGCCACTTTTCTCCCAGAGGATGGGAAACCAATTGAGCATGATTGCCAACAAATTATAGTCCAGACTTATGCCGCCCAAGATGATCTCTTAGAAGTCCCCTTAACTAATCCTGACCTTAACCTATATACCGACAGAAGTTCATTTGTGGAGAATGGGATACGAAGGGCAGGTTACGCCATAGTTAGTGATGTAACCATACTTGAAAGTAAGCCTCTTCCCCCAGGGACCAGTGCCCAGTTAGCAGAACTAATGGCACTTATCTGAGCCTTAGAACTGGGAAAGGGAAAAAGAATAAATGTGTATACAGATAGCAAGTATGCTTATCTAATCCTGCATGCCCATGCTGCAATATGGAAAGAGAGGGAGTTCCTAACCTCTGGGGGAACCCCCATTAAATACCACAAGGAAATTATAAAGTTATTGCATGCAATGCAAAAACACAAGGAGGTGGCACTCTTACACTGCCAAAGCCATCAAAATGGGAAGAAGAGGGGAGAACAGCAGCATAAGTGGCTGGCACAGGTAGGGAAAGACCAGCAAGAAGAAAAGAGAGAAAAAGAAAGTCAGAGAAAGAGAGAGAGTGAGGAAGAAACAGAGAGACAAAGAGAAGGAGTCAGAGACAAAGAGGGACAGACACAGAAAGTCAAAGAGAGAGTTAAAAAGAGAGGAAGAGACAAAGAAGAAGTCAAAGAGAGAGAGAGAAAGAAATAGTAAAGAAAAAAACAGTGTACCCTACTCCTTTAAAAGCCAGGGTAAAGTTCTGTCTACCCAGCCAAGGCATGTTCTTTGTATGTGGAACATCGACCTATATCTGCCTCCCCACTAACTGGACAGGCACCTGCACCTTAGTCTTTCTAAGTCCCAACATTAACATTGCCCCAGGAAATCAGACTCTATCAGTACGCCTCAAAGCTCAAGTCTGTCAGCACAGAGCCATAAAACTAATACCCCTACTTATAGGGTTAGGAATGGCTACTGCTACAGGAACCAGAACAGCCAGTTTATCTACTTCATTATCCTACTACCACACACTCTCAAAGGATTTCTCAGACAGTTTGCAAGAAATAATGAAATCTACTCTTACTTTACAATCCCAAATAGACTCTTTGGCAGCAGTGACTCTCCAAAACCGCTGAGGCCTAGACCTCTTCACTGCTGAGAAAGGAGGACTCTGCACCTTCTTAGGGGAAGAGTGTTGTTTTTACACTAACCAGTCAGGGATAGTATGAGATGCCGCCCGGCATTTACAGGAAAAGGCTTCTGAAATCAGACAATGCCTTTCAAATTCTTATACCAACCTCTGGAGCTGGGCAACATGGCTTCTCCCCTTTCTAGGTCCCTTGGCAGCCATCTTGCTGTTACTCACCTTTGGGCCCTGTATTTTTAACCTTCTTGTCAAATTTGTTTCCTCTAGAATCGAGGCCATCAAGCTACAGATGGTCTTACAAATGGAACCCCAAATGAGTTCAACTAACAACTTCTACTGAGGACCCCTGGACCGACTGACCTGCTGGCACTTCCCCTGGCCTAGAGAGTTCCCCTCTGGAGGCTAGAGCGGTCATCGGCCAAATTCCCAACAGCAGTTAGGGTGTCCTGTTTAGAGGGGGGATTGAGAGGTGACAGCGTGCTGGCAGCCCTCACAGCCCTTGCTCACTCTCGGTGCCTCCTTGGCCTCGGCGCCCATTCTGGCCGCACTTGAGGAGCCCTTCAGCCCGCCGCTGCACTGTGGGAGCCCTTCTCTGGGCTGGCCGAGGCCGGAGCCGGCTCCCTTGGCTTGCGGGGAGATGTGGAGGGAGAGGCGCGGGCGGGAACTGGGGCTGCACGTGGTGCTTGCAGGCCAGCACGAGTTCCGGGTGGGTGTGGGCTCGGCAGGCCCTGCACTCGGAGCGGCCGGCTGGCCCACAAGCGCTAGGCAGTGAGGAGCTTAGCACCTGGGCCAGCAGCTGTTATGCTCGATTTCTCGCCGGGCCTTAGCTGCCTCCCCGCAGGGCAGGGCTCAGGTCCTGCAGCCCACCATGCCTGAGCCTCCCCACAACCCTGCCATGGGCTCCTGCATAGCCCGAGCCTCCCCGACGAGCACTGCTCCCTGCTCCACGGTGCCCAGTCCCATCGACCACCCAAGGGCTGAGGAGTGCAGGGGCACGGCGCAGGACTGGCAGGCAGCTCCACCTGCAGCCCCGGTGCAGGATCCACTGGGTGAAGCCAGCTGGGCTCCTGAGTCTGGTGGGGACTTGGAGAACCCTTGTGTCTAGCTAAGGGATTGTGAATGCACCAATCGGCACTCTGTATCTAGCTCAAGGTTTGTAAATGCACCAATCAGCACTCTGTGTCTAGCTCAAGGTTTGCAAATACACCAATCGACACTCTGTATCTAGCTAATCTAGTGGGGACGTGGAGAACTTTTGTGTCTAGCTCAGGGATTGTAAACGCACCAATCAGCACCCTGTCAAAACAGACCAATCAGCTCTCTATAAAACAGACCAATCGGCTCTCTGTAAAATGGACCAATCAGCAGGGTGTGGGTGGGCCCAGATAAGAGAATAAAAGCAGGCTGCCCGAGCCAGCAGTGGCAACCCGCTCAGGTCCCCTTCCACACTGTGGAAGCTTTGTTCTTTTGCTCTTTGCAATAAATCTTGCTACTGCTCACTCTTTGGGTCCACGCCGCCTTTATGAGCTGTAACACTCACCACGAAGGTCTGCAGCTTCACTGCTGAAGCCAGCAAGACCACGAACCCACCAGAAGGAAGAAACTCCGAACACATCTGAACGTCAGAAGGAACAACTCGGGAGGAACGAACAATTCCAGACGCAACGCCTTAAGAGCTGTAACACTCACCGCGAGGGTCCGCAGCTTCATTCTTGAAGTCAGTGGGACCAAGAACCCACCAATTCCGGACACAGAACTAAAGAAGGTAGGACCACATCCTGATCTAAAGGGCCTTTGCAGCCTGACAGAGCAAAATGCGACCCTTGTTGAGTATCAAGTCCAGCTTAGCAGGGCATCAGTGGGTGTCTGGAACCCCAGAGGTCAGAGGGAGGGCAACAACTGCACAGTGTTCCCCTTGACCTGCTGCCTCATTTAGTATGGTGGTCTCAATCACAAGGCCAGCCTTTTTTTCACACCTCCCAATCTGCCTTCCTCTCTGGCCTTTTCCAGGAGACATACCCACTGAGCTTTGCAGGGTTGCCCTATATTACACCATTTGATTTCTCCAGTCTGTTTCTAAACACTCACGGGGAAGATGATCTCACAACCTCCCTCACCACTCATTCCAGAGTGGAATAAATCCTCAATGAGGAATAGATTTAACACTACATGTTATTTTCTTAAACTGACCAATTTTGAGACAAGTTAAAAAGACATTCAGATATTAAAAGATCAAAAACCAACTTTAATTCTGCTCTATCACTAAGCACAGGAAAAACAAAGCAAATATTAATTTAACATCATTAATATTAAACTGTATTCATAATAGTGATAACCCCTGCCCCTCTGACAAGGAGGATATGTCACAGAAAGGGCCCTAGAGCATTCAACCTCCTACTCAATCCTTGTAACGTCAAAAGTTGACCACTCTGAAAGGTGGTCTTTGGATGTATTATTTTCTCCATATCAAAATTGAAGATCAATGAACTTCAGAAACAAGCTCCTAAACCCAGTTTCAGAAGGGACTCATTTAAAAACAGCATGGGTCTTCCTGACGGCATTTTAAATAAAACATTCTGACTCGCAGCTGTGTCTGCAACCTTCGGGCACTACAAACAAACTCTAATTATTAAGTTTAAAAGCTTCAGCATGACATGACATCTGAAATAACCAGGAAATGATAGAGCAAAAAGTTGTTTAGCGAGGCAGCCATTTATGTAATACTTCTAGTAACCTAAATCACAATGCTCTGCTAGGGGCAGAGAAATCAGGTCTCTTCTTCCCCAACACACATGCAATTCTTGTCCTTAAGCAAATCACTTCCCTTCTTTAAGTGCCGTATTACATGCAAAGGGGTGATAACAACATGTATGTATGTAATACTTGTCATTTGTAGAGTATATTGTCTGCATAAATTAATTTTAATTGTAAATTTAGTAGTGAGTTGTCAGAAACAACGTTCAAAAAGGATTTTTACATGCTTTTCTCCTGATAACATCTCAACCAAGCTTCCTCAGAAAGGAGTTATGACTCCTGCCACAAAAGCAGAGAGATTAGCGGCAGCAAAGAACAGGAAGAGTTTGGGCTTAAGTATAAATCCTGGCCAGTCTTAGAGAACGTAATTAATATCTCTGAAGTCATGGTGTCCTTCTCCTGACAATGGGCCCAGTAATAAATAGTACTTGCCTCACAAAATTGGGATGATTCAGTGGGATGATGCATGCAAAGCACTTAGCAAAGGGCCTGGCAGGGAGGTGGTCCTGGCCAGTGAGGCTGTAATTACCAGCGGAAACCACAATAGAATACTCACCAAAGGCAGGAAGGGCTTCCAGATGTCCATCCCACCTGAACATGGGATGCAGGATTTGGGGCACTTCGACCTGAGACTCTAGTGGTCTTTCTTGGAAGTATCATCTTACCTCTGCTCTTTCTCACAGGGGGACTGGTCAATATCAAAGACTAGGCACTTGTCTGCAAAGAAAAGACAGTTGTGAGTAGCCTGTACAGCAAGTCCTGAAATTTCATAGAAATCTCTGGAGGAATTCCTTGGAAGACATAAAGCCAAGTGAGGTAACGTTTTATTTCTATGTGGTCATCAAACTGCCATTTGTTTGGTTCATCCTCAAAGGAGGTAAGTATCTCATTTTCACATCTCTCGAGGCAAACAGAGCAAACTTGCACAAAATCAACATGAAGTCCCTCTTGGCTTATAAGAATACTCACACTTTTGTTCATATCCAGTTTATTTGAATGCAATTTTGTGAAGCCTTGGTAATATTTCCATTACATCTGAAATACACTGATCAATGTGTGATTTGAGTTTTCCTCAAAAGTCCTCCATTTTTCTGGGGGGGGAGTATGATGTTAATACATAGTGGTGTCCCTTAAAGACATCTGCTGTATTTTACTTGTTGAAAAACTTAATGATAAATACATGAAAGGAATTTAAGTAGTGCTATTTTAATTCATTTGGAATTTTTAAAAAATCAACCAATGAATTCTAGAAGGATCCTCATTTTATGTCTATACAGTTTTCAGCTCTATTCATCAAACATACAGTGGGTGACTTCTATTTCATTACCTACTACAGTCTTCATAATTCCAAGAGTACAAACTGGATATAAGATCCATTTCTAGATGTCAAGCCTCTCCTATATAGCATGATTATTGCTCTCTGACAGAAATCTCAAAAACAGTCATGCTTTCTGGTGCTAAAAATGTTCTTTAGGCACAAGAAATGCCATATAAACTGTCCTCTCCCCCATCACTGGCACTGTTTTAGTTCACATCGCCATCAACTCTAGTCTGCACTCCTGACTGGAGTTCTTGCTGCTTCCAATCTTGACCCCTCCAAATTGTTCTCCACCGAGCAGCCATTGTGACCTCTAAAACGAAGTTCATGTCACATCACTTCCATAATGGTGAGAGGTGACAGCGTGCTGGCAGTCCTCAGAGCCCTCGCTTGCTCTCGGCACTTCCCCTGCCTGGGCTCCCACTTTGGTGGCATTTGAGGAGCCCTTCAGCCCCCCCCCCCGTGCACTGTGGGAGCCCCCTTCTGGGCTGGCCAAGGCTGGAGCCCACTCCCTCAGCTTGCAGGGAGGTGTGGAGGGAGAGGCGCGAGCGGGAACCGGGGCTGCGTGCGGCGCTTGCGGGCCAGCTGGAGTTCCGGGTGGGCATGGGCTTGGTGGGCCCCGCACTCAGAGCAGCCGGCCAGCCCTGCTGGCCCCGGGCAATGAGGGACTTAGCACCCGGGCCAGTGGCTGTGGAGGGTGTACTGGGTCCCCCAGCAGTGCCGGCCCACCGGCGCTGTGCTCGATGTCTCGCCGGGCCTTAGCTGCCTTCCAGTGGGGCAGGGCTCGGGACCTGCAGCCTGCCATGCCTGAGCCTCCCAACCCATTCCATGGGCTCCTGTGTGGCCCGAGCCTCCCCAACGAGCACCACCCCCTGCTCCACGGCGCCCAGTCCCATCCACCCCCCAAGGGCTGAGGAATGCAAGCACACGGTGCAGGACTGGCAGGCAGCTCCACCTGCAGCCCCGGTGCAGGATCCACTAGGTGAAGCCAGCTGGGCTCCTGAGTTTGGTGGGGACGTGGAGAGTCTTTATATCTAGCTCAGGGATTGTAAATACACCAATCAGCACCCTGTGTTTAGCTCAAGGTTTGTGAGTGCACCAATCGACACTCTGTATCTAGCTGCTCTGGTGAGGACGTGGAGAGTCTTTATATCTAGCTCACGGATTGTAAATACAACAATCAGCACCCTGTGTTTAGCTCAAGGTTTGTGAGTGCACCAGTCAACACTCTGTATCTAGCTGCTCTGGTGAGGACGTGGAGAACCTTTATGTCTAGCTCAAGGATTGTAAATACACCAATCGGCACTCTGTATCTAGCTCAAGGTTTGTAAACGCACCAATCAGCGCCCTGACAAAATAGGCCACTCGGCTCTACCAATCAGCAGGATGTGGGTGGGGCCAGATAAGAGAATAAAAGCAGGCTGCCTGAGCCAGCATTGGCAACCTGCTCGGGTCCCCTTCCACACTGTGGAAGCTTTGTTCTTTCGCTCTTGGCAATAAATCTTACTACTGCTCACTCTTTGGGTCCACGCTGCTTTTATGAGCTGTAACACTCACCGCGAAGGTCTGCAGCTTCACTCCTGAGCCAGCGAGACCACGAACCCACCAGAAGGAAGAAACTCCGAACACATCTGAACATCAGAAGGGACAGACTCCAGACGCGCCACCTTAAGAGCTGTAACACTCACCGCGAGGGTCCACGGCTTCATTCTTGAAGTCAGTGAGACCAAGAACCCACCAATTCCGGACACAATGGGAATACTGTCAGCTCCCCTACTGCCACCACCACCATTTTTGCTTGTTGAGAAAGGCCCAGTGCCAGCCTCACCTCCTCTAATACCCCTCCCAATTATAATGACAGCTTTTCTCTCCTCACTCCACAACAGGTAAATATATATAACTTTGCTAGAGTTTTTATTGTTTTGATTTTTATTTCTTAAATATTATCATTAGGCTTGAACATCTTTTTATAGAGTAATAGATCATTTATTTCATTTATTTTTTCTTGGTGAATTGCCAATTAATTTCCCTTTTTTTCTTTTACTTTAAGTTCTGGGATACATGTGCAGAACGTGCAGGTTTGTTACGTTGGTATACATGTGCCATGGTGGTTTGCTGCACCTATCAACCCGTCATCTAGGTTTTAAGCCCCACATGCATTAAGTATTTGTCCTAATGCTCTCCCTCTCCTTGCCCCCCACCCCCCAACAGGCCCCGGTGTGTGATGTCTTTCACCTTGTGTCCATGTGTTCTCATTGTTCAACTCCCACTTATGAGTGAGAACATGTAGTGGCTCTTTTTTTGTTGTGTCTCTGACAGGTTTTGGTATCAGGATGATGCTGGCCTCATAAAACGAGTTAGGGAGGAGTCCCTCTTTTTCTATTGCTTGGAATAGTTTCAAAATGAATGCTACCAGCTCCTCTTTGTACCTCTGGTAGAATTCGGCTGTGAATCCATCTGGTCCTGGGCTGTTTTTGGTTGGTAGGGTATTAATTACTGCCTCAATTATAGAACTTGTTATTGGTCTATTCAGGGATTCGACTTCTTCCTGGTTTAATCTTGGGAGGGTGTATTTGTCCAGGAATTTATCCATTTCTCCTAAATTTTCTAGTTTATTTGCATATAGATGTTTATAGTATTCTCTGATGGTAGTTTGTATTTTTGTGGTATCAGTGGTGATATCCCCTTTATCATTTTTTATTATGTCTATTTGATTCTTCTCTCTTTTCTTCTTTATTAGTCTGGCTAGTGGTCTATCTATTCTGTTAATCTTTTCAAAAAACCAGCTTCTGGATTCATTGATTTTTTGAAGGGTTTTTTGTGTCTTTATCTCCTTCAGTTCTGCTGTGATCTTAGTTATTTCTTGTCTTCTGCTAGCTTTTGAATTTGTTTGCTCTTACTTCTCTAGTTCTTTTAATTGTGATGTTAGGGTGTCGATTTCAGATCTTTCCAGCTTTCTGATGCAGGCATTTAGTGCTTTAAGTTTCCCTCTTACCACTGCTTTAGCTGTGTCCCAGAGAATCTGATACATTGTCTCTTTGTTCTTGTCGGTTTCAAGGAACTTCTTTATTTCTGCGTTAATTTCGTTATTTACCCAGGAGTCATTCAGGAGCAGGTTGTTCAATTTCCATGTAGTTGTGCGGTTTTGAGTGAGTTTCTTAATCCTGAGTTCTAATTTCATTGCACTGCTCTCTGAGAGACTGTTATGATTTCAGGTCTTTTGCATTTGCTGAAAGGTGTTTTACTTCCAATTATGTGGTCGATTTTAAAGTAAGTGCTATGCGGTGCTGATAAGAATGTATATTCTGTTGATCTGGGGTGGAGAGTTCTGTAGATGTCTATTAGGTCCACTTGGTCCAGAGCTGAGTTCAAGTCCTGAATATCCTTGTTAATTTTCTGTCTCATTGATCTGTCTAATATTGACAGTGGGGTGTTAAAGGCTCCCAATATTATTGTGTGTGAGTCTAAGTCTCTTTGTAGGTCTCTAAGAACTTTTTTTTATGAATCTGGGTGCTCCTGTATTGGGTGCATATATATTTAGGATAGTTAGCTCTTCTTGTTGCATTGATTCCTTTACAATTATGTAATGCCCTTCTTTGTCTCTTTTGATCTTTGTTGGTTTAAAGTCTGTTTCATCAGAGACTAGGATTGCAATCCCTGCTTTTTTTGCTTTCCATTTGCTTGGTAAATATTCCTCCATCCCTTTATTTTGAGCCTATGTGAGTGTTTGCATATGATATGGGTCTCCTGAACACCACACGCGGATGGGTCTTGACTCTGTATCCTATTTGCCAGTCAGTGTCTTTTAATTGGGGCACTTAGCCCATTTACATTTAAGGTTAATATTGTTAGGTGTGAATTGGATCCTGTCATCATGATGCTAGCTGGTTATTTTGCGCATTAGTTGATGCAGGTTCTTCATAGTATCATTGTTCTTTATATTTTGGTGTGTTTTTGCAGTGGCTGGTACCACTTTTTCTTTCCATATTTAGTGCCTCCTTCAAGAGCTCTTATAAGACAGGCCTGGTGGTGACAAAATCCCTTGGCATTTGCTTGTCTGTAAAGGATTTTATTTCTCCTTAGCTTATGAAGCTTAGTTTGGCTGGATGTGAAATTCTGGGTTGAAAATTCTTTTCTTTAAGAATGTTGAATATTGGCCCCTACTCTCTTCTGGCTTGTAGGGTTTCTGCATAGAGATCCGCTATTAGTCTGATGGGCTTCCCTTTGTAGGTGACCTGACCTTTCTCTCTCGCAGCCCTTAACATTTTTTCCTTCATTTCAACCTTGGAGAATCTGACAATTATGTGTCTTGGGGTTGCTCTTCTAGAGGAGTATCTTAGTGGTGTTCTCTGTATTTCCTGAATTTGAGTGCTGGCCTGTCTTGCTAGGTTGGGGAAGTTCTCCTGGATAATATCCTGAAGAGTGTTTTCCTACTTGATTCCATTCCCCCCATCACTTTCAGGTACACCAA
The DNA here is from genome assembly GCF_000001405.40 of Homo sapiens. NCBI lineage: Eukaryota > Metazoa > Chordata > Mammalia > Primates > Hominidae > Homo > Homo sapiens. The sequence continues at coordinate 151,547,635 of NC_000023.11, read as the reverse complement.
TCAATCATAGGTTTGGTCTTTTCACATAATCCCAAGAAATTTCACATATTTCTCGGAGTCTTTGTTCATTCCTTTTCATTCTTTTTTCTCTAATCTTGTCTTCATGCCTTATTTCAGTAAGGTGATCTTCAATCTCTGATATCCTTTCTTCCACGTGATCAATTCAGCTACTGATACTTGTGTATGCTTCCACGTGATCAATTCAGCTATTGATACTTGTGAAGTTCTCGTGCTGTGTTTTTCAGCTCCATCAGCTCATTTATATTCTTTTCTAAACTGGTTATTCTGCTTAGCAGTTCCTGTAACCTTTTATCAAGGTTCTTAGCTTCCTTGCATTGGATTAGAACATGCTCCTTCAGTTCAGAGGAGTTTGTTATTACCCACCTTCTCAAGCCTGCTTCTGTCAATTCATCAATCTCATTTTCCATCTAGTTTTGTGCCCTTGCTGGAGAGGAGTTGTGATCATTTGGAGAAGAGGTATTCTGGTTTTTGGAATTTTCAGCCTTTTTGTGCTGGTTTTTCCTCATCTTCATGGATTTATCTACCTTTGGTCTTTGAGGCTGATGGCCTTTGGAAGGGGTTTTTGTGTGGGGGTCTTTTTTGTTGATGTTGATGTTGTTGCTTTCTGTTTGTTAGTTTTTCTTCTAACAGTCAGGCCCCTCTTCTGCAGGTCTGTTGCGGTTTGCTGGAGGTCCACTCCACACCCTGTGCACTTAGGTGTCACCAGTGGAGGCTGCAGAACAGCAAAGATTGCTGCCTGCTCCTTCCTCTGGAAGCTTCGTCCTAGAGGGGCGCTGGCCTGATGCCAGGCGGAGCTCTCCTGTATGAGGTGTCTGTCGATCCCTGTTGGGAGGTTTCTCCCAGTCAGGAGGCACGGGAATCAGGGACCCACTCAAGGAGGCAGTCTGTCCCCTAGCAGAGTTGGTGCGCTGTGCTGGGAGAATCCCCCTTGTCAGGATCAGATGCTCTCTCCAGAGCTTGCAGGCAAGAAAGATTAAGTCCTCTGAAGCTGCGCCCACAGCTGCCCCTCACCCTAGGTGCTCTGTCCCAGGGAGATGAGAGTTTTATCTGGAAGCCCCTGACTGGGGCTACTGCCTTTCCTTCAGAGATGCCCTTCCCAGTGAGGCGGAATCTAGAGAAGCAGTCTGGCCATAGCCGGTTTGCTACACAGTGGCGAATTCCTCCCAGTCCAAACCTCCCAGTCTTCTTACCACTGTCTGGGGAAAACCGCCTACTAAAGCCTCAGTAATGGCAGATGCCCCTCCCCCCACCAAGCTCCATCCTCCTAAGTTGCCTCCAGACTGCTGTGCTGACAGTGAGAATTTCAAGCCAGTGGTTCTTAGCTTGCTGGGCTCCGTGGGAGTGGGACCCACTGAGCAAGACCACTTGGCTCCCTGGCTTAAGCCCCCTTTCCAGGGGAGTGAACTGTTTTGTCTCACTGGTGTTCCAGGTGCCACTGGGATATGAAAAAACTCTTGCAGCTAGCTCGGTGTCGGCCCAAACAGCCACCTAGTTTTGTGCTAGAAATCCACGGTCCTGGTAGTTAGACACACGAGGGTATCTCCTGATCTGCAGATTGCAAAAACCACGGGAAAAACATAGTACCCAGGCCAGGTAGCACAGTCCCTCACGGCTTCCCTTGGCTGGCGGGGTGGGGAGGTCCCCCAGCTCCTTGCACTTCTCGTGTGAAGCAACGCCCCACTCTGCTTCTGCTTGCTCTCCTTGAGTTGTACCCACTGCCTAACCAGTCCCAATCAGATGAACTGGGTACCTCAGTTGGAAGTGCAGAAATCATCTGCCTTCTGCGTTGGTCTTGCTGGGAGCTGCAGACCAGAGCTGTTTCTATTTGGCTATCTTGTCTTTACTCCTAGAGTTCTTACTAAATGTTTTGATGTGACAAACTATGGAAGAAACATGTTTTGGCATTGGAATCCAGGAAAAAAAATAATGCCTTTCAGAAACAGCATTAACTAAAAAGAAAAAAAAAATGTTAAAACATGTTCTTAGAGAGCCTAAACCTCTATGATTTCTTCTTCCTCTGCTCTCAATTTAACAAGAACAAGTTTAGGCCAGGCGAGGTGGCTCATGCCTGTAATCCCAGCACTTTGGGAGGCCAAGGTGACTGGATTACTTGAGGTCAGGAGAGTGCGAGACCAGCCTGGTCAATATGGTGAAACCCCGTCTTTACAAAAATACAAAAATTAGCCAGATGTGGTGGTGTGTGCCTGTAATCCCAGCTGCTCAGGGAGGCTGAGGCAGGAGAATGGCTTGAACCCAGGAGGCAGAGGTTGCAGTGAGCTGAGATCATGCCACTACACTCCAGCCTGAGTGACAGAACAAGACTCCGTCAAAAAAAAAAAAAAAATCAAGACCACTGAAAGTACCTATGTCCTCTAACCTACAGAGTGTTGGTGAACCTCAGAAGAGTCTCTCACAAAGATGACAGAAGGGCAAAAGTCGGAAATTTGCTTGGAGTCTTGCCTTAGTGATCCTAGCATAGCCAAGCTGGCCATTATGGATGGTCTAGTCCAAGCCCTTCACTTTCTAATTGAGGACAGTGAAGCCCAGGGAGTTCTTTGGGGAGAATTATCAAATCCCAGGGCTAGAGATTAGTTGTACCCAGATGAGAAGCCCTGGATGCTCCCACTTTATCATGCCCACGTGTATTTTGCTCCCACAAAATGGTTGCTTTGAAACAGAGCATGAACAGGCTCTAAAGTTGTTCCTAAATTTCCAACAAATGGTAAGATGGTAGACTTAAACCCAGGCATATCAATAATTAGATTAAAAGAAAATAATAGTATGAAAACCTCAATCAAAAGACAAAAATTACCAGACTGGGAAAATAAAGCAATCTGAACAATAATCTCATATATAGGAAACACCTCTGTTTTTGAGACAGGGTCTCCTTTAGTCACCCAGGCTGGAGTACAGAGGTGCAGTCACAGCTCACTGCCACCTTGACCTTCTGGGATCAAGCAATTGTCCCACCTCAGCCTCCAGAGTAGCTGGAACTACAGGTGTGCTCCACCACACCCAGATACTTTTTTGATTTTTTTGTAGAGACGGGGTCTCACTTCGTTGTCCAGGCGTCTTGAACTCCTGGACTTAAGCAATTCTCCCATCTCTGCCTCTGAAACTGCTGGGATTATAGGTGTGAGCCATCATATCCAGCCTATAGGAAATGCCTTTAAATACAAAGATGAAGAGAGGTTAAAAGTAGGATGAAAAACAGGTATCATGCAAATATTAATTATAAAAAAGATGGAGTAGCTATATTAATATTAGATAAAATGGACTGCAGGATAAGTAATCTTACCAGGAATAAGAATAACTTTTCATAGTAATAAAAGAGTCAATTCAAGAAGGCATAACAGCATCAAAAAGAATAAAATGCTTAGGAATAAACTTTTTTTTTTTTTCGAGATGGAGTCTCGCTCTGTTGCCCAGGCTGGAGTGCAGTCGCGTGATCTTGGCTCACTACAACTTCTGCCTCCTGGGTTCAAGGGATTCTCCTGCCTCAGCCTCCGGAGTAGCTGGGACTACAGGTGCCTGCAGCCACGCCCAGCTAATTTTTTTGTATTTTATCTGCCAAATGTCTAGGCAGATAAAAAGGGGTCCCTGGAGAATCTCCAAACTGCCCCACAAGTTTTTACATCAGATGCTTGTGTGCAGGTGAAGAAATCTGCCCAGGACTTGTCTGGGCATGCCCACAGTGGACTGGAGCTCAACATATGCACTGGGGGAAGTGGGTGGAGCCACAGGGAATTCACATCTTAAGCAGAGGAGGACTCTGCTCTCTTCAGCTTGTGTGGTGACCTGGGAATCTATCTGTGTGGTGGAGGGCCTGTTAGCAAGGAGGTTAAAGATTTGTGCACTAAAAAGTACAAAATGCTAAAATAAATGCAAGAAGACACAAAAAACGGAAAGGCATCCCCATGTTCATGGATTGGAAGATTTAATGTTGTTAATATGTCAGTACTACCCAGCGCAATCTACAGATTCATCCCAATCCTTATCAAAATCCTGATGGCAATTTGCAGAAATAGAAAAATCTGTCCTAAAATATATGTATATGGAATCTCAAGAGACATTGAATAACCAAAATAATCTTTAAAAAGAACAAAGTTGAAGGTCTCACACTTCCTGATTCCAAAACTTACAACAAAGCTACACGAATCAAAAGAATGTAGCTATGGCATAAAGACAGACATATAAAGAATAAACTAGGCCAGGCACAGTGGCTCATGCCTGTAATCCTAACACTTTTGGAGGCCAAGGCAGGCAGATTGCCTGAACTCAGGAGTTCAAGACCAGCCTGGGCAACACGGTGAAACCCCGTCTCTACTAAAATACAAAAAAATTAGCTGGGCGTGGTGGCGGGCGCCTGTAGTCCCAGCTACCTGGGAGGCTGAGGCAGGAGAATTGCTTGAACCTGGGAGGCGGAAGTTGTAGTGAGCCGAGATCGTGCCACTGCACTCCAGCCTGGGCAACAGAGTGAGACTCCATCTCAAAAAAAAAAAAAAAACTAGACAGCCCAGAAATAAAAGTTCACATATATAGTCAAATGATTTTCAACAAATGTACCAAGACCATTCAATGAGGAAAGGGCAGTCTTTTCAACAAATGATGCTGGGAAAACTCAGTATCCACATGCAAAAAAATTTAAAAAGAAGTTGGAACCTTACCTTATACCATATTCAAAAATTAACTCAAAGTTAATCAAAGACATAAATGCAAGTGCTAAAACTACAGAACTCTTAGAAGAAAACATAAGAGAAAAGCCTCATGATATTAGATTTAGCAATGATTTCTTAAATATGGCACTAAAAGCATACACAACAAAAGAAAAAATGAATAAATTGGCTTTCATCAAAATTTTTAAAATTTATGCATTAAAGGACACTGTCAGAGTGAAAGGCAGCTCATGGAATGGTAGAAAATATTTGTAAATCATATACCTGATAAGGGATTAAAATCTAGATTATATAGAGAACTTCTACAACTCAACAAAAATAAAACTCAAAAGGAAAAGGACTGGAATAAACATTTCTCTAGAGAAGCTATACAAATGGCCGATAAACATATGAAAAGATGCTCACCATCACTAATCATTAGGGAAATGCAAATCAAAACCACAGTAAGATAACATTTCACATCCATTAGAATAATTATTATTTTAAAAACAGAAAATAACAAGCATTGGTGTGGATGCTGAGAAATTGGAACCCTTATGCATTACTGGTGGGAATGTAAAATGGTGCAGCTGCTGTAAAAAAAAAAAAAATAGTATGCTGGTGCCCCAGAGAGCTAAACATAGAATTATCACATAATTTAGTAATTCCACTTCTGAGTACATACACAAAAAATTGAAAGCAGGGACTGAACAGATATTTGTACACCCATTTTCATAGCAGCATTATTTATAGTAACCCAAAAGTGGAAGCAACAACAGATTAATGGCCAAACAAAATGTGATATATAAAGAAAATGGATCGGCTAAGCATGGTGGCTCACACCTATAATCCCAGCACTTTGAGAGGCTGAAGTGGGAGGAGAGCTTGAGCTCAGGAGTTTAAGACCAGCCTGGAAAACATAGTGAGAACTCCACCTTTACCAAAATAATTTTTAAATCAGCAAGCTGTGGTGGCACATGGTTCTGGTTTTAGCTGCTTGGGAGACTGAGGTGGGGGGATTGCTTGAGCCCAGGAGTTGAGGCTGCAGTGAGCTAAGTGAGCTATGATTGCACCACTGCATTCCACCCTGGGCAACAGAGTGAGACCCTGTCTCTTAAAAAAAAAAAACAGACAATGGATTATTATTCAGCCTTCAAAGGAAAAACATTTTGACACATGCTACAACATGAATGAATCCTGAGGACATTATGCTAAGTGAAGTAAACCAGTCACAAAAGCATAAAAATAGTATGAATCCACATATAGGAGGTATCTAGAGTAGTCAAACACATGGAGACAAGGGCTGGGGGAGGATATATGAGGAGTTCTTGTTTAATGGGTACAGAGTTTCACTTTAGGAAGATGAAAAAGTTCTGGAGGTGGTTGACAGTGATGGCTGCACAGCAGTGTGAATGTAGTTATCACCCCAAACTTAACACTTAAAACTGGTTAAAGTGATAAATTTTTTGTTATGTATATTTTACCACAATAAAAGGAATTTTAGAATTAAAAACTAAGGGTACTACATTATGACCATATAGAATTCATCCCATAAACACAAGGTTGGTTTAACTTTTGAAAATCAATTAATTTAAGTCACCAGAATAAAGGAGAAAACCCAGAGGATCATTGACAGAGATATAAAAATGGACAACATTCAACATCCATTCCTTATATAAATATAAATATATATTCAGCAATCCAGGAATAGAAGAAAATTTCCTCAGCCTGACAAAGCGCATCTAAAAAAGACCTACAGTTAACATCCTACTTAATGATGAAAAATTGAATGCTTTCCTCCTAAGATCAGAAAAAAGACTCAATTGTAAGACTAACTAGTTTTTCTGTGAGTGGGAACTATTCAAATATGTCCTCTCCTTCCACTTTTATTCAACATTATACTAGAGGGCCTATTCAGTAAAATAATAATAAAGAAATATAAGACAAAGATATTAGAATGTAAGAAGCAAAACTATTATATATGTACATAGAAAATCTATGGAATCTACACAAAAATCTGCTAGATTTAAGGAGTAAATATAGGAGAGTCAAAAGTTACAAAGTCAATGTACAAAAATCAGTTGTGGGTAGATCTTAAGTGTTCTAACCAAAATAAATAAATAAATAAAAAGTAAAAGGAAATGGTAACTATGTGAAGTGATGGATATGTAAATCATTTAACATTTCACCATATATACATACGTCAAAACATCCAGTTGTACACCTTAAATATATACAATTTTTACTTATCAATTATGCCTCACTGAAGCTGGGGAAAAAAACAATTATGGGACTTCCATTTTTGGGAAGATGGAGTTGACATATTTCTCCCTATTCCTTCCACTAAGTACAACTAAAACCCCTGGACAATAGGTATAAAACAAACAGAAGTAGACACTGAAAGGTAGAAAGAAGAAAGTTGACTCTTTAGGGACTTCAGGATCCATGGAACTACTCAGTGGTGGCTTCTGTGGGTTTTCTTTCTGCCTCACAGATCCCAAACTTGGAGCTGAAGAAACTGGCAATCTGGAAACACCAATGGGTGCAGACAGAAAAAGCTCCAAGAAAAACTTGCTCTCTCCAGCCAAAGGACCAGGAAAGGGGTGCCTAGGGCAGAAAACATTTGGACAATAACTTCTCTAATCCAGCTAAATACCACAGAAAAATTATTGTGACCCCACCTTCATTCCAGCCAGCAAGGGCACCCCAATCTCCCCTTCAAGCCAGTGTCAGAAAATGCCAAGTAGGAACTTCCACCATAGCTCACTGGAAACAGGGTCCTGTCCCTTCCCCTCTCCATGATGACAGCTCCTGTGACCTGCCTGGCAAGCCCTTTGAGGGAAGTCTGGCCTCATCCATTCACTCACTTAGCATTTAGAGATGGTGGCCAATACTCGGGCCTGGGCCTTGGGGATTCATAAATGATGAAATCCCAATCTCTGCCTTCTAGGGGTTCATAGACTTGGAAGTAAGGGTTGACAGTTGATGGAACAAGTTACAGTGCAATGTAATAGGGGAAGGCTGTGGTGAAAGAAGGCACAGGGGGCTCTACTTCCACTGGGGAGGGACTGCAACACCACAGAGATGGGGAGGAAGGCAACAATTCTAGCAATGCTTCTCAGAGGGGGTGATGGTGATTACAGAGTTGAGTCCTGATGAGTCTCAAGTAGCAAGCCAAACAAAAAAGTAATGAAAGTGCTTCCCAAGCAGAAAAAAATAGCATGTGCAAAGTCACTAAGACATTAAACATCCTGCTGATGGAATTGGGTATCATTCTTTTGGCCTGGAGCATACAGTATGAAGGGCAGGTGGAAGAAGATGAATCTAGACATGTAAGGAGGGGCCAGATCATGCAAGACCTTGAAATCTTGCATGTAGTTGACTCTCAATAAATATTTGGTGAAAGAATAAATAAAAGTCTTAATGGGATAAGCAATCAATTAACTTCAAGCTGTTTTGAGGTTCAATCCTCAAGTCTATCAGGAGCCACTGAAATGTAGTGAGAAAGATGTAGTCAGATGGGATATACTAGAAAAAACAGCAGGAAGGAAGGAAGGCTACATGCACCCTAGTGTTCCATAACCCTGCACAGCATCAGGGCAAGGTCCTTAACTTCCTAGCAAGTACTACTAGGGAGCATATAAAGCCTTGAGACTGAAAATCTTGGTAACAAACATAAACAAGATTGCTCTTACACATTTTCAGACTTGCAGGAACAGCCAGAACTGTTTTGCCTAGAGACAGGATGGTAACACAACCAAAGAAGACTATGGTCTTTTCATTGCAACTTGAAACTCGACATTTCAACAGAATGCAACAAACTAAGCTCTGAGGTCAACCATCTTCCATCTTGGCTGACACTGCCCTACTTTTGCCTTTTGTAGAGGGTGGACTGTTTTCTAACTGGGTGTGTAATGAGAACAGAAATGGATTCCTTTAGTATATCTTGACTTTCCTGATTTAAGTGGGCTGCCAAGAAACTGAGCTAACAGGACTAATGATGCTTCCCAACTACTCCCAAGTGCCATGACTCATGATGGTGGGTAAAGTCTCTTTGGCAAACTGTAAGCATGGCAAGCTGTTTATTCCCTGCTCCTGTTCCTTAAGTCTCCTCCCTCCTACCCTGTGGTAGTCGGCTTGCTGACCTTAGAACTGCAACACTTTTCTTTTCACTAAGACAGCCAAATGCCTAGGCAGATAAAAAGGCATCCCTGGAGAATCTCCGATCTGCCCCACAAGTTTTTACATCAGATGCTTGTGTGCAGATGAAGAAATCTGCCCAGGGCTTCTCTGGGCATGCCCACAGTGGACTGGAGCCCAGCATATGCACTGGGGGAAGTGGGTGGAGCCACAGGGAATTCACATCTTAAGCAGAGGAGGACTCTGCTCTCTTCAGCTCCTGTGGTGACCTGGGAATCTATCTGTGAGGTGGAGGGCCTGTTAGCAAGACTCCATATCACTTTGCTGAGAGGTTTTTTTCCTTTTTTCCTTTTCACCCAGTAAATTCCTCTCTAATCACCCTTCAACATGTCTGTGCACCCAATCCTTCCTGGTCATGTGACAAGAACTTGTTTTTTTCTACATTTTTGGTGGCCTGTATGGGGACATGGGAAAAGGTTAGTAACATGCAAACCAAAAACTGTTTCTTCCTTTCACTTCTAAGCCTTTTTGTCCTCAGACTTCTTCTGAGGGTAGAGAAAATTATACCTCTCCCATTCATGTTGCTCCTGGGGGTCGGTAATGTCACCTTTTTCCTTCTTTTTTGGGGATGGACGGGCGAACCGGCAGCTCCCCAGCTCCCCTCTTAAGTTTGTCTCCCAGTTGGAGGAGCCCATTGGCATAAGAATAAGAGGTTCTTCCCCCAGGCATCTTTCCAGCCCTTCACTTTAAAGTTTTTTTCCTTTTCTCTACCCTGTCAGCAGTTAACACAGCCCTGTACTTTAAGCTTTCTTTCTTTCTCTACCAGGTGATGAGTTAACTTTTAAGTGAGGTGTTTTTTTTTCTTTTCAAAATGTTTTACTAGGCCAGTAATGATAAAGTTCACTGTTTATATTCTCTGTAAAGTTTTAATTATGAAAAAGGATTTGTGAGGGTGGTCTTGAGCTATAGCCAATCTGGTGTGCTTTGTGTGTCTTTCTATATGGTACATAGCAAACTTTGTGGCAGTCCTCCATCTTGTTTTACCTCCTTGGGAGCATGACCTGTAACCACATAGCAATGCTTTGTTTAGCCTCTGCCATTTTACAGTGGTGGCCCCGATTCAATCCTGGCTTAGGGAATGAGTCCTTTCTAGTTTGATATCTTTGCATCCTTTGCTATTTGTTGACTCTCTTTCCCTCCACTAATCCTTGGATTTTCCTTTCTCTGAGCCTTAATAAGGTTTGAAAGCCAGAGATATTGGCCACTTGGCATGGCTAAAATTGGATAATAAGGGAGTTAAAATGATTTTCTTAAAGAGTGCTCAGCTTAATTAAAGTGGATATCCAAGTTATAGGTATATTTAAAAGGCCTTTATGTTTTTCTTTTCTTGGACCTTGTTTTGCTAGAAAAAGGTGTTTTCTCAGTTGATTGAATTATTTTTCTCCATTTTGCCTTGCCACTCTTAATGCACACATGAGAGTGGGGAGACCTCTGTTTTCCTCATGGAACCCCAGGAATTAAAAGCAGATAGATCCTTCTCAAAATCTGTTTTTGCCCCACCTATGTCTGTTTACTAGGCCTTAGAAGCTACAAGTTTTCTGAGCCCTGTCTTTTAAAGGACTCCACCTGGAGGCCAATAATCCAATTAGGAGATTGGCAAACAAAAAATCTTACGGCAACTGGGTTTTCTTCTACCTGTCTGTGTAGCTATATATGTGTTGTATGTGTGGTGTCTATGAAAAGAGTTCTAATTAATTGGCCTAAAGGAAGATAAGCGCTTGGATCAAATATTTTTTTAAAGGGAATATAAAGCTCTGGTACCTTTTAGTTCACATGACTGTAATCTTTGAGAAATAAAAACAGCCTTAAAGATTATTGGTAAAGTGCAGATATTGTCAAAATATTAATAGGTGAACTAAATTATGCAGGTCAGATACTAGGTTTGCTAAATGTTTTAAGGTTATAACTGATTTTTTGTTTTTTGAGAACTATTTAAGTAGCCTGCTTCACAACTGATAAGGCCTGGGGACATATGGAACTAACCACACCCTTAATTATGCTGGAAGGAGTCAAACTTGGCTGCACCTAGCACATAATTAAAACAACTTACCAGGTTTTACATTAAAGTTAAAAATTTCTAGGAGCTACCATTATAACATGTAATTGAAACTGCTAGAAATAAATTTACATGCAAGGTGTGTAAGAACAGTAAAATATGTTTTTAATACAATATTATAAGAAGGTGTGGAAATGTAAATTCTTGCCTAGGGTTAAAGGATTGTTTTGAGTTAGATAAGATAAAGATAAAAGGTCAAACATGTTGTGAAAGGATTGTAACAATTAATATTGCCAAAGAAATTCTGTGTGTGAACTTACGGACTAAATTCAAAAGGATATTATATGGTTTTTCTGTAAATTGAGCATTGAAATAAAAGCACAACAAGATACTCTTAAGGCACTAATCTGCTCTTTAGCAAAATTTGTAAAGGATTGTAGAAGGTTTTTGCTTTTTCAAATTTCTTTTTTTATTTTTATTTTTACTTATTTATTTTTTTTAATTTAATATTATTATACTTTAAATTTTAGGGTACATGTGCACATTGTGCAGGTTAGTTACATATGTATACATGTGCCATGCTGGTGCGCTGCACCCACTAACTCGTCATCTAGCATTAGGTATATCTCCCAGTGCTATCCCTCCCCCCTCCCCCCACCCCACAACAGTCCCCAGAGTGTGATATTCCCCTTCCTGTGTCCATGTGATCTCATTGTTCAATTCCCACCTATGAGTGAGAATATGCGGTGTTTGGTTTTTTGTTCTTGCGATAGTTTAAAAAATTAATGTTCCATGGATGAAATTGGAACATTAATTTTTTAAAAAAAGAAATGAATTTGGTCAAATATATCTTCCAAACTCTATGCAGTTCTTTAGTAAGAAAATGAGGAATGTACAAGGCACAAGAATCCTTCCATATGGACACTACATCCCAGTGAGTTTCAGGCAGGAGATCTGGTCACTGGCTTGGACTCCTAGTGTAGATCTCTGGGCTAGACTGTGGCAATGGTCCTTTAACTGTTCTGGCTTTCTCTGCCCTATCCGGTCATCAAAACCCAGGGGGCCTTTCCTTGCTTGGCAAATAGTGGACGTGATAGGTGTTAGTTTCTCTTAGCCTTCCTGAACTAATCCAGGCCTCCTTTCCCATTTCATGTCTCCTGCCTCCTAAAGTACAGCTTCTGTGCTAACCATGCCACATTTCTCACCCGTCCAAGACTTCTCAACTGGGAGGCACTTCTACATCTCTTTGATCTCGGTTCAGAATTATGTGTACCACTATCTGGTAGCTGACAGAGGGCAGGGACCATATGGGAGATTCCCTGTCTTCCCAAGCCCCTACCACAGTGTCAGACCCTGGTTTGGTGGGCGAATAGGAAAGGGAGCAGGGTAAGGATCAATTTAATATTGTGATTTAGTGCTACAGTAGCCCAGATAAATTTCTCCTTTGAGCTGCCTTAGCATCACACATTTTACATTTCCAAATAGCTCATGTAATGTTGCGTGACCCTGGGAGTGAATGCCTCCTTAAATGTGCCCTGGGCACTCCACTTGCTACATCTTAGTTCCAGCCTTGGTTGCCAATTCTCTTTTTATGTGGGATCTCAGGCAAGCTGGGCCATCTCTAAGTTGTGTTCCTGGGCCTCTGCAATAAGAAACATCCTGGTTCAAGTCAACCAGAGAGCCCCCTGGCTCCATGCAATTTATGCCATCTTGTCCATCTTTTAAAACTGGTATCCAGTTTGATGAACTGTGTTCATCTTTTTAAACTGGTTTACATGAGACCCTAGAACTGGCCTAGCCAGCCCAAGTAAAGAGCCTTGGGCACTAAGTCTTTCCATTCTGAAGCAGTTACTACTGCCCAAGCAATCTTAGGGTAGCTTAAATCAAAAGCACAGGCTGTAGGCACGGAACTTTAAAATGTTTTTATAGGAGAAAATGTCTTCACCTAAAGATTGTGAGCAAGCCATGTTTTTGCCCTCTGGTCATTTTTGGGTTTTTTTTTTTTTCAGCATTTGTGTAATTATTTGTGGCTTCAGTTGCTATGAAAAAAAAACACCACTTACCATGACAACTATAACAATTTTGTCTCAATAATATGAAGCTTCAAAAATACTGAAATATGTAGGACTCTAATATCCCTCCTTTTTTAAAAAATCAACAAAATGTTCTTCTCTTTAGAAAAGCCACCTCACTATTCTCCACTTTCTCTGTGTTGCTTGTCACAGATAGCCAGAAGACTTCAACAAGGAATACCCAAGGGCTAAAATCAAATGAAATTTTCATAAAAAGCCAGGTCATTAAAAACCAAAGAATGACAAAATAGAGATTTATCATGGACATATTCTGAAGATGTGTGCAGGTTCTTTTACATACAACTTTTCATTTTATCACGATTTTACCTCATTTTACAGAAGAGAAGAACACTCAGAAGTTCAATCACTCGTCCAAAGAGGCAGGGCAAACCCAGGGCAGATCTGCTTGAGTGATCATTCTCTTCCGGCTTATCACAGCATTGTTTATTTAAGCAGTCTGGTCACCTAATTATTATAATCAAGCGAAAACTGAGCGTTCAGAATGATCTTTTTCAAATAGAAAACTAAGAGCTTTTGTTAAAAAATAAAATTGATCCAGTTACTAGTCTTCCTGTAGGTATACCTTTGGAACAACTAAAATCCCCTCTCACCTGGCTCCCTCTGCCCTAAGTCAGTTCAGAAATTGCAGGGTTAGGGAGGCAGGGAACCCCTGCTGCAACCCACAAGAATGGCTATCAAAAGGACAAATAATAACAAGTGTTGATGAGGATGTGGAGATATTAGACCTCTCACACACTGCTAGTGGATATGTAAAATGATGCAGCTGCTGTGGAAAACAGTCTGGTGGTTCCTGAAAAGGTTAAACACACAGATACCATAAGACCCAGCAATTCCATTCCTAGGTATATGACAAAGAAAATTTAAAAATTTACATCCAAAGAAATACTTGCACATGAATGCTCCTAATTCATATTATTCATAATAGCCAATAAGTGGAAACAACCCAAATGTCCATCAACTGAAGAATGGATAAACAAAATATGGTATATCCTTACAATAGAATACTATTCAGCCATAAAAATGAAGTACCGATTGATGCTACAATATGAATAAACCTTGACAGCATATGCTAAGTGAAATAAACCAGTCACAAAAACACAAATACTGTATGATTAGCTTATCTGAGGTTCCTAGATTAGTCACATTCAAATAGACTGAAGGTAGAATGGTAGTGGCCAAGGGCTGGGCAAGGGAGGAATGGGGAGTTAGTGTTTAATGGGGACAGAATTTCAGTTTTGCAAGATATAAAGACTTCTGGAGATTGATTGCAAAACAATGTGAATGTACTTACCACTATTGAAGTGTACACTTAAAAATGATTAAGATGGTAAATTTCATGTGATATGTTTTTACCATAATAAAAGAATAGCTTCTATTTATACGAAATGTCCAGAATGGGCAAATCCAGAGAGATAGAAAGTATATTAGTGGTTGCCAGGAGCTGGGAGGAGGGAGACTGGGAAGTGACTACTAATGCATGGGGTTTCTCTTGGTGGTGATGAATATGTTCTGGAATTACGTAATGGTGGTATTTGCACAACCTTGTGAATACATTGAAAAAACACTGAATTGTATGCTTTAAAAGGGTAAATTTTATCTCAAAATTTTGATACAAGACAATAAAAGAATCTAGAAGTAGGAGCTGGAGTGTACGCCAGAGATGAAAGGAAAAGGAAAGATAGGAAATTGATGATTATGAGAAACTATGCAAAAGCTACACATTGGCTTCCCTGCTCACAAACGTCTCATTGTCTGCAGGTGCAGACAGTCATGCACCACAGTTAGCTCAAACCAAGAGTGGGCTTCGTGGCTGGAGATAAAATAAGCAAAATACATATCCATTATGATTATTTTAAACATGACACAAGATTGCCGTGAAACCCAGTTGATAACTACTCCTAATGGCTGGTCAGTGGCTAACTAACTTGAAGATACAAAAAATAATTATAATATGAATAGATACTAATATTCTATTTGAATACAGCCTAATGGCACTTATATGTCCTAATTCCATGCTTTTCTAATAATATCTGCCTCATTCTCACTACTGATGTTGGATAATAGAAATCTCTGTGGACAGCTAATAGGATACTAGTGTAAATTAACAATAGCCGTCATTTAATTAAGCTATTTGAGAAAGTCTGGTTCCTACTGGACTTGCTAGAAGTACATCAAACCTCTTGATTTATAACAGTGTAGGGCATGAGTTCCTGGCTGCCCCATAAGGAAGGAAACTGCCAGAAGCCCTTTAGAATGAAGAAAAGTGAGAAGATTCTTGGAAAGTGGACTGAGCTTTTAACTCTGCAAGGGACCCTCAGCCCTCTTGGCATACTGAAGTGAACACTCTGCAGCTAAGCACCACTGAATCCAGCAGGTAAGCCTCCCCTCAGGTTCATCTTGCAAGATTGGCTTCTTTGCTTTTCCTTTTTCAGGTAAGTTATTCTATTCCTGGCAATGAATAAAATGACCAAGGTGAATGCATACAGAATGAAGCTAAAGTCATGCTAGAGATAGTGTCAAATTTAAGTAGATCATAGTACAGAATGAAGAGCTCAGAGACCCAGCAAGACCCAGCTATGCATGGGATTATAGGATACAATAAATATGGCATCACAGGTTATGGAAAAGCATGGATCAGTTAGTAGACAGTGCTGGGAAAATTGTCTTATTATGTGCAGAACAATCAAACTAGGTTCCTCTCTAACAACCTATATGAAGGTGGATTCCAGATGATTTCAAGGATAATCATGGGCCGGGCATGGTGGCTCATGCCTGTAATCCCAGCACTTTGGGAGGCTGAGGTGGGTGACCTCCTCACCTGAGGTCAGGAGTTCGAGACCAGCCTGGCCAACATAGTGAAACCCCATCTCTACTAAATATACAAAAATTAGCTGGGCATGGTGGCGTGCACCTGTAGTCCCAGCCACTTGGGAGGCTGAGGCAGGAAAATCACTTGAACCCGAGAGGTGGAGGTTGCAGTGAGCCCAGATAGTGCCACTGCATTCCAGCCAGGGAGACAGGGCAAGACTCCATCTCAAAACAAGCAAACAAACCAAGAATAATTATGAAAGGAAAAAATGGTAGCAACAAAAAAGAAATTGTAAAATATTGTTTTTGTCTTGGAATGGGAAAGGATTTCTTAAGACTCCAAAACCCAAAATGTGAAGTCAATGTTAATTGATTTGATTGCATTACAATTAAGGATTTCTGTTCATGAAGGACACTACGAACAAAATTCAAGATGGATGGCAGGATGGGAGAAAATATTTGCAATATCTAAAACCAAGAGGAACTAACTTTAAGCTAGATAAGACACTTGTAAAAAGCAACACAAAAAAAGAAAGCATAATAGAAAAATGATTAAAGTATAAAGGAGCAGTGATACGGTTTGGCTCTGTGTCCCTACCCAAATCTTATCTCAACCTGTAATCCCCACGTGTGGAGGGAGGTGACTGGATTGTGAGGGCGTTTTCCCCCATGCTGTTCTCGTGATAGTGAGTGAGTTCTCACAATATCTGATGGTTTTATAAGGGGATCTTCTCCCTTCACTGGGCACTTCTTCCTGCCACCTTGTGAAGAAGGTGCCTTGCTTCCCCTTCCCCTGATTGTAAGTTTCCTGAGGCCTCCCAAGCCATGAGGACTGTGAGTCAATTAAACCTCTTTTGTTTATAAATTACCCAGTCTTGGGTAGTATTTTGATAGCAGTGTGAAAATGGAAAATACAAGCAGGTAATTTATAAAGGAGTTAACCCAAAAAGCAAACACACATATGAGGAGATGCTCCAATTCATTATAATCAGAGAAATGTAAATTAAAGCAACTATGTAATATGATCTTATACCTTCTGGACAGGAAAAATTAGAAAGCTGGAGATTACCAAGTATTGACAGAGCTGAGGTATTATAGGAATTCTCATGCTTTGCTGTGGGAACATAGACAGGGCCAGCCAATTGCAAAGAAATCAAGCAAATACTGCTCAGTTCAATTAAGTATACACAGTCTCCATGGTCCAGCAATTTTGCCTTTGTATGTATGCATATATGTATGTACATGTGTATGTACATATAGGGGTATGTGTATATATATATAATATTAACTAATAGACACATGTTGATAGCAGCATTATTCATAATAGCCAAAAAGTGAAAACAAGCCAAATGTTCATCAACTGATGATAAATAAAATACACCCATATAACAAAATGTAATTTGGCAATAAAAAGAAATAAAGTGGCGGGTGCAGTGGCTCATGCCTGTAATCCCAGCACTTTGGGAGGATGAGGCGGGTGGATCACGAGGTCAGGAGTTCAAGACCAGCCTGTCCAAGACGGTGAAACCCTGTCTCTACTAAAAATACAAAAATTAGCCGGGCATGGTGGTGGGCACCTGTAATCCCAGCTACTCAGGAGGCTGAGCCAGGAGAATCACTTGAACCCGGGAGGCAGAGGTTGCAGTGAGCTGAGATTGCACCACTGCACTCCAGCCTGAGCGACAGAGAAAGACTCTGTCTCAAAAAAAAACAAAAAAAGAGAGAAAGAAAGAAATGAAATATTGATATAGGCTATAACATGAATGAACCTTGAAAAGGTTCATTATACTCAGCGAAATAAGCCAGACACAAATGGACACATGTTATATGATTCCACATAGATGAGATATCTAGAGTAGGCAAATCCATAAGGACAGAAAGTAGATTCATGGTTGCCAGGTGCTGGAAGTTGGGGACATGGAACTTCGCTAACAATAGATTTGTTATTGCTTTTTTGGATGATAAAAATATTCTAAACTTAGACTACAGTAAAATTGCAAAACTCTGTGAGTATACTAAAACCATTGAATTGTATACCTCAAATGGGTGAATTTTATAGTATGTGAATTATAATACAATAAAATTGTTATAAAAAAGGAATGAATGAATGAATGCATGGAATAGATAAATAAAAACTTAAACAGGGTTTGCATGGACTTATGATGAGAATGTGCCCATAACAAAAGAGTGTGATTAATTCAATCCTCTGCTCCAGTGGTACCTGCCTCTTTTTTTCTGACTTTGCTGATCTTCCTGGACATTGTAGATTTCTTAAACATAGGATATTCTTTTTTGACTTTCTCCTGCTCACCTTGTCCCAAGTCCTCAGCTCTTCACATTCTGGGCCTGGGTTGGGCCTTGGTCTGAACCATGCTTCAGATGTTGTAGGCTAAGCAGAGCCTGGTGCAGATAGAGGACATGGTAGACAACTTCTGACATGGCTCTCAGTGATTTCTGCCTCCTAGAATTCATGACCTTGGGTTATCCCTTCCCCCTTAAGTGTGGGCTGGACTTAGTAACTTCCTTCTATCCAATAGAATATGGCAAAAGTGATGGGATGACAATTTTATGATAAGATTACAAAAGATTGAATTTCATCTTGCTATCTCTCTCTCTCTCTGTGTCTCTCTGTCTCTTTTATTGTTACTCTCTCTTGCTCTGTAGCTTGCTTGCTGTTATGTTGTAAGATAATTTATGGAGAGGCATACATGGCAAAAAGAAACACAAGAAGTGCCTCTGATCAACAGGTCATGAGGAACCAAGGCCTCAAACTAAAAACCTTTAAGGAACTGAATTTTGCCATGTATCATGTAAGTTATCCCAAAATTGAGTCTTCAGATGAAACTGCAGCCTTAGCTGACACCTCGATTGCAGCCTTGTTAGAGATTCTAAAATCAGAGAACCCATCTAAATCACACCAGAACATCTGACCCATGGAAACTGTGAGATAATAAATACGTGTTAAGACATTAAGTTTTGGGGTAATTGGTTATGCCACAGTAGAGTGGTAGACAACAAATACAGAGGTCAAAGCGTGTTAAATATGCTCCTTTTCTGTCACCAGAACTTTGGAACTAAGCTTCTCTTGCAGTTGGATGGGGTTAAGTGCCTGGCCCATAACAATCTCTCAATTTGGTGATTTGTTTTTACAGTTCCAAACCCACCCTTGGACTGGGCATGGTGGCTCATGCCTGTAATCCCAGCATTTTGTGAGGCTGAGACAAGAGAATTGCTTGAACCCAGGAGTTAGAGACTAGTCTGGGCAACATAGTAAGACCCCATCTCTACAAAATTAAATTTAAAAAAAATAGCTAGGCATAGTGACATGTGCCTGTAGTCTCACCCTCCCTGAGGTGGGAGGATTGCCTAAGCCCGGGAGATTAAGGCTGCATTAAGCCATAATCGTGCCACTGCACACCAGCCTGGGCAACAGAGCAAGACCCTGTCTCAAAAACAAAAACAAAAAAACACCCTTGGCTTCCCGGTACCCTCAGAGTAAAATCCGAAATAAGTCTTTACTGTAGCCTACAAAACCTTACATGATCTGGTCCCTGATACCGTTCTGGACTCATCCTACTCTCCCTTCACCCTCTCTGCCCCAGACACACTGGTATCCTTTCTGGTCATTGAAACAAGTATGTTTTCACTTTGGTGGCTTCACCTTTTGGTTTCTCATTGGAAAGGTAATCCCTGCAAGATGTTTAAATAACTCACCACCTCACTTCTTGCAGGTCTCTGATAAAATACTATCTCCTTAAAGAGGCCTTTTCCAATAACCACTACAGTAAGCTCCAATTCTCAATCTCAATTCGCTTCTCTGATTTTATTTTTCATGATAGAATGTATCACTACCTAAAATTGTATGTACTTACTTGTGTATTTGTTCTGTCTCCTCCCTATAGAAAGTCAGTTCCATGAGGGCAGGGGCTTTCTTTTGTTCACTGTTATATCTCCAGTGCCTAGAACCGTGCCTGGAACTTATGGCCAGATCAGGGAGGAGGGGGTATTGGGAGAGATGACAAGTCACTTCCCAGAGACATTGTATTGTGAAGCAGAAAGGGGCAAAAAGCACCCAGAGAGAAACAGTTGCACATTCAGGGAGCTGCACACCTGTCCGCATCACCAGGGATTCTTGGGATTCTTGGGGGATGCCAGAACATGTAGCACAAGGGCAGACAATTCTCAGTATATCTCTCACCTTAACTGTATAACTAGTTCTATAAAAAGGTATTTTAGATGGTTGCTCAATAGGCTTATCTTCATATGCGGCTAGAAAATTTACTCTTTATGAGGGCTGCTTTTTCTAAGTTTTCTTTATTTGCATTTTGTTCTTTCATGACTAATTATCATGTATAATTTAACTGCATGGTTTAATTAATTGTCAAAATGCAAAAGTGCAAAATTTTATGTAGAAATAATTACTGACACAGGCAAACACTTGTTACTTTAGAACGAACAGCCGGTAGCTAATTTTGCTCACAATTACCTAGTTGTAGGTTTAGCAACATCTGAATTTGTTATATCTTCAAAAGAGATTCCATCTTTTTTAATTAATTTTTTTTCTACATTTGAAAGAAGAGTACATATAAGCAAAAGGTTAAAACATGATTTTGTAAAACACGGAGAGGAATACTATGTAGAGTAAAATCTAATTAGAACACTAATTAATGAGAACAGATAAAGTAAAGTTTAGGACTGTGTTTATTGTTGCAGTTAACAGATTCTATAATATTGACAAAATTCAATGGGCGATCGCAAACATTTATGAAAAGCAAAAAACAGAAAAAAAAAGTGAAGTAAATGAATGCATTGTCCGGTGGTTCTATATATCATGAAGGCATAAATGAGGAAGGACCAAAACAAAGACAGGTTAGCAAAGGGAGCTAAGGAAAACTGTGGAACTCAAGTAAGAATTTGGAAGCCCTAGGGATGCAATGTTGAGGGAAATAAAATATCTTGATTCTCTGTGGTATAGTTACACGTTGAATGACTAATTCTATTAGAAGGCCAGTCAGTTCTTGGAAAACAGTATGGACACATGTGAGCACAGCCTTTGACACAGCGACCTCCTTTCTGATCATAATCTCCAAAGCGGGGGAGAACCTACACATAAAGCTACTTGTTATAGTTTTACACACCATATGAATTATTCTGGGACTGAATAGAGCATAGTAAAATGAATATTATAAAATAAAGAGATGACTTTATGGAGATTTTAACAAATGAGGAAAATTAAAAGGCTGCCTCATTCACTATCACGTTTGTGTTTTTGTCAGAAAGCAGTTAAAAGCCAATTTAAAACTTTATGTCATTTTTCATGCTGAATTTTCTACTTTGATGTAAGAGGAACAAGAGTTATTAAACACCTTGGTTGGAGAAAAGACATATTTTTGGCAGTTTTTTTCTCATGGTGATTTTGCTGCTTATGGTCAATAAACTTGTTAATCAGCATTAATTCAGCTATATAGTTTCAAATATTCTGAATGAAATTAAATCAAATATATTTGTTAATATTTGATTTTTAAGATAGCATGCAGATGATCCTTTTAAATTCTACTATATTTTATACAAATCATATATTCGGGGCATAGCATACCTGCTAAATAAAAGTCCAATTTAAAAAAAAAGTTATATATACATTACCTATATCTATTAGCAGCTGAAAAGCAACTATATCACTATCAATAAATTTGTGCTCGTGCATTATTTGCTGAATATTTGTGAAGCTGAAGCTGAGTCCTTTCTCCACTAGATTATTATTATAATTTTTTTTTTTTTTTTTTTTTGGTGAGACGGAGTCTCACTCTGTCTCCCAGGCTGGAGTGCAGTGGCGTGATCTCAGCTCACTGCAACCTCAACCGCCTGGGTTCAAGCCATTCTCCCTCAGCCTCCTGAGTAGCTGGGATTACAGGCATCCACCACCACACCCAGCTAATTTTTATATTTTTAGTAGAGACAGGGTTCCACCATGTTGGCCAGGCTGGTCTCGAGCTCCTGACCTCAAGTGATCCACCCACCTCGGCCTCCCAAAGTGCTAGGATTACAGGCGTGAGCCACCGCGCACAGCCTCCACTAAATTATTCTTAACCAGAGGAATTAAGCTAGTGTCTTTACTTCTCAATTTAATTCTATAAAAACACTTTGAATATCTACTATATACAAAACAATATATTTTATTAGCAGCATTTCATCAGAAATATTTCAGCAGCAACATTTCAGAGCTATGTGATGAAAGAAGTTCGTGGTTTGGACTGGGGAAGTTGGTGTTTACACGTTAATCAAATGAAATGCACCATTGTTTTTTCTTCTTTTCTTTTTCTTTTTTTTTTTTTTGTTGTTGTTGAGAGAGGCTCTCACTCTGTTGCACAGGCTGGTATGCAATGGCATAATCATGGCTCACTGCAGCCTTGACCTCCTAGGCTCAGGTGATCCTCCCACCTCAGCCTCCCAAGTAGCTGGGATTACAGGCATGTGCCACCACGCCGGACTACTTTTTGTATTCTTTGTAGAGATGGGGTTTCGTCATGTTGCCCAGGCTGGTCTCAAACTCCTGGGCTCAAGCGATCTGCCAGCCTCGGCCTCCGAGAGTGCTGAGATTACAGGGGCAAGTCACTGCACCTGGCCAAACTGCACCATTCTTTAACTATCTTTTTTTCTACCTTCCAGTTTCGAGTCAGAAGAAGCTTTATTTATTTTTTATTGTATAGTATTATTATTATTATTGAGACAGTTTCGTTCTTGTTGCCCAGGCTGGAGTGCAATGGCACGATCTCGGCTCACTGCAACCTCCTCCACCTCCTGAGTTCAAGTGATTCTTCTGCCTTATCCTCCCAAGCAGCTGGGATTACAGTCAACCGCCACCACACCTGGCTAATTTTTGTATTTTTAGTAAAGACAGCGTTTCCCCATGTTGGCCAGGCTGGTCTCAAACTCCAGACCTCAGGTGATCAGCCCACCTTGGCCTCCCAAAGTGCTGGGATTACAGGCGTGAGCCACTGCTCCTGGCCTATTTATTTATTTTTAAAATGGGGTCTGATTCTGTTTCCCAGGCTGGAATGCAGTGGTGCAATCATAGAAAGAAGCTTTTGTGAAAAGGAGGGTGCATCATTGTTTTCAGATTATTGATATAACTGTGTTCTTTCTGTGTCTATATCTCAGCTTCATTTAAATCCCACTCAAGCTTCACCTCCTTAATTAAACTCTGACTCATTTTGCCTAGCCCTGATTTTTGCCCTTCTCTAGCTACCTTTAATATCAATCCTGTGTTGGATATCTTTTTTGTATTGAATTATCTATTTGTGGTTATAAACATTCTCTAAGACTTACTTCTCTAGCCAGATTGTAATTTTGTTTTGCAAGAAATGGGGATAAGGCCTGCTATTTTTCAATGCTATCCTACTGTTGGGCATGCTGTGAGAATATCAGTAAATGTGGATGGATTGCTCGATAATGCTGCAGTATAATCTGCAAATAAACTCTAGGCAATTGATGTACATATTAACTCCCTAAAATTCTGGAAAACCTATAATCAGTTGTTCAAAAATGTAGTCAAGTCTCAGAAATCCTAGAAGAGGCTAAGAGTTGTTCTAAAACATTCAGAAATTAAGTTTAAAGAGTATTTCAAAAGACAGGCATTTGTGTTATTTCCATTCGAATGAAATACTTTTGTTATTTCATTTACCAACACATATGAAGATGGGAAAACACTTACCAGAAGTCTGTGCCAAGGAAGAGATGCGAATGATATGCAAACAGGATGCTACTCACCTGAAATGGATGAGGTAAATTTACCTTAGGACCAGGTCTCCTTGGTTCACCTGTTTCTTGCCTACCTCACCTCCTTAAACTTATTCACACACATTACTTAGCAAAGATTACCTTGCTAGCTCCCAAATGTGAAACTTCAGCCTTTCTTAGCCTGATTTATCATTACTTCAGAATTTTAAAATTAAGAATCTGTCATGTTTGACCAGGGAGGAAACTCACGGCTGGTCAAGCCAAAACAAAACAAAAAAATCTCCCGGGGAGCTTGACTTAGTGGTTCTCCCCTGAAGGAAAATGACCAAGCCCTGCCTAATGTCAGCCTCAGGGAAAGCCTTCAGAACCAGGAAGAAGGATTTACAAATTCTTAAAATTGCTTTTTTGTTTATACTTTAATTTTGAAGACTCGACAATTACTTTAAATTCTGCTCAGTGCCTTAACCAGAGTGTTTCCATATTGAAAGCATTAAGTGGAATGACTTCTGGCTGGAAAACACAAACAAATTTTAGTTATCTCAATCACTAAGAACCAGAGAGCAAGGCCCACCCTGCCTGGCAAACAAGGGATTAGCTTCGTGGCTCTTGGGGCTAGGAGAAAATAGTTAATGAACTGGCTAATATTCACTGTCTGCTGAGTAATTTGCTGACTCCTCAAGCCCCACATCCATGTTGTGAGAAGAGGAAACTCTCAGTGATGTTCTTTCAGTATTTCTGAACCCCTCCAGTAATAAATCACTTAATAATCTACCAGAGAGAGAATATCCGATATTAACATGCATCTCAAAAGCTACAAGCTGCCCTGTGCATGCAAGCAATAGGGCCCTAAAAACAGTGCCTTAACAAAAATGTTCAAGACTTAACAAAATGTTTGAGCCCGATTTCCTAAAACCTCCTGGCTTTACATTGAATAGGATGCAATCAACTTTGCCTTACAGGAAATGGAGTTTTGTGTCCTTCACTTACCTGAATGCAGTATTTATTCACACCTAATACTTGAAAATGGGTTAATATGCAACATTGGACTGGGGGACTGGATAATGTTTAGCGTCAGGCACAAGAGTAGAAAATGATTCCCTCTGAATGTTTTCAAATTATATACTTCCCTACTGATGTGGTAAAATAAGCTCTAATTTAGATAGCCCCTCTGGATAATGTTGCATGTTGGTTTGTTGTTGAACATCCACATATCTCTTTCAACTCTAATTATTTGTTTATTTGAACTAGTCTTAGCTCTGGTAAATGGTAAAATGTGAAGGGTTAATTTCAGCAGATGTTTGAAGCCAGCTCTGTCTAAAGCTCTGTAGGGAGCCTCTACACAAGAGCCGTGTGTAGGGTGAGGGGGAAGGGGCTAGAGGTCAGGGTCATAGGTAAATCAACACCAGTTTCCAAGGAATGAAAGCAGAAGTAAATCAGAGACCTGGAAGGGTCTGGTCCTGGGAAATGAGAAAGAAAGATGTTATATGAGGAGTTACAAGGTTGGAATAGAACACAGAGGGAGGAGATGATGCATGAAGATAAAGACTGGGTAGCTGAGGGCAAAGAGATGCTAAAACAACAACTTACTGAATGGAAGGGCCAGAACAGGGCTAGATCAAGCCTGATGATTAGTTGGTGCCTTCTATAAGAATGAGGTGCAGGAAGTAGGATGTGTGTACTATTTCTCTGCTAGTTATTGCTACCCAGACACTGTCAACCTACCATTTTGGAAATGCATCTCCTTAATCACAAAAAGAATGTAGAGAGAGAATATGTAAGGTTGAATTACCTACCTCCATCCACATGGCTGGACAGACAGCACCTACTGCCTATGATTCAGCAGCAACTTGATGTATGAAGAGCCTTTTGAGCATTCATTTCCATTCTTATCTCCTATGGAACAACTCAAAAGGGACCCTTGCCCCTTTGTTCATTTCAAAATAGATTAATCTGCATCTGAGAGAAGTATCTAACAAATAGGAACAGATGATCTATCGGCTGATTCGTGAGCTATTAAGGCAGCCAGTACCACATAAATACAAAGACTATTCAAAGGAAGGTAATATCTCTGTACAAAATGGTCCCTACCAATTAAAACTTCGGAAAGTTGTCTTTGTCCCCATGTGGAACAGTATAGTTGTTAAATAGGTGCTACTCCATTATGTTGAACTTTAAATTGAATATTCAAAATATTTACATAGTACTTCTTCAAACTAGATTGAAAATTTCAAAACCATATATATTTAAATTACACTGTCATTGTGTGAAATTAGAGGACATGGACAAAATGTTATGTTTGTTGGAGACTAAGTGACCCTTTCATTAGAACTTAGCAATTTCGAAGGACCAGTTAATCAACAGAGAGGTCTCTGGAGGTATCATTTGTGCTTTTTACCAATATTACGTCAGCATTGTATTGGCAATGGTGTGAAGAGTACACATTGTGCTTTTTGAAAACAGAGACTGATAGGAATTATTTTCCTTATAAATAATGCATGAGAAAGAAAACAGTCTGTTTCACTATTATTTTTCAAGTACTTTATTCTAATCATTTTGGAACAATTGAACATACATCATCTTGTCTCTTTTTATGATTATAAGAGCAATACATACTTATTGTAGAAAAACAAAAAGTTTGAAAAACAAGTTTCAAAAAAATCTCATTAAGCAGAGGTAATCGTCAATACTATCTTGGCATATTCCCTTTTATTTATATTTGTTTTACATGATTGAGGCCATATCGTACATACAATTTTATCTTCTGATTTTAGAAGTTACCATTATAATAAAGTTCTTCTTCATATTATTAAATAAAATTATACAACCTGATTTTAATGGCTGCATAATAACAAGTTGTGTGGAGATTCAATAATTTATGTTAAAATAGCTCTACTATTGTACATTTAAGTTGTTTCTGCATCTTCTCTCAAACGCAGATCAATCTATTTTGAAATGAACAAAAGGGCAAGGGTCCTTTTTGAGTTGTTCCACAGGAGATGAGAATGGAAATGAATGCTCAAAAGGCCCTAAATACATCAAATTAATGCTGAATCACAGGCAGTAGGTGCTGTTTGTCCAGCCATGTGAATGGAATAGGTAAACCTTGTATATTCACTCCCTACGTTCTTTTTATGATTAAGGATGATGTGTTAACCATCTTTGTGCATAAAACTATTGCTTTAGAATAGTGTCAAAGAAATGGTATGCATAATACTATTTCCTTAGAGTCAAAAAATGGAATTATTAAGTCAAGAAAAGTCTTATGGTCCTTAATACACATTGCCAAATTGTTTAACTGAAAATGGCTAAAAAAATTACTTTTCAAATTAAAAAGCAGGTGATTTCTCTCAGCTGTCATGCATTATTTGAAAATAATGACAATTACCTGTTTGTTTGCTATATTAAAAAACAATATATTTGCTATATTAAAAAAAAAATTGGCCGGGCACAGTGGCTCACGCCTGTAATCCCAGCACTTTGGGATGCGGCGGTGGGTGGATCACCAGGTCAAGAGATTGAGATCATACTAGCCAACATGGTGAAACCCTGTCTCTACAAAAGATACAAAAATTAGCTGGGCATGGTGGCATGAGCCTGTAGTCCCAGCTACTCAGGAGGCTGAGGCAGGAGAATCACTTGAACCCGGGAGGCGGAGGTTGCAGTGAGCTGAGATAGCACCACTACACTCCACCCTGGCAACAGAGCGAGACTCCATCTCAAAAAACAAAACAACAACAACAAAAAAACAATTAAGTGCCTTCTATAGCCAATCATTTCCATTAGGCACCGGATTTAATTCATGGTACAAGCCCCTGTGAGCTAACTATCTACAAAGTTTTTGTGGAAAAGATGCAGTCCAGCATAGTTTTTGATAGAAAAGAGAGTAGAATTGAAAAAGAAATTGTCAAGAAAAACCTGGAGATATTTGTAATTTTATCTGAAAAGTTCTTATTTTTGATATGCAGTAGAACAGATCCTAGCTTGGGAGGAAAGAGTCACAGATTAGTTACTAATTACTATGGAAACTCACGCTGGTCTCTAAATTTCTTTGGACTTCAAATTTCCAAATCTGTAAAATAAGACATTAGGTCAGAATCCTACTTCACTTAAAAATACCATATTGGGTTATATTTTCATGTGGAATCTTTCAGACATTATTATGATACAAAAAACACCATTGTCTCATGCCTGCTAATAAACCAGAAATACAGTCTGGGAGACCTCGGATTAGATATAGGAGAGACACTTTTACATATGATGAGCATGATATAGTAAGAAAATGATATTGACTCACCCAGAAATAACAGTGATATTACTATGCCCATCTTACAGTTTATTTTTACATTTTAAGGATTTAACTCTCCTTTTATCTGGATTCAAAATAACCACCTAGTTGACCATACCTGTGTTAGGAACTATGATATTTATAGAATCTGAAGATAAGATATTCCAACACAAACCCTTTAAAAATGATTTTTGCGGAATAAGTTGATTGATTACAGAAGTTATCCATATGGATAATTTAGAGTTTGACTATGAAGACTGGAGAAAACAAACACCATTTAGTAAATTCTACAACTTTTTATATTAACATTTCTGATCAAGTCAGCGCATTTCTTTGTTATGAAATGAATTTAGGATCTACTACTTAAAAAAAAGACAGAAGGTTCCCTTTTCCCTGATATTTTAATACTGTATTAAATTTGTCATAATCACTCTCTTG
Source organism: Homo sapiens (assembly GCF_000001405.40). Classification (NCBI taxonomy): domain Eukaryota; kingdom Metazoa; phylum Chordata; class Mammalia; order Primates; family Hominidae; genus Homo; species Homo sapiens. Next base: position 151,519,402 of record NC_000023.11, on the reverse strand, counting down.
AAAAATATCACCTTCACTTGACTCCTAATATTTTCCTCAGAATCAATCAGACACGGAAGTTCAAAAGTAACGTTGAATTCTTCATTTTTAGCAATCTGTAAGAATTACATTAGCCTTCCTATGAAGAAGCTTCTTTGCAGCTAGTAAAATAGCTGAAATAGAAGAAACAGAACGGAATCAAAATCTAACTTTGAGAGTCTGTAAATGACCACAAAAATAAGATTAGAGACCAAAAAGACCTCAGACTTTTCAATTTCATAGCTTCATCAATTTTAACACATGTATTGATATATCCAAAGGTGGACGTGGAGATTATTTTATTTCTATAACTAGAGAGTGTAGAGCTCCGAATACAGTCTAATTGGTATATTCTAAAGTACTGGATTTATTATTTGGATGCTGGGTCTCTCCATGGCTCCGACAATTTTGTATTTATCTCAATTTTAAACAAATCAATTTCCATTTCTAGGTATCATTTTTCTGATTGTGCCAGAGGATAGTAAAACGTGGCACTTTTCTACTTTAAAAATTACTTTTCACAACGACTAAATTCTTCAGTTTAAGTTATTGTCTGACCAAGTTTTAAATATAACTTAACTTTAAAAGGGGCCATATTTACTTACAATGTAACTTTGGTTTTACATTTTAGTCCCAGACTACCTGATATCAAATAGCCAGTAACCTAACACATATAAAAGTATTTCTATTAATAGAATTCTGAATGTCTCTGAGCACTGAGGTATCTTGGTAAGCATCTACTTTCAACTCCTTTTACAGAAGGGACTTCAGGAGCAAAGAGGGCATGAGACATGCCCCAGGTGACACAGGGATTTTTTGCTAAAACTAAGCTACATGTCTACTGATTCACAACCTAGTACTCTTCTCATTGCACTATACTGCCTTGCAGGGTTTTTTAAACATTAGAAATCCCTATGCTGGGATATTTTAAACTTTGGTCAAGCCAATACATTAGAATCACTTTATACAGGAAGCCAGATACTTTTATTACTATTAGCCAAATATTTTATAGAACAACAGGTCTGGAACAGAAATGTAAGAACAAAAGTTTAAAAGTTAAATGTCTAGTAATACCCCACAAGCACTGGCAACCAAAACCAAAGTGAACAAATGAGATCACATCGAGTTAAAAAGATTTTGCACAGCAAAGGAAACAATCAACAAAATGAAGATACAACCCGCAGAATGGGAGAAAATATTTGCAAACTACCCCTCTGAGGACGAGGGATTAATAATCAGAATAGATAAGGAGCTCAGACAACTCTATAGGAAAATTATCTCATAATCCAACAGAAAATGGACAAAATATTTTAATAAACATTTCTCAAAAGAAGACACACAAATGGCAAACAGGCACATGAAAAGGTGCTCAACGTCATTGATCATCAGAGAAATGCAAATCAGAACTATAATGAGATATCTTCTCACCCCAGCTAAAATGGCTTATCCAGAAGACAGGCAACAACAAATGCTGGTGCAGATACAGAGCAAAGAAAACCCTCATACACTGTTGGTGGGAATGTAAGTTAGTACAATCACTAAGGAGAACAGTTTGGAGGCTCCTCAAAATACTAAAAATAGAGCAACTATACGATCCACCAATTCCACTGCAATTTCATGGACAGTGGGCCAAGAATTATGAGATATTTAAGGAAAGTTGCTTACATGAAACACAAGACCAAAAGTAAACATAGTAACCAACAAAAACAGGAAAGTTGAATGAAACAGAGACACAGCAGGGAACAAAATAAAACTTCAAAGAAATCTACAAATGATGTCATCAAAGACACAAGACAATATTCAGGTCTAATTTAGGACAAGGAGGGCATAAAAAGGGGCATTTAGAAACCAAGAATAATATCTTGGACATTCAAAATATGAAGGGAGAGGGGGAGAGCCAAGATGGCCAACTAGATGCAGCCAGAAAGAGTTTCTCTCACTGAGAGAGATCAGACCGTCAAGTAGACCAGCACACTCCAAACAGATCTTCAGAAAGAAGGCATTGAGAGTGGACAGAGGAAAGACGCAGACCCCCGGCTGAAAGAGAAGGAAGCTGGGAACCCTGCACAGGGTTGCCAAGAAGCAGTATTTAGTTCCTGCCCCTGAGCAACTCTTAGGGAAGGGGTGAGTGAAATGGGCATGGAGTAGCCCAATTTTGCCACGGACCTCTGAGATTCTAGCTGCAGGAGACCCCACAACCACCATGGACATCTGAACTGGCAGGGAGAACTTCCTGGAGAATTGGCAGAGACACAACTCTAGCCTGCATGGAGCCCAGAGGGTTTGGCGCAGGAGCGGCTGCAGTGGAGCATGGCCGTGGACGCCCACTCCTCAAGACTCTCCATACTCCTCTAGGTGGCTCTAGCCTTTGTTAGCTGCTGGACCTGGACAGAGCAAGGCTGTCTTAGCCGTGGGATGGGGCCAGTATGATCTGAGTGCCCCCTGTCTGCCGACATCTACCAAGGTCCCTGCCTAGCCACAGCCGTTTGCAGCGCAGCCTCAGCTTCCCAGCGGCCACTGCCATAGTTCTTTTGCTGGCAGATCCTGCCCAACTGTGAGAGAACTTTTGCAGACGGACCCCCACCACCTTGCACCTGCAGCCTTGCCTCACCACCACGCAGTCACCTGCAGCCTCCCACACTGTCCCGCCTACACACGTACATGGGGACCTCTGCCACCCTGCATATGCTCACACACGGGGGCCTCTGCTGCCCTGCTGGAGCACTTTTGCCAGCAGCCCCCATCACAGTGTTGTTGCCATGGACACAACACAAACACTCTGGCCCCTCCATCACAGCGGGTGCTTAACCTCAAGGGGCCAGAGAACAAAGTTGCAAGCCTGGTCCCAGTCCCCCAGGGTCACAGCATGTAGCCCAGGAGTGCTGAGCTGACCCTTGGCCTTCTGAAAGCAACCTCGCAAGAAGCAGAGCCAGCCTCTTAAGTGGAAATTTGCCTCCAGTGCTCAGTCCCGACTCAATCCTTATCCTCCTTGTCTGATTAACTGTGGACCTGTCAGTCTGACCCCAATCCCGCAACACCCACCTCCCTCGCTTGCCACACACCACCTCCTCCCTCCTTCCCTCCCCACCATCCTAGAACATGCAGACACTCAAATCATTTTACAACAGGTTCATTTTATTTTCATCACCATGAGGGGTACCCTGTTGTGTGTAAAATGTACCATAGACCCTTTTGGCTATTTCTCTGGGGTTAGACCTATGGAGACCTCTCAGATAGATCTAGTCCTTTGAACTTGCCCTGAAATTACTGGCTGTCCAGGGAGACGCTGGAGATGGTGGAAGTCTCCTCACTTTCCTGGTCCTGCTGTGGCTCCTTTTGATTGAGTTCCTCGTTCAGCTGGTCAGAGTGGCTGGATAGCGTTGGCCCTCTCCCTTCCTCAGGTTTTCTTGAAGCGGCGGTCTTTCGGGAGTGGCTTTTTTCCTGGAACTCCCTCAAAGACTCTCTTTTCCCTTCCGGGTTGTCTTGGGAATCTGGAAGGACAACAGGGAGATCACAGAAGGGCATTGGTTTGGGGGAAGAGGATGGGGGAGGGGTGGGAACAGGGGCTTCATGAGAAGGGTACAGGCTGAGGTGGGGGTTGTGCCAGGCGAGGACAGGGTAAGGCGTCTTGGGAGGGAGGAGTAGAGGGGAAGGCAGGGAGGAATCAAGGGGAAGACAAGGAGGAGCCTGGGTGCGCCACTCACCTTCAGAGGGCTTCTGAATCTTGGTTGAGAGGGGGCCTTCCTCTTCTTCGCCTCTTTGGTGTTGTGGGTGGTTGTCCCTCGACAACTGGGTTGGAGGCTTGTGCTTTACTGGCCATCTTCACCACATCAGCATCTCCCAACTGTCTTCTCTGGGTCACCTGGCCTCCCTATATATAACCCTTCCAGGACAATGATGAGCCACACCCCTAAGCTTTGATTGGCCAGCAAGCCATTACCCAGCCAATGGTAGGCCTGCAGGGAGGGGCTTAGACATCACAAAACCCCATCAGGACATTGTCATAGGGAAGTAGAGAGTAGGGGGAGGGGCCAGGCATGGGGAAGAGGAGGGGACAAGGGGAGGAGTGGGGAGTCTTATGAGGAGGCCAGGCTGGTTGAAACAAAAAAGGGGCATTTCTTTAGCACTCCTAAAAACTTTCCCAAACTGACCTAGCACCCTCCTCATCTTCTCATGTCAGTTCTGGTGAGTCACATGGCAAGGATAGGGTGTGTCTTCCAAAGCCTTTCTCTACTGCCAACCCATTCAGTGGTACATTCTGTTTTCTTCCACCTTTAACCATTATCTAGTTGTTGCATGTCTTACCTACAATCTATTCATGGTAAAAATTTATGCTAATATGTCATGGCCATATTTAAGTGTCTGTGGAGATGTCAATCATCCAGTTCCCACCTACAAATCCTCTAAGCATTTTGAAAACCATTAACTTCTTGGCTTACTACCAAGAAACTTTTTTATTCCACGTACCTTTTCTAGTGTCCATTTAGCTCTCCTCAGTTTTCTATTCTCCAGTCTGAAACCACCGCCTTCAGACTATGAAGACTTCAGTGAAGGGCTGTACATGGTGGCTCATGCCTGTAATTCCAGCACTTTGGGAGGCTGAGGCAGGAGGATTGCTTGAGTCAAGGAGTTCAAGACCAGCCTTGACAACATAGCAAGACCCATCTCCACAAAATAAATTAGTTGGGCATAGTAGTGCGTGCCTGTAGTGCCAGCTACTTGGGACACTGAGGTGGGAGGATCACTTGAACTCAGGAAGTCGAGGCTGCAGTGAGCCATGAACATGCCACTGCACTCCAGCCTGGGTGACAGAGCAAGACCCTGTGAAAGAAAGATGAGAGAAAGAGAGAAAGAACGAAAGAGTGAAAGAAGACAAAGAAAGAAAGAAAGAAAGAAAGAAAGAAAGAAAGAGAGAAAGAGAAAGAAAGAGAAAGAAAAGAAAAGAGAGGGGAGAGGAGGGGAGGGGAGGGACTTCCTTGAATAGACTTGCTCTTCTGGGTATCCTATCCTTGTTTCAACTCTGCTTATCTCAACAGGTATAATACTCTGGCTTGAGTTTTAACAGTGTTAGGGGGATGAGGCAGATTTATACATGCTCCAAGTTGTGCTGGGTGTTTGCATGAAGAAAATCACAACCTCAAACTGATGAATGCATAGAGGAAGGAGCTTGGCTTAACCAGAGTCATGCCCACCTTATGTGAAAAGCTCTTTTCAAAATGTGCCCTCATCCACCAGATAATTTTCTTATCTTATTTTATTGTTTTCTGTTAACATCCTACTTCCCTTTCTTCTCCTGAGGTCTTCTGAAGAAATAGAGCTTACCTTAAGGGGAAACACTCATAGAATTATTTTTCATGAACAATTATAACAAGCTTCCAACTTCTTGGAGGAGACACTGTGTGATCAATTTCAGTTCATTTACCTCCCTAAGTACAGGACCTCTCATTCAGGTTTTTGTCCCTGGAAGAAAGGGATGATAGAGTTACGCACAGGCTGAAGTGACTGCGTTAATATACAAAATCTAATGAAATTAAGGGAAGATTATACTAATATAATTAATATAATATAGGAATATGTCAATATAAGGATAATGACATATAATAAAGAGGTCATCTAGACATGATGTTTCCCAACCCCCAATCTAACAACAGAAGGCAGCCCATTCCTCCCTAGGATTAAATGGGAGCTCAATCAACAACACTAGGGAGGTTAGCAGCATCAGCAGATGGGATTAATCCAAAGCTTCTTTGACAATTTGTGGCCAAGAGAAATGTTCTTCTTCACCATTGTGCATAAGACTCACCCTCTCCCTAGAGACTCTAGGAGACATTTGGGTGGAGACACAGAGCCAAACTCCTGATTTGAAATCACTAAAAATTAAGCTGTGCTTTTCCTAAGTCCCTGTAAACTGAAGCTAGACAACTTAAACTTCAGATGAAAATAACAATAACCTATTTATGTATATAAACCACTTTCATACCTGCCTACTGATGTATGGATTTCAGAGCAATATGGCTTACAGTCATTTTCTAGGATTGTTCTTTTTCATTTGATTGTTGCTTCCCTTATCTTTTCCTCCCCTCATTTTTTCTTTGTAGGACTTGAGACTTCATCATCTGCCAAAAATGAGCTTTCCTAACAACATGGGACCTATTTGTCTAAAAATAAACTGTCCTAGCCACAAGAGATGAGACAAAACCCAAGACCACAGACTCATTTTCTTCTAAAATGCTCTGTCTGAAAGATTTTAAGAAGAAAACGGGAGAGAAATATAAAAAGAAAATAAAAACTTGGGACCCCAATTCACTATGCCAAAAGGGAAAAAATTAAGCTGAAAGCTGAGTAATGCAAGAAGCTGCCTTTCTTTTTGTTCCTAAGCAAATAGCTACAGATAAAAGGTTTAGTATCTCCACAGGTAGCTACTCTAGGTTCACTTTATCTTATGTAAAGTGCTGATTTGCAGAGCATGAGATGAATACATAGTTGACCCTTCCCCTAACCGCTCCTTTTCTCTTGCAATATGTGGATTCAGTAATGTGACCATACCCTACCTCTTTCCCCTCCAGCCTGCTTTTCCCCATTAAATATTGAAGCCCTCAAAATAATACTTGGAGAAAGGCATAGACATATCACCCAGGTGGGTCCTTAACCTTTGCAAAATAAACTTCTAAATTGATTGAGACCTGTCTCAGATACTTTTTGGTTTACAATATAATATGAAAAGTATTCTTTAATCTGCATGCATGGAAAACTATTCATACTGGAAAATAAAATGTTACCTAACATATTTTAATTAAAAAAAAATTGCAACCACCTCAAAATTGAAGAAGTAAAAACTCACAAACAACAGATCAAAGAGGCAATAAATGAAATATTATAGACTATAAAATAATGAAAAGCAATACAGTGAATATCAAGTCTATGAAATGTATCTAAAGTATTCAGAGGTAAATAGATACCTTTTAATATTTTTATCATTTAAAAAGTGAAAAAATGCCAATATCTTGGAAAAAAAATATTAAAGCCTGAGGACCATTGTTGGGAGTGATGGGATGATAACAGTCCTATCAGATAATGAGGTAGTATGATATATGTTATAAGCACTGGCCTTAAAACCAGGTGACTTGCATCCATTTCTCAACCCTACCACATTCATAGTAGTATGAAGTTGGGCAAGATATTGAACTTGGATATTTAATTTTCTCATCTGGAAAATATCAGCTTGGCAAATATTTTCTTTTTCTTTTTCTTTTTTTTTTTTTTTTGAGATAGAGTCTCACTCTGTCACCCAGGGTGGAGTGCAGTGGTGCAATCTCAGCTCACTGCAAGCTCCGCCTCCCGGGTTCACGCCATTCTCCTTCCTCAGCCTCCCGAGTAGCTGGGACTACGCCCAGCTAATTTTTTTGTATTTTTAGTAGATACGGGGTTTCACCGTGTTGGTGATGGTCTCGATCTCCCGACCTCGTGATCTGCCTGCCTCGGCCTCCTAAAGTGCTGGGATTACAGGCGTGAGCCACCGTGCCCAGCCAAATATTTTCTGTAAAGGGCCAGGTAGTAAATATTTTAAACTTTGCAAGCTACATTAAATCGTCTCTTTCACAACTACTCAACTCTACCATCAAAGCACAAAAGCATTCATAAACAATATGTAAATATCAAGTGTGGCTATGTTCCATGTGTCCCACTAAAACCTTACAAAAACAGGCAACTGGAAGCAGAATTTGGTCCCAGGTCAGCTGTGGTTATTTGGCTCCTAAATCACAGTGTTTTTCATAATAATTGACTAAAATAAAGTCTGTAAAATACTGTACAGGTAAAATCAGGGTAGTGTAGACAATACATACACACACACACACACACACACACACACATCCATATATATATAATCATTGCATTCCGGACTAAATCCCACTTGTCATGTTATATAACCCTTTTAATATGTTGGCAGATTTGGTTTGCTATCATTTTGTTGAGGATTTTTGTGTCAATATTCATTAGGAATTTTTCTTTTTTTTTTTTTGAGACAGAAGTCTCGCTCTGTCGCCCAGGCTGGAGTGCAGTGGCGCGAACTCGGCTCACTGCAAGCTCCGCCTCCCGGGTTCACACCATTCTCCTGCCTCAGCCTCCCGAGTAGCTGGGACTACAGGCGCCCACCACCACGCCCGACTAATTTTTTGTATTTTTAGTAGAGACGGGGTTTCACCGTGGTCTCGATCTCCTGACCTCGTGATCTGCCCGCCTCGGCCTCCCAAAGTGCTGGGATTACAAGCGTGAGCCATCGTGCCCGGCCAGGAATTTTGATGTATAGTTTTATTTTTCTCGTGATGATTTTGTCTGGTTTTGGTATCAGGGTAATACTGGCTTCATAGAATGTGTTGGGAAGTGTTCTTTCCTCTTCTAGTTTTTGGAAGTTTTAGAAGGATTGGTGTTAATTCTCCTTTAAACATTTGGTAGAATTCAGTCATGAAGTCACGTGGACCTAGCCTATTCATTGTGGGAGATTATTTGAATTATTAACTTCAGTCCCTTTACTTCTTATATGCTTTTTTAGATTTCCTATCAGTTTTGGTATTTTGTGTCTTTCTAAGAATTTTTCTATCTCCTCTTGGTTATCTAATTGATTATCTAATTCGTTGGTATATGATTATTCATAGTATTCCTTTATTATCCTTTTTATTTCTTTACAATGGGCAGTGATGTCCCTTCTTTCATTCATGATTTTAGTAATTTGAGTCTTCTCACATTTTTTTCTTTGTCTACCTAGATAAACGTTTGTCATTTTTACTGATCTTTTCTTAGAACCTGCTTCTTTGAATACTTTCTCTCTCCCTACCTCTCTCCGTTTCTCCCTCTCTCCCTTCCTCTCCCCGCCTCCTCCTCTCCTCTGATAATGAGAGACTTAGATTTCTCAGATACTCTTTCCTGGAGCAAAGCTTCTGCAATGTGGAGCAGGGTGAGGGGATGAGAAATGCTGGCAGTCTGCCACTGGGGTTGGGGGGAGAACCTTAGTCAGGAAACTGGCTGTATAAGGATCTGTCTGTTTTGAGCTATGGCTGGAAGGAGTGGAGCTGCTGTCACGCTAAGCTGGGGGGCAGGTGAGGGAGCTGGTTGCTGCTCGTACTGATATTTAGTACATTTTTTGGAATAAATGTTTCTCCATTTGTTGAATACTCTCTGAATTTCCCGAGACTTTAAATTGTTGTGTTCCTTAGTAATATTCACCATTTATTTCACTAGGAAGAGGGCTCACAGAGCTCTTCGTGTTGCCTTTCTGTCAATTGTCTCTCCAGTCTGGCATTCTTTTTGATACCCACATGAATCCCTTCCATTTAAAATGAGCCCACTTTCTTGTGCCGGGTGCTCTCTGGACTTGTCCAGGTCTCTGTACCCTCTTTTCCCGTGTGTGTCATGGAGACATATGCTAGGAGAGCCACAGCCTTGTTCTGGTCAGCTTGATTCCTGTTCCAATTTGGTTCCCTTTCCTTCTGTCTTTATCTAGACCATCTGTTTTTTGCTTCCATTCTTATTGCTTCTGCTGCTGCCCTGTGTATTTTCTAAGGTGGGATCTGCCCTACCCCAAAAGGCTCCCACTGGCATAACTTGAAACAACCTGAGGAGAGAATGATGTAAGGTGCAACTTCTTGTTGTTCCAAGTAAATGCGTATAAAAGAATTCCAGCTACTATCTGTTTAATCATTGCTGTTTTAAAAACAATGAACATTTATTATCTAGAAAGTAAGAAATTTAAAATCTGCTAGGAAAATGTTTGTAACACCTTTTCCTTATGAAAAATTCTCCCTGTTGTCCTGGGGTACACATTCACACAGCAAGTCCTGTCCCATGGGAGGGCACTTTGGAAGCGCTGACCTGAACACATCTGAACGCATTCTCACCCCTCAAGCCCAACCCCAGCAACTGCACAGTGAATCTCCTAACACACCCTCCTGCCTGCTCTCTGGGCACATTCTTGTCATCAGATGTTTATTGAGGAGCTGGATTGCCTTACAAGACAGTGAGCATCTTGAAAGCAGGGATCCCATCTTCCTTACCTCTGCATGCCTAGCCAGGAACAGGTCCAGGATCTGGCATAAAGTAGGGTCTCTATAATTGTATACTGACTATGTGAATGAATAGGTCAATGAATCGTTGCACATTTCCAGAATCATAAAACACAAACTTCTTAGCCAGGCTTTCTGGGTTGTCCTAATCTGGCCCCTGCATACTGTCCTACCAATGTTATCATCTTGTAGTCTTCTTCTCAAAACAAACTCTTCATTTTTGCCCAGCAGGCCTTCTCTCTTATCCTCCAAAGCATCCTGCATACTCTCACCTGCTCGCCTTGGCTGTGCTCTTGCCTTCTGCTCTGCTTATTTGAATGTTTTCTTCCATTATTCACAGGCACTTTACTCCCTGGATCTTTACCCAGCCACTCTGCTTGAACTGTCCAGACCTGTCTTCATACTTGGACATCTCCCTGGAGAAGAATAAGTCTATTTCCACGAGGCCAGGCAGAGAATCTTTAAATTTAACCTGGCTGGTGCATATGTCTTCACCTATGGTATAATAGTGACAGCAGTGTCAGATGCTGAGTCCTGTGGTGCATATCATTAAAAGATGTTCCTCCAGTCTGAAAGCAATTTTGGGGGGGAACAGATGTCGAACCAGCCTTCAAAATTATGCAGTCTTTAGTTTCTGAAATTTTCCTCTTTCTGCTTTTGAAAAATCAGGGTAACTTTTACTTCTTTGAAGTTCCATTCTTTGTGATTCTGCAAAGAAATTTCTTTTTCATTCAACACATATTTAATTACCACTACAAGCCAAGCAGTTACTGCTGTTACAAACAGTTTATATATATATGTATATATATATATTTTTGAGACGGAGTCTCTCTGTGTCGCCTAGGCTGGAGTGCAGTGGTGTGATCTCAGCTCACTGCAACTTCCGCCTCCCAGGTTCAAGCAATTCTTCCTGCCTCAGCCTCCAGAGTAGCTGGGGTTACAGGTGCCCGCCACCACGCCTGGCTAATTTTTGTATTTTTTTTTTTTTTTTTTTAGTAGAGATGGTGTTTCAACATGTTGGCCAGGCTGGTCTTGAACTCCTGACCTCAGGTGATCCACCCGCCACGGCCTCCCAAAGTGCTGGGATTACAGGCGTGAGCCATGGCACCCGGCCCAAACAGTGTATTTCTTAACATATCTAAAATCTTCTCAGGCCCTAGAAATGAATTGTGTTTGGACAAGGGTGCTTTTATTCCTTTAAAACTACTAGGTGCTCTCTTACTTTTGCCTCCTTAAACCTGAGTTGCAAACCCTTCTTTACTCTGGGGGTTGGTGGAGTATAGCCCTTCCTGGACTGGATGTCTCCTTGAGGCTCTGTTCTGTTTTGCAAATGAACACTTACTCTTCTTGTGACATGATGCATCCTTGGAATTTGACCACTGCAAACTTTCTGCATATGAAGGGTGAGCTGTCACTCCATCTGGGACGTCCCTGGGTTCTTTATAAGCACACTGCTATTGCAACAGTTAGCTGTGGCCTCAAAATGTCCCATTTTCTATTGAGCTGCTCTGATTTAACTTTTCAGGAAAGAAAAACCCTGTAATCTACTGCAGACAGCTGAGTTGGGCTGATACATGTGTTTTCTCAAAGGATACCTCTTTTAGCTCCACAAGAAGCAAACAGCTCACTCCAGAGTCCTAGAGCATTATACAATGCCTTGATCTGGGGGAGCCTTGAGGAAACCTTTGCTGGCAATAGCAATGACAATTGAGGTGAGACATCAATAGTGGCAGCCATTCTTCACAAATGTACAGTGCTTCACTGCTGACAAAGTGCTACAGGATATATCTTGTCTTATTTATTACATCAGTATTGTGTGGTAAGCAGGTGTTTGGTTAATACTGAGTGTCAACTTGATTGGATTGAAGGATACAAATTATTGATCCTGGATGTGTCTGTGAGGGTGTTGCCAAAAGAGATTAACATTTGAGTCAGTGGGCTGGGGAAGGCAGATCCACACTTAATCTGATGGGCACAATCTAATCAGCTGCCAGCGAATATAATGCAGGCAGAAAAACATGAAAAGGAGAAACTGGCCTAGCCTCTCCCAGCCTACATCTTTCTCCTGTGCTAGATGCTTCCAGCCCTCGAATATTGGACTCCAAGTTCTTCAGTTTTGGGACTCAGAGTGGCGCCCCTTGCTCTTCAACTTGCAGACAGCCTATTGTGGAACCTTGTGATCGTGGAAGTTAATACTTAATAAACTCCTGTATATATATGTGTGTGTGTGTGTGTGTGTGTGTGTGTGTGTGTGTGTGTGTGTGTGTATATATATATATATATATATATATATATATATATAGAGAGAGAGAGAGAGAGAGAGAGAGAGAGAGAGAGAGAGAACCCTGACTAGAGAACCCTCTAGTCCCTCTAGAGAACCCTGACTAACACAGCAGGACAAGAATTAGTATTGTCATAGAAGGAGACTGAGGTCCCAGAAGGCAAAAAGCTTGATTAGGATCACAAAACCAGTAAGTAGAAGAGCTCAAAGAAAAATCTAGATTTCAGGCCTCTGTGCCAGAGCTCAAATGGGGACTGTTTCCTATGATCTGTCTTCTGACTGAAATGGAACTGCAAGAGCCCTGACCACCTCAGGTGCCTGGCTAATGTAGTGGTAAATTCAAATAGTTTCTCTTGAGTTGTCTACCTTCAAGAGTAACATTTCTGCCTGTCCTCCAGGGTAGTCATTCACTTGTTCATTCACTCACTATGTGTATATTGAGCCTTTAGTATGTTCCAGGCACTAGAAATCCAGCAGAGAACAAAGCTAAACATGGTTGCTGACTTCCTAGAGCTTATAGCCTGGTAGAGGAGAGATCCAATGAACAGAAAATTACAAAAATAATGATAAATTTTGATAGTTGCTATCAAAGAAGAGTATAGGGTTCTATGAAACAGAATAAGAAGGGGGACTTCATCCAGTTTGGGAAGGTCAGAGAAGATTAAATCATCTCTGATTAAATCATATTCAACTCCTACTCTTAATGGATGGAGTAGGAGTTACCAAATGTTGGTTGAGGGTGGTGGGGTAGCAAATGGAACAGCATGAGTGAAGGCCCTGGGATAGGAAAGAACTTGGAGTATTACAGGAAAAAGACGAGACTTATGTGGCTGAAGTGGCGCAAGTGAAGGGGAAGTTGGAGAAAAATGAGCCTGCAGGGTGAACAGAAGCCAGATCACGAAAGCTGGGGAACAACCCCTTTTAAGCTTGCTTTGAATGTACTTGAGTAGGACCTAGACTCCTGAAGACCTTATGAATGCCTATGAATTTATTATTCAGCCTCTTCTCATTCATCTTAGATGCTCTGGGGCCACCTAGAGGCCAAAACACAGTGCCCAGTGGGGCAATTAAGGCTAAGAAAGGCAGAGCGTGTTCCCTACTGTGGAGACAGAGTGTTAGAGAGTTGCATGGGGCATTGACCTTGGCTGGCAGCTTTCTGGAAGCTAAGGCACAAAGGGAAATTTACTGGTTTTTGTGGTGGTTGTTTTCTGGCAACAAAAAAAATTAAAGCAAAAGCTGACTGATCAGCAGCCAAGGCCAATGAGTCCTGAAACTCAATTAAACTGAGAAGTCTTCACTTGGGACCTGCATGAGAGTGTACTATGACTTCAGCAAGTGCTGCCTCAAATGAATGGCAACTCTGCTTCTGCTCATGGCACCATCAAGCCTGGGAGAATGGACTATACCCTCCAGAAAGAGGGAGGTGGAGGCATTTCTGCCAGTTGGGAAGATAACAAGGTTCAGACAGTCTGTTCTCTGATGTCTGAGCTTAATGCAGCAGAATAAATAAGCACAACTTGATGAGGAGGGAGTTAATGTATTCATTAGCTTGCATTGCTCCACTGAAAGGTCTGAATACATTTGTAACAGGGCGGCATTGCAGGTACTTTCCAATTGATGCCCTTGAGAAGTGTTGATAATGTGGTACACAGTTGGGAACCCAAAGCACTTGAATAGATGAGTCCAATTTCTTCATCCCTGTATGAGAAAATAATCACCTTATTTTTACCCTCCAGGGATTGAGGGCGGAGCCTGTTAGAGGTGGTAACTTCAAACCCTGGACAAAGTCAGCTGGATGTCTGCAAAAATGGAAATCTTAAGGCTTTGTTAGAAAATGTTCTGGAATTCTGAGCAAACTATCGCAAGGACAGAAAACCAAACACCGCGTGTTCTCACTCATAGGTGGTAATTGAACAATGAGAACACTTGGACACAGGGCAGGGAATATCACACATTGGGGCCTGTCGTGGGGTGGGAGGCTGGGGGAGGGATAGCATTAGGAGAAATACCTAATGTAAATGACGAGTTAATGGGTGCAGCACACCAACATGGCACATGTATACATATGTAACAAACCTGCACATTGTGCACACGTACCCTAGAACTTAAAGTATAATAATAAAAAAAAAAGAATTTAAAAATGGAAAAAAATGCTATAGCAAATAAATCTTTATAATCATCCCCCCACCCCCCCCCCAAAAAAGAGGAGTTCTTCGTTGGTTGGGATCCCAACTGAAAAGGCAGACATGGCTTGTAGAGCATTAAAACTGATGTTACAAAAGCTAAATACCACATGGACAGAGCAGCAAGTGGCCAAAGATATCTCTATCCAGGTGGCTAAAAGCTTCCCCTTGGCAGGATAGCTAATTTTGACACAGATTGTAATCTGGGAGAAGCAGACATATCAGCCTTGACGATGAATGGGGCTGCCTTCCCAATGTACACCTGTATAGCTCTGGAACAGAATGGGTTTAGGCGGCAGGTAGGCAGGAAGAGGCAGACATGTTTCAGGTTGGCTGGCATCAGGGGTTCAAGGTACGCTCATCGATGTAGTAGAAAGGAAGGAGCCTCAACATCTTCCTTAAAGAATAATCCGGTTAACAGACCATTGGTTAATAGATTAGACACTGGGCCAGAGGCCCAAAATCTGGGACATAACTTTGTAGTTGTAAGTGCCCTTCAACCTCTGAGATATGATTGGTGGCGTGAAGTTTACAGAATTTGAGGGTAACAACAAGCTGAAGAAAAATCTGGAGAAGAGCCTGAGGAAACAGAATCACAGTCTGTCTTAAAAAGACATTGCCTGATACTATCCTCTTTTTGTATAGATGGGACCTCAAAGCCCAGAGAGGGAGCAAGGGACATACTGAAGTCACACAACCACTGAATGGCAGAGCCAGGGCTAAAATGCATCTATTCTGCTTCTTGGGCTGCCACTTGAACATAGGTTCAAGTCTTCCATGGATAAATACAAGTCACTTGATCAAAGACTAAAGAGAAGTCTGCGGGTAAGCATGGAGAATTATTTGACTAGGCTCCAACAGGACAGTGTACAAAAACCAGGAAGAGCAGTAGGCAGAAGCCTGGGGATACCAACATTTAAAGGGAAGGCCAGGGAAGAGATCACTAGGCTGTGCACTCTGAGGGCAGGCACTGGCTCCTACTTACTATTGCTACCTCAACACTTAGTATGTAACTTTGCACCTAGTAGGTCCTAGAAAAATATTTATTGGATGGACATAGAGGAGTCCACAAAGAAAGTAGAAAAAAAAGACATAGAAATGTGAGGAAAGCTAGGTGCGTTGGCTTACCTTTATAATCCTGGCACTGTGGGAGACTGAGGTGGGTGGATTGCTTGAGCCCAGGAGTCCGAGACCAGCCTGGGCACCATGGCTGAAACCCCATCTCTACAAAAATACAAAAATTAGCCAGGCATAATAGTGCACGCTTGTAGTCCTAGCTACTCAGGGTGGCTGAGGTGGGAGGATCACCTGAGCCCTGGAGGTTGAGGCTGCAATGAGCCGAGATCATGCCATTGCACTCCAGCCTTGGTGATAGAGTGAGGCCCTGTCTCAGAAAACAAAAATGTGAGACAAACCAGGACGGTGCAGTGGCACACAAGTCAAGAGAATAGAGAGCTTCAAAAAGGAGGTAGACAACAACTGTTAAATGCAACAGAGGGGCCAAAATAAAAGAATGTGTTACATGTTGATGGAATGCTTCCAATTCAATGGGCTCCTAAATCTTCATCGCTAATGCAGACATTTTCCTTCTGAGCACCAAGCTTGGATATCTGAGTCACTGCTGGCCATCTTTACCTTGACATCCACGCACGATATCCTATGTCCCCAAATGAACATATTATCTTTCTCCCAAACCTGGCCCTACTCTTCTCTTCTCTATTTTAGTAAATGACAATACTGACTCTGGTTAACAACTTAGAAACCTAAGAGTAATTCTAGACTAGTCCCACTTTCTCAGCCACACAATCAACCTCACACTGTTTTTTCTACTTCCGTATCGCTCTCAAATCTGTCCACTCTGATCAACTTTCTCTGTTATAACCCTACATCTCTCATGGGAAATTGGAATAACCTACTAACTGGTTTACTCAATCCACTTTTGCTCCCCTACAGACTTTTATCCAAAATTAGCCAAGCAGATTTCTTTTCATTTATAATTGTTTTTGAGACAGAGAGTCTCACTATGTTGCCCAGGCTATTTTTGAACTGGGCTCAAGTGATCCTCCTGCCTTGGCCTCCCAAATAGCTGGGATTACAGGCATGTGCCACCATGCCTAATTCATTTGCAAGTTTTTATTAAAATTTATTTTCCACTTACATTCAGAAAAATTCACTCTTCTGGTGTCCAGTTTGATGAGTTTTAACAATGTACAGAGTTATACAACCACTACCACAATTGAGACACAGAACAGTTCCATCACTACCCCAAAAACCTTCTCTCAGGCTACCTCTTTGTAATGAAAACTCCTCCCCACGCATATAATCCCTTGCAACCACTGATCTATTCTTCATCCCTACTGGTTTGCCATTTCTAGGATGTCATAGGAATGAAATCACAGAATATGTAGCCTTTTCAGATGGGCTTCTTTCACTCAGGATGATGCAGTCGCGATTCATTCATGTTGTTGTGTGTATCAAGAGTTTGTTCTTTTTGTTACTGAGAAGTATTCCATTGGATGGATAGGTCACAGTTTGCATTTCTAAATTAAGGGATGTTTGGGTTGTTTCCAGTTTTTATTGGACAATTATGAATAAAGCTACTATAAACATTGACTACAAGTTTTTGTATGAACATGTGTTTTCATTTCACTTGGGTGAATACCTAGGAATAGGACTGCTGCATCACATGAGAAGTGTATATTTAACTTTATTAAAAATACTGCCAAAATGTCTTACAAAATGACAGTACCATTTGGCGTTCCCACCAGCACTGGATGAGGGTTCCAGTAGCTCCACAGCCTCACCAGCACTTGGTTTGTCAGTTCTTTCCTCTTTTCTTTACTTTTTAATGTTCTAATAGATGTGTAGTAGTGTCTCATTATGGTTTCAAAGTGCATTTCCAAAACAACTAATGATGCCAAGTATTTTTTCATGTGCTTATTTGTCTTATGTATATATATTCTGTATATCCTCTTTGGTCCATCATGTATCTTCTTTGGTGAAGTATCTGTTCAAATATTTTATCCATTTTCTTAATTGGATTGTTTGATCTTGTTGTTGAGTTTTGAGATTGCCTTGTGTATTCTAAATACAGTTCCTTTTTCAAATATCTGATTACAAATAATTTCTCCCAGTCTATAGCTTATACTTTTATTCTTTTAATAGTATTTTTTGCAAAGGAAATGTTTTTAATTTATATAAAGCTGATATATATTTTTCTTTTATGGATCATGCTTTTGGCATATCTAAAACCTTTTTGCCTAACCAAAGGCCAAATGGATTTTTCCCCTATGTTTTAATTTAGAATTTTATGATTTTATGCTTTTCATTTATGTCTATGATCCATTTTGAGCTAACTTGTGATGAGATTTGAGGTATAAGTCAAAGTTCTTTTTTTGCATATGGATGTCTGATTGTTTAAGTACTATTTGTTGAAAAAACTATTTCCCCATTGAATTGCCATTGAAGTTTTGTCAAAAATCAATTATTCGTATGTGTGTGGGTCTATTTATAGGTTCCCTATTTTTTTTTCCTGTTGATCTATGGGTCAGTTCCTCCACCAACATCACACTGGTTTGTTTACTTTAGCTTTATATTAAGTCTTACAAGCAGGTAGTATGACTTTTCCAACTTTGTTCTTCTTTTCCAAAATTTCATTTTTATTCTATTTCCTATGTCTTTCTATATGAATCATAAAATCAATGTGTTGATAACTACAAAAAAAAAACCTGTGATTTTGTTGGGGCTGTATCCATAGATCAGTTTGCAGATAATTGACATTTTAATGATAGTGAGTCTTCCAATTCATAACTAGAGTATGTATTTCCATTTTTTAGGTCTTTAAGTATTAGAAATAGTCAAACCCATAGAAGCAGAGAATAGAATGATGGTTGCCAAGGGCTGGAAGGAGGAGGAAAAGGGGTATTGCTGCTCAGTAGGTATAAAGTTTCAATTATGCAGATGAATAAGTTCTAGAGATTTGTCGCGCAGCATAGTGCCTTTTGTGCACTTTACAATTTTTAAGAGGATAGATCTCATGTTAGATAATTTTACCACATTAATTAAAAAGACACAGTGGAACACAAGGAAACTTTTGGAGGTGATAAATATGTTTATTACCTCGATTGTGGTTATGGTTTCATGGGTTTATGCATGTATTCAAACTCATCAAATTGTATACATTAAACGTGCAGTTTTTGTATATCAATTGTACTTTAGTAAAGCTAATAAAAATGTAAATTTTCAAATATGAATTGCCGATATATAGAAATACAATTAATTTCTATATGAAGACCTTTTACACTGTGACCTTGCACTGTGACTCTCAAACTGAGTACGCGTAAGATTTCATTGGATATATTTTAGATTTTGTTGGAATTTTTTACTTTGATAGTGATGCTGTCTCCTGATAGAGACAGTTTTAGTTCTTCTTTTCCAATGTGTATGCATTTTCTTTCTTTTCCCTTATTGCACTTGCTATGATTTCAAGTATGATATTGCATAGGAGTGGTGAAAGCAGACATCTTTACCTTGTTCTCTATCTAGAGGAAAAGCATTCAGTCTTTCATCATTAGGTATGATACTAGCTTTAGGATTTTTATAGATGCTCTTTATCAGGATGTAGGAATTACTTTTTATTCCTGGTTTGCATAGTTTTTTTTAAATCATAAATGGTTATTGGATTTTGGCAAATACTTTTTCTGCATCGACTGATATGACTGGGTGATTTTTTTCTTTAGTATGCTATATTGGCTGACTTTTGAATGTTGAAGCAGCCTTGTATTTCCAGGATAAACCTCACTTGGTCATGATGCATTATCCTTTTAATATATTGTTGAATTTAATTTGCTAGTATTTTGGTGAGAACTTTTACATTTATGTTCATGAGGAATACTGGTCTGTAGTTTTTCTTTATTGTAATGACTGTCTAATTTTGGTAATTAGGTTAGTACTGATGATAAAATGAGTTTGGAAGAATTTCCACCTCTTCTATTTTCTGAAGAATTTGTGTGATGGAGTATTATTTCTCCTTTAAATGTTTGGGAGAATTTGCTAATGAGATCATCTGGACTTGAAGTTTTATTTTGTGGAAGGTTTTAAACTATGAATTCAATTTCTTTAATATAAATATGACTTTTTAGGTTGCCTCTTTCTTCTTAAGTGATTTCTCTAAGTTTGTATCTTTCAGAGAATTTGTTTGTTTTATCTAAGCTGTTATATTTATGAGCATCGAGTTGTCCATGTTATTCCTTAATCATCCCTTTAATGTCTATAGCATCTATAGTGATAGCCTCCCTTTCATTCAAGACATCAGTAATTTGTGTCTTCTCTCCATTGGTCTGGCCAGGGGTTTGTCAATTTCACCGATTTTTTTTTAATAAAGAAATGGCTTTTTGGCCAGATGTGGTAATGCATGCATGCAATCCCAGCATTTTGGAAACTGAGGTGAGAGGACAGCTTAACACCAGGAGTTTGGGGACAGCCTGGGTAACATATGCCATCTGTACACATCTTTTTTTAAAAAATTAGCTGGGCATGGTGGCATGCACCTGTAGTCCTAGCTACTCAGGAGGCTGAGGAAGGAGGATTGCTTGAGCCCAGGAGTTCAAGGCTGCAGTGAATCATGATCAAACCACTGTACTCCAGCCTGGGTGACAGAGTGAGAACCTGTCACTAAAAAAGAAAGGAAGAAAGAGTTTTTTGTTTCAGTGATTTTTTTCCCTAATAATTTTGTTTTCAATTTCATTGATTTCTGCTCTTTAGTATTTCCTTACTTTGGCATTCTGTTTGCTTTGGATTTACTTTTTATAGTTGTAGTTTCACAAGATAGAAATTTATATCACTGATTTCAGATTTCCCTTTTTTTTCCCACATAAGCATTACATATTATTAAATTCTCCCCAAAGCACCAGGGGCAAGCTACTTCTGTTGCCCTGCCCTGAGTAGCCAACTATTCTATCAAAAATTTTCTTGACAACAAAGTGGGCTAATCAGTGTTGGGTCTGTAGCCTCCAAACACCATTATTTCAGTCCTTTGGGGTGTTGTCATCAGCTTTTAGTAGAATGAGATTTTTGGACCCTCTGAAGGCCCTTTAGTTGTTTCCAGCATAGGGCAGGATGCAAGAAACGCCACTATGAGGTAGGTGGCTTAGAGGTGATATATTTGTCTCCCTTTTTAGAGAGTTGATACTATCATCCTACATATATCACACCATCTAGGTTCTGGCAATTTATAAGCTGATATTGCTCACCTACCCCTACCCCCTGCAAATACATGCGAAAACACCAGGCCTTTTACTTTCTTACTAGTGAGATAGTGATAAGGAGGAAATTTGTCTTCAGTGCTCAGTGCTAACCTAGTCCTTATCCCTCCATGTCTGGTTAACTGTGGACCTGTCCTTCTGGCCCCAACCCCGCAACACCCACCTCCCTCCCTGTCCACACACCACCTCTTCCCTCCTTCCTCCCTCCCCACCATCCTAGAACATGAAGACACTCACATCATTTTACAACAGATTCATTTTATTTTCATCACCATGGGGCGTACCCTGTGGGGTATAGAATGTATCCTAGACCCTGCTAGCTAGTTCTTTGGGGTCAGATCTCTGGAGACCTCTCAGATAGATCTAGGCCTCTGAACTTGCCTTGAAATTACTGGCTGTCCAGGGAGACGCTGGAGATTGTGGAGGTCTCCTGGCTAACTCGGTCCTGCTATGGCTCATTTTGAGTGAGTTTCCTATTCAGCTGGTCATAGTGGCTGGATAGTGTTGGCCCGTTCCCTTCCTCAGGTTTTCTTGAAGTGGTAGTCTTTTTGGGAGTGGTTTTTTTCCTGGAACTTTCTCGAAGGGTCCCTTTTCCCTTCCAGGTTGTCTTTGGAACTTGGAAGGACAACAGGGAGATCACAGAAGGGCACTGGTTTTGGGGAAGAGGATGGGGGAGGGGTGGGAATGGGGGTTTCATCAATAAAGGGTGCAGGCTGGGGTAGGGATTGTGCCAGGCGAGGACAGGGTAAGGCGTCTTGGGAGGGAAGAGTCAAGGGGTAGATGAGGAGGAGCCTGGGTGGGTCACTCACCTTCAGAGGGCTTCTGGACTTTGGTTGAGAGGGGGCCCTGCCTCTTCCTTACCCTTTTGTTTTGTTTTGTTTTGTTTTGTTTTGTTTTGTCCTTCTGAAGAAATAGAACTTACCTTAAAGGAAAACACTCATAGAATTATTTTTCATGAATAGTTCTAACAAGCTTCCAGCTTCTTGGAGGAGACACTTTGTGATCAATTTCAGTCCCTCCCTGGGTAGAGGCGTCTCATTCAGGTTTTTGTCCCTGGAAGAAAGGAACGATAGAGTTAGCCACAGGCCAGAGTGGCTGTATTAATATCATACAAAGTAGATTTCAGAGGAAAAAACATCATCAAGAACAAATAAGTCATTTCATAATAAAGTTGTCAATCAAGAGAACAAAATATTCTAAACTTTTATGCCCCCAACAAGAGAGCTTCAAAATATATGAAATAAACAATGATAGGACCACAAGGAGAAGTAGACAAGTCCATAATCATAGTCAGAGGTTTCAATACCCTTCTCTCAATAAGTGAAAAAACAAGTAGACAGAAAATTAGTAAAGACATAGAAAATTTGAACTACACTAGCCATTAAATTGACCTAATTTACATTTACAGAATAATCCCAGTAACATCAGAATTTGCACTATTTTCAAATGCATATGAGATATTTATCAAGATACATAATATTGTGGGTTGTAAGTCAAATCTCAATACATTTAAAGTCTAAGTCATGCAAAGTTTGTTCTCTGACCACAATAAAATTAAATTTGAAATCAATAAGGGAAACATATCTGGAAAAAAAACCCAAATATTTGGAGAACTAAGTAATATACTCCTAAGTAACTTATGGGGCAAAGAAGAAACCAAAGCAAAATGATCATATATTTTAACCAGTATGAAAATGAGAACATAACGTAACAATTATGTGATGACACCAAAGCAGTACTTATAAGGAAACTTATGTTACTAAATGCCTGTATTTGAAAAGAAATGTCTCAAATCAACAGCCTTAGCTTTTCCTTTAAGAACCTAGGAAAAGAAGAGCCCAGGAAACCCAAGGAAAGTACAAAAAGGGAAATAAAGATCACAGCAACATCAATGAAATAGAAAAACAGTAGGGACAATCAATGAAACCAAAAGGGGATTCTTTAGGAAGAACAATAAAATTGATAAACTTCTAACAAGAGAGATGAGAAAAAAAGATAAAAAATACAAATTAACCAATAGCAGAAATCAGAATGGTGATATCACTACAGATTCTACAGATAATCAAATTATAAGAAAATAATATGAACAATGTACAACAATAAATTTGACAACTTATAGGAAATAGACAAACTCCTGAAAGACACAAACTACCAAAGCTCACTCAAGAAGAAATATATAACCCAAATAACCCTATAACCATTAATGAAATTGAACTTGCAGTTTAAAATATTCTCAGAAAGGAAATTTCAAGGCCAGATGGCTTCACTCCTCAATTCTACCAAATGTTTAAGGAAGAATTGACAGCAATCCTTCAGAAACTCTTCAATAAATAAATAAATAAATAAATAAATAAATAAATAAATGAAGGAACACTTCCCAAAGTTATTCTTTGAGGGTACTATTACCCTGAAACCAAAATAAAAGACATCACAGGAGAGAAAAACTGCAGACCAATAGCCCTTATGAATAAATGCTCAGATATTCTCAACAAAATACTAGCAAACTAAATCCAGCAAACTGTAAAAAGTATTATACCCCGTGATCAAGTGCAATTTATCTCAGAAATGCAAGATTTGTTTAATATCCAAAAATCAATTAATGTAATACCCCCATATTAATTGATTAAAGGGAAATATATATATAATCACCTCAATGACAAAATTCAGATCTTTTCATGATGCACTCAACAAATCAGGAATAGAAAGGAAGTGTTCCTCAACCTGATGATGGCAAGGTACAAAACACTACAGCTAACATCATACTTAAAGGGGAAAGACTGAAAGCTTTCTCCTTAAGATTGGGAATAAGACAAGAATGTCTGCTTTCACCACTTCTATTCAACAGGATTATTAGGAAAGAAACAAATGAAAGGCTTCCAAATTGGAAAAAAATAAGTAAAATTGCCTTTATTTGCAGATGACACACTACTAAAACTAGTAAATTTAGCAATGTTGCAGAGTACAAAATCAATATACAAAAATCAATTTTATTTCTATTGGTATCAATGACCAATCAAGTGGTGAAATTAAAAATTCACAATAGCATCTAAAATGATATACTAGACAAAAGTTTAACAATATAGTGAAGGATCTATGCACTGAAAAGTATAAAATGTTGCTGACATAAAGAAAGGTTAAATAAATGGAGATATCGCCCTCATTCATAGGTCAGAAGACTCAATATTGTTAAGATGCCAAGTCTTCTTAACTTGGTCTACAGATTCAACACCATCTCAATCATTATCCCATCAGTGTTTTTGTAAAAATTGGCAATATGATCCTAAAATTCAAATGAAAATACAAAAGACCAGAACAACTTTAGAAAAAAATAAATTTACAGGATGAACAGGGCCTCATTTGAGGTTATTATAAAGCTACAACAGTCAAAGCAATGCGGTACCAGCATAAAGGTCAGTGGAACCGAATGGAGAGTACAGAAATACACTGATGCATACTGTGATGGTTAATTGTATGTGTCAGCTTGACTGTGGTAAGGAATGTCCAGATAGCTGGTAAAACATTATTTCTGCATGTGTCTGTGAGGGTGTTTCCAGGAGAGATTAGCATTTGAATCAGTAGACTGAGTAAAGAAGATCTACCGTCACCAATGTGGGTGGGCATCATCCAATCTTTTGAGGGCCTGAATAGAACAAAAGATAGAGAAAAGGAGAATTTGCTCTTTCTGCTTGAGTTGGGCCATTCGTCTTCTCTTGTCCTTGGATATTAGTACTCCTGGTTCTTGGACCTTCAGATTTGAACTGAGACTTACACCATTGACCCCCCATCCCCGGTTCTCAGGCCTTTGGACTCAGACTGGGACTTACATCATGGGCTCCCCTGATTCTCAGGCCTTTGGGCTTGAGCTAGAATTGCACCACTGGCCCTCCTGAGCCTCCAGCTTGCAGTTGGCAGAGCATGGGACTGCTCAGCCTGCATGACTGTATGAGCCAATCCCTCATAATAAATATCTTTATATCTATATCCTACTGGTTCTGCTCCTATGGGGAACCCTAACTGATACACATATATAGACAAATGAATTTTTTAAAAAGTGCAAAGAAAATTCAGTAGAGCAAGAGGTACTTTCAACAAATGGTACTAGAAAACTCAGATATAGATACGCAAAAAATCCCCCAAACCTCTTATTACCCATACCTCACATTACATACAAATATTAAAGAGATCACAGACCTAAATGTAAAACCTAAAAATATAAAACTTCTAGAAGAAACTAAAGGAGAAAACCACTGGGACCTCAGTTTAGACAAAGATTTGTTAGATGTGACATCAAAACCCAATTCATAACTGGGCTTCATCTAAGTTAAAAACATTTACTCTTTGAAAGACACTGTTAAAGGAATTAAAGGACAAGCAGCAGATAGGAAGAAAACCATATATAGGAAGAAAACCGTATATATGGTAGAGACATTGTATCTAAACATATTGAAGAGCCCTGAAAACTCAATAACAAAAACCAAACAGCCCAATTTTTAAAAACTTGGGCAAAAGATTTGAACAGACACTTCACCGAGGAAGATATACGAATGGTTAATAAGCACATGAAGAGATGCCCAAGACCATTGGGGAAATGTCAACTAAAACCAAAATGACATAAACTACACCGTCATTAGAATGGCTAAAATTAAAAAGACTGATCACATCATATGCTTACACGGATGTAGAGGAAGTGAAGCTCTCACACCCAATTGATGGGCCCGTAAAATGGCACAGGCACATTGGAAAAATTTGGTAGTTTCTCAGAGTTAAAGACATACATCTATGATATGATTTACCCATTCCACTCCTAAGTATTTATCAAAGAGAAATGAAAGCACGTGTTCACACAAGGGCTTGTATACAAATGTTTATAACAGCTTTATGTGTAATAGTCCAAAACTAAAACATTTACAGATGTCCATTAACAGATGAATGGATAAATAAATTGTGGTATGGTCATACAAACAGCATACAATACTACTCCACAATAAAAAAGCAATAAAAAGGAACACATTATTGATATGTTCCACATGAATTAATCTCAAAATAATTATGCTGAGTGAAAGAAACCAGACCAAAAATTGTACACACTGTATGATTTTATTTACATAATAGTCTAGAAAATGCAAACTAATCGATAGCGACAGAAAGCAGGTAGTGTTTACCTGGGAACTGGGGGTGGGAAGGAGAAGGAGTGAAGGATGACCAAGAGGAACAAGGAAAATTTGAGGAGAAGGATGTGTTCACTATCTTTATTGTGATGATGGTTTCCCGGATGTATAAATGTGTCAAAAATTATCAAACTGTACACTTTAAACATGTGCAGTTTACTGTATGTCAATTATACCTCAACAAAGCTATTAATAATAATAATGAATATAATAATAAATTATAATCTTTGGTCAGACCAGATCCTTCCTTCTAAGTTTAGCCCTAACCAAGGTCCACTGGGGTAAATGGGCTACTGGTCAGGCTGATAATGACCAGAGGAAAACTCTTCCCTTTACTGAGTGCTTACTTTGTCCCTGGCTTAGTGCTGGGTGCTTTCATAGGCATTATCTTATTTAAGGTTCATAGCAAATGTATGTGGAAAGAAAAAGGGTCAGTGACTTACCTAAGGTCGAATAGCTTTTAAAAAGTGAAGAGCTCTTTACCATTCTGCAAAGGCCTTCACTTCTAGTCAATGCCAACAATGCAGTCAGTGTATAAAAAGCAAAGCCGGCCAGGCGCAGTGGCTCACACCTGTAATCCCAGCACTTTGGGAGGCCGAGGTGGGTGAATCACCTGAGGCAGGAGTTTGAGACCAGCCTCGCCAACATGGTGAAACCCCGTCTCTACTAAAAATACAAAAATTAGCCGGGTGCGGTGGCGGGCACCTGTAATCCCAGCTACTCAGGAGGCTGAGGCAAGAGAATTGCTTGAACACAGGAGGCGGAGGCTGCAGTGAGCCAAGATCACACCACTGCACTCCAGCCTGGGTGACAAGGGCGAAACTGTCCAAAAAAAAAAAAAAAAAAAAAAAGCACAGCCTTCTCATATGCCAAGACTTGCTTGGCAGGGCCTAGAGCAGAAAATTTAATTAAGGGCCTGGTTTTGGACATGATTTTCAATATTGTTCACTTCATAACAACACTGGAAAAATTAAGCTACTTTTGTTTTAGTCATTTTGAGAATCTTACCAATTACACCGACATGCACAAACAGCTGATGTAAAGCTATTTGAGTTCTCAAATAGCTACAGAATTTTTTTCACCAGTGCCTAATGAATCTTCCTAAAAATACTTCTTTCCTCTAAATCCTGACCCAGTTCCCTACTGTTCACAAAAGAAATCCCCAAACCGAACATTCATGGAAAACCCAAGCTATGAAGTTAGAGTTATTTCTTACTAGTACCTTCTACTTGGTGAACACATTATAGTTTTCTAAAATCTTCCTTATAATTATCTTTTTATAATTCTCACAAAAGAACAAGAATTAGAATCCCCATTTAGCCACTAATTAAATAAGACTGACAGTAAAAAGTGTTGTAAGGACGTGAAGAATTGCAACCCTCACACACTGAGTGTGGGAATGTAAAATGTTGCAGTTGCTTTGGAAAACAGTTTGGCAGTTCCCCAAAAACTTAAACATAGAATTACCAAATGACCCAGCAATGTCCACACAAAAACGTGTACCTGAATGTTAATAGCAGCATTATTCATAATTGCCAAAAGATGGAAATAACCCAAATACCCATCAATTGGTAAACAGATAAACAAAATGTAGTATATCCATAACATGGAATACTACTTGGCCGTAAAAAGGAATGACATAATATATATTACAACCTAAAAACACTTTGCTAAGTGAAAGAAGCCAGGCACACAGGGTCACATATCGTATAATTCCATTTCTATGAAAAGTCCAGAATAGGCAAATTCACAGAGGCAGAAAGCAGATTAGTGATTGCCAGGAGCTGCAGGGATGGGAGTGGGAATGAGGAGTGACTGCCAATGGATACAGATTTCCTTTTGGATTGATGAAAATATTCTAAAATTGATTGTGGGGATGGTTGCCCAACTGTTAATATACTGTCAACGCTGAATCATATACTTCAAAAGGGTGGGTTTTGTGATATGTGAATTATAACTCAATTTTTAAAAAAGAATCCTCATTTAGCAGATGAAAAAACTGAGAACAGGAGAGGTTAACTGTCCTGCCTAGATTTCCTGCCTCTAGCTTTGTCAACTATTCTGAAACCCAAAATGTTTGGAGAGGACTTAGGTTAAATTCTCCTTTTCTATCCGGGCTGTTTCTTGTCTGTCCCAGAGCTCACCATGCTAATTCTTGAGCACAGACTGTGCTCAGCACTGTATCAGGAACTCGAGATGTATGACTCCACACCTCCTCCCTATGAGATAGGACTATAGTTTTTCTTCTGTCATTTTAAATAAAAGAATCTGAGACTCAAAGAACTTAAGAGACTCACCCAAGGTTACACAATAGTAAGAGGTAAGGAGGCTAGAGTTGAGTCTCCGCTCTTCCACTTCCCCGCCCCCAACACATATTTTTATCCCACTCATCAGAACACCTTTTACCTCTCTTACACATATCCACAGCAGACTCACCTTTCCACGAGACTCACTTGTTTCTCAACTGTAACTGGAGGAACAGACTCCAATGGCATGGTGGAGACACTGGGTAATCAGATGTACAGTCTGATCCCTCAGCACCAGTGGGGGATTGGTTCCAGGATTCCCATAGATACCAAAATCTGGGGATGCTCAAGTACCTAATACAAAACGGCATAGTATTTGCACATAACCTATGCACATCCTTCTGTATACTATTTATTTATTTATTGAGACAAAGTCTCACTCTGTCGCCCAGTCTGGAGTGTACTGGCACTATCTCAGCTCACTGTAACCTCCGCCTCCCAGGTTCAAGTGATTCTCCTGCCTCAGCCACCTTAGTAGCTGAGATTATAAGTGTGCACCACCACACCCAGCTAATTTTTGTATTTTTAGTAGCGACAGGTTTCGCCATGTTGGCCAGGGTGGTCTTGAACTCCTGGCCTCAAATGATCCGCCCGCCTGGGCCTCCCAAAGTGCTGGGATTACAGGCATGAGGCACTGCCTCAGCCCCTCCTGTATATTTTAAATCAAGAATGTCCAACCTGTGGCCCAGGATGGCTTTGAATACAGCCCAACAAAAATTCATAAACTTTCTTAAAACATTGAGGGTTTTTTTTGTGATTTTTATTTTTACCTCAACAGCTATAATTAGTGTTAGTGTATTTTATGTGTGGCCCAAGACAATTCTTCTTCCAAAGTGGCCCAGGGAAGCCAAAAGATTGGACATCCCTGCTTTAAATCATCTGTACATTATTTATAATACCTAATACAATGTAAAGCTATGTAAATAATTGATATATTTTATTATTTTTAAATATGTCAACTTTTTACTTTTTTGAGACAGGGTCTCACTCTGTTGCCCTGGCTGGAGTGCAGTGGTGTAATCACAGACCTTCTAGGCTTAAGGGATCCTCCCACCTCAGCCTCCTGAGTAACTGGGACCACAGGCATGCACCATTATACTCAGCTACTTTATTATTATTATTATTATTATTATTATTATTATTATTTTGTAGAGACAGGGTCTCCCTATATTGCCCAGGCTAATTGCGAACTCCTGAGGTCCTCCTGCCTTGGCATCCTAAAGTGCTGGGATTACAGGCATGATCCATTTTTATTGTTGTATTGTTATTTTTTGTTTTTAAAAATAACCAATCCATAGTTGATTGAATTCATAGATGATACAGAGAGCCCACTGTACTGATTTTTCTAAAAATCAGCCTGATATATTTTAACATTTCCAGTTCCTATGTTGAAACAAAAGGGAGAAAACACTGTTTTCCTTACATTGGATGCACTTCAGAAATGACCGTTCCCAAAACATACTGTTTCCCTGAAGAACAAACTTGCTGTCCCATTTAAAGGACAGCCCTGGCTATCCAGCTGTTTAAGCTGAGAAACTTGGGCATGTATAGAAGCCATGACCCTATGGAGAGTTGGATGCAGGGAAGGTACAGTTTTTCAAAGGCCTCCCAGCAGAGTTCAAGGTGTGGTTAGGGCCAAAGTCCAGTGCATAGGCCCCTGGTGCAAGTGTGCAGGGCGAAGCCTTTTCTGATCCCCATATGTGGAAGTCACCCCTCACTCCTTTGAATCCCGTTCCCTGCCTCCCCAAATGAGACAGACTTCTACTATCATATATGGGATGATTCTGAGTATTTTCCCACATAGTCACCCTTCTCGCCAACCAGACATAAGGTTCTGGAGGGCAGAGCCCATGCCTTGCTGTGGCATGGCATGTACTGTGGCAGACACAATTCCCAGCACACAGTAGGTCTTTATCACATGTGTGAATGCTCACTGGATTTTAGACTAAATAAAAGAGAAACCAGATATTTTTAGCCTTGGAAGAAAAATCTTATCACTTTATAATACTCAATTGAACTTTGCAGAGTTTCCCTTTTATTCTGAAAATACATGAATATATTTCCCAAACTTAATTCTGAGACATGTTGCAGCAATATTTCATGAAAGTTAAGGGAAGCCATGGTATTGGAACAAGGGAGGGGAAATGAGGAACTTTGCTCTGACCTCTCCTTTCAAGGGGTGACTGCTTAAAATGGGAGATGGGTGGCAGCAGAGAGCCACTGCATATGACTAATGAGCACGTGGGAGTCTGGGGAGCTAGTGGGGCATTTTGCCTCTGACATCTGAAGGTTGGCACAAAAAGGCACAGGCCAATGGGAAATTGGTGTGAGGGCATTAGGGTGGGCGGAGGCAGGCTCTCAGCCACTTTGCCCCAGGACAGGGTTAGGGTTGGAGACACTAAAATGCAAGGCAAGTTATGAAGACAAAGGCAAGTCCTGCAGGATGAAGATGAGACCAGAAGCCAAACTAACTAGCAGCAGAACACGCTAAGAGCCTGACCTGAGGTCGCTCCAATTTTCCTAAGTAACAGGGTGAGTCCCAGTATCTGGGAACCAGTGACTTCAACTAGGAGGAGAGGAAGACTGTCCTTCAGGAAGAACAGAACTCAGCACTGTCACTGAGGCCCCTGAGTCTTCACCCAGAGTCATCTTGATTGTGCATTTAATCATCATGACAACCCTGGAATTGAGATGTTATCATCCTTCTTTTACTGAAGCTCAGACAAGTAGAGGAGCCTGTCCATGATTCAGCCCAAGGTCTGTCTGACTGCAAAGCCAAGGCCCATTGGTTCCTCTATATCTCATAAGTAGAGGCTATCATGTGTCAGAGATGTGGAAGGAAGATAGAGACTCACATGGAAGGTTGCTGTAGATAACCTACAAGGTAATCAATCTAAACCAAAGAGTTTTTGAGTCTTTAAAAAGGCAGAGAAGATCACTTGATGGAGGTGCTCAAATCCCAGGGATGGTGGGAGCTAGAAATCAAAGTGCTATACCTGGGGTTCTTGGAGCCTGCCTCCTTTTTAAGGCTAATATGGCAGCACACCATAGACAACACAGAGTGCGCCTGGTACCTTGCTAGTAATACAAGTATTTGTTGAATTCGATGAAAGAAAGTAATAGCACCTGGAGAGGATGTGGAGCAATAGGAACACTTTAACACTGTTGGTGGGACTGTAAACTAGTTCAACCATTGTGGAAGACAGTGTGGCGATTCCTCAAGGATCTAGAACTAGAAATACCATTTGACCCAGCCATCCCATTACTGGGTATATACCCAAAGGATTATAAATCATGCTGCTATAAAGACACATGCACACGTATGTTTATTGCGGCACTATTCACAATAGCAAAGACTTGGAACCAACCCAAATGTCCATCAATGATAGACTGGATTAAGAAAATGTGGCCCATATACACCAGGGAATACTATGCAGCCATAAAAAAGGATGAGTTCATGTCCTTTGTAGGGACATGGATGAAGCTGGAAACCATCATTCTGAGCAAACTATCACAAGGACAAAAAACCAAACACCGCATGTTCTCACTCATAGGTGGGAATTGAACAATGAGAACACTTGGACACTGGGTGGGGAACATCACACACCAGGGTCTGTTGTGGGGTGGGGGGTGCGGGGAGGGATAGCATTAGGAGATATACCTAATGTAAATGACGAGTTAATGGGTGCAGCACACCAACATGGTGCATGTATACATATGTAACAAACCTGCATGTTGTGCACATGTACCCTAGAACTTAAAGTATAATAAAAAATAAATAAATAAAAATAAAGTAATAGCACCAATAGTAATATCACTTTGCATTCATATTGTTCAAAGCAAAAATAAATATCAAGTTGGTTTGAGCCTCAGACCATATCAAGACATACAGAAGGAAAGGAATTTAATTTTTAAAGTAGGTTATAAAGTTCAAAACAGAACAAAGCTCAAGTGAGTTTCCGACATAAAAATAGATAACATTTTAGATTTTGTTCCATAAAAGAATAATCAGATCAATACTTCAGTAAGCAGTTTCAGCTGTACTGACAAAAAATAACCAACACGGATTTCTGAAGTGGCTAGCGTAAATGGACTGTCATCTCTCTTATTGTGTTTGTATCAGGTACCAACTTTCCTTATCATGAAAGTTTTTAAGATGGAGAAGGTGGAATATATTCCCTCATTTTCTCAGTAATTTTATTGATAGTTCTTGAAAGAATAGCATTGATTAAAAGAAAAGATATTAGAGGGGAAGGACAGTTATAAATCTAAACTGTGGATTTGTAATTCCAAAGAAAATGTTCATTTTTCATCACCAAAGTCAACATAATTCCAGGAAATAAAATGTCATTGCTTATTTTTGTACTCAAAATTGCTAATATTACAGGCCAACCTTGACAACTTTGTAGCAACTTGACAACTTTAAAACCTGAGCAGTAACCCAGGTTTTAAAAAGAAAATCATTTCACCTTTACCTCCCCTCTTGAAGCAGATGAGAATCTCACTAAGATCCTGTAAATGTAATAATGTTAGTGCTTAAGAGATAGATGGAGAAGCATGTCTTTGAACAGCAGGGCTAACTCATCAGGCATGAGATTTCTGTTTCCATAAGTTATTCACTTACAGTGAGATTCCCAACTCAACACTCAACCCCACAAAGGAAACTGTCTCTGGTTAGCCAATCAACACAAAGCATCAAAATGGGCCCTTCAAATTGAATAAACCTCACTTCAATAAGGCCCAGGTACGTGAAATCAAACCATCTGGATGAAAGGTAAGTAATTTCTTCTGACATCTGGATGACTTGTCTATGTGCCAAAACTAGATGTTGTTCCAAATCTCGGTGACCAGGCCATGCTCGCTGGGTACCAAGACATGAGGGCATCATATATCGTGTCAAGGCCCACAAAAATAGATCTCTGCTGATGTTAGTGGCGTATTCACCAGATTCTGAGTGCTGGCAATCCAATTTCCAAGCATGCTTTGATGCCTGCATCTTCTTGATTCCTCACTGCCACAACGTGGTAGAGGCATGCATTAAACAGTGAATTCAAGGCACAGGTGGAGAATGAGAAAGTTAAGGCATGCTGCTTTAATACAATACTTTCAAAGATGTTTCTCCGTAGTAACAAATGCAACTGAGGAAATTGAGAAAAGTCCAACATTTTCTTGTTTGGCTTTAATACTGACTAGTCGCAATTGATGCGAAAGTTAATGTATCCAGAGAGAGGAAATGCCAGAGACATTTTAAAAGTATTGATGCCGTGTCAGTCTTTAAGTTTTTAGTATTCTTAAAAACTATAGGATGTGGTTGAGAACAACCGAAATACTGGATAATAACATGAAACAGTGGGAGAGGCCAGGCGCGATGGCTCACACCTGTAATCCCAGCACTTCAGGAGGCCGAGGCGGGCGGATCACAAGGTCAGGAGTTCGAGACCAGCCTGGCCAATATGGTGAAACCCCGTCTCTACTAAAAATATAAAAATTAGCTGGGCGTGATGGCGCGGGCCTGTAGTCCCAGCTACTCGGGAAGCTGAGGCAGAAGAATTGCTTGAACCCAGGAGGCGGAGCTTGCAATGAGCCGAGATCGCGCCACTGCACTCCGGCCTGGGCAACAGATCAAGACTCTGTCTCAAAAAAACAAAAAACAAACAAACAAACAAAAAAACAGTGGGAGAACTGCAACTTAACTATCTTTACTTCATTGCCCAAGGTCTGCTGAAAGAAAATAAAAACATAAATCAATTATCTCTGGATGTAAAAACCAAGACCTAGGAAGGAGAAGAGACTTGCTCAAGTCAGTAGCAGGGCTGGAACTGGAACCCAGACCTTCCTGGGTGCTAACTCAGACCTTTGTAATCCATGCTGCATCCCTAAGTCAGCAAGGAGCAAGCCCTCTTAATAAGGTTGCATTAATTCTAGTGCATATCTCATAAAAATTTATAGAGCTATCAATGTCTGCAATAAAAAGCTCAGCTAGATTTCCATTTAATGAAAATATTAAACACACCGTTTCAGAGAACATTGTTTATTTGCAATATCTCTTCCTGTTAAGCTTGATTTAGTGTTTAAGCAGAGAAATCTAATCTCATATAAATCTCAACAGTAAATAATTCAGGTTTCAAATCAGATAAGGTATGAATTCAACTTCCAGATTTGTGTTCCTTTCTCTAATTGACAATGCAAGCTTTTGCTGCCATTTATACAGGGAATTGTGTGTCTTACCTGTAATCAAATGAACTCTTTGAGTTAAATACTGATCAGTTGCCTTCTGCTTTGAAGTTTTCTTTAAACAATCAGGATCCACAAGTTTCTTGAATTCAGGCAGACATTCATGCTTGTTTGCTGATGCTTTTTTTTTCCTATGTGGAAATGGAATTAATCTATAGAGTTTTGAAGTCTTAATTATGACTGAGCTTTATATATTAAACTTCTAAACACTTCAAAACAATATTAGATATTTGGATGCCACATGGCACACATTCCAAACCTGTCTAATTTCCCACGGGCTAATGCAGAAAGTAGAATTTCAGTCATTTGCTCATCCTGAATTCTGGCTTTCCACGTCAGCAAACATTTTCTGATTGGCCATTCTGAGCAGGTAGACCCAGAGATGAGATGTGGAGTTGAAGGTGGAGGACGGGGAGGTGTGGATATGAATAGACATGACTAAGACCTTGTCTTTTTCCTCACATCACTTATGGTCCAGATGGAACATTAAGACAGAAACATATGTATCACTCAGGAAGGGCAGTGAAGGGAGTGTTTCTGGGCAAAGTCTTGGGGTGACTTCTTAGAAGAGAAGGGTTGGAAACTTGTCCTTAAAGAATAGGAAAATTTCAACAGGCATTACTAGGAAGGTTGGGAGTGAGGGAGTATTGCAGGTAGAGGGAACAGCAACAGCAATGGTACAGAGGTGGGAAAGGGCAGATGACACTGGGGACTGAATGGAAACAAGCCCATAAACTTTCATTGACTGTGTTTGGTAGGGCTCACGTATGCAGCAAAACCATATGGCTGGCTAATTAGAGACATGAATTTCAGTGCTCTTGTGCCATTAAGATAAGCTACAGGCAACTCTGGAGTCTAAGGCTGATTTCTTCTACTGTAATCCATCTAATGATGATGGATTAGGGACTATTGTCTAGCTAGGCCCCACTGAAAGTTTCTAAAGTTTCTGTCAAAGCCAATAATGAGAACTGGGAGCCACAAGGACCTGGGACAAATGTAGAGCCTTCCTCTGTGCCTGATAAGGTGCCATAATTCTTTTGTTTGCTTGGAACTTTGTAAATTCAAGAGAGAGCAGGAGAGCAGAGGCCAAAGCAGGCTGCTTCCTTTCAACGGGCCCCATAGGACATCTGAGGGAATTTTCAAGGTGAAGCCTCTAAAATAACAGGGACTAATTTCAGCATGTGCAAAGATAGAATCTGGAGGTCTGAGGCTGGAAGCTGTAATTCTCTAAAGCTGCTATCTAAACAAAAGCCCACAGAGGCAAACTGGAGCAAACTGTTTAGAAAAGTCAAGAAAAGTCTGTTTGGCTAAATTTGTACAATAGGCACATTCAAAAATCCTTCCAGAATTTTCCATTTTCCATTGGGCCACAGCTCAAAGCTGCCCTCTGTTACACATAGAACAGAGGTGCAGACCCTATGAGAAAGAAAGGAATAACCCAAGAAACATTTATCAGGACTTCAAGTATACCTATACTGCCAAACGCTTTGTGTGACTGCTTTAATCCACATTCTATTTCCTCACCAAAACCATCAGAGTCTGGGATAATTTTACATTGCACATTTAACAGTGGTGGCCAGGATTGGTGACCACTTTGAAGTATTAGCGCTTGGAATTGAAATACAGGGTTTTTGCTGCTGTGTAAGACACCTAGGAACAGAAACCCAATGCAAAAAAGGCAATTGGTCTTTCCTACTACAAACACTGCCTCATGTTCATTGACTTCATTTATGTTCATTTAACTCCAGCAACCTGAAGAATAGGCTATATAATATTTCAACTCAGAAGTATAATTTACCTATGATAAAATTCATCCTTTTTAGTGTATAGTCCCGATATCTGATGAATACATAGTTGTGTAACTACCATTACGATCAAGATATGGAACAGTTCAAGCAGTCCTAAAAATACTCTCGTGCCTCTTTGTAGTCAAATCCTTCCAGTATTCCCACCCTTTGACAATTATTGGTCTGTTTTCTGTCCCCTTAGTTTTTCTTCTTGCAGAATGCTATGTATATTAAACTATGCAGTATGTAGCCATTTGTATCTGGCTTCTTTCACATAGCATAATGCATTTGAGAATCATCAGTGTGGTTGGGTATATCAGTAGTTCATT
The DNA here is from genome assembly GCF_000001405.40 of Homo sapiens. Classification (NCBI taxonomy): domain Eukaryota; kingdom Metazoa; phylum Chordata; class Mammalia; order Primates; family Hominidae; genus Homo; species Homo sapiens. The sequence goes on along the minus strand of NC_000023.11, from coordinate 151,482,775 downwards.
CCTTTATAGTTTGGTAGAGCATTCCATTGTATGAAAGTACCACAATGTGTTTATCCTTTCATCTGTTGAAGACTACTTGTGTTGGTTCTAGTTTTGAAAATTATATACAAAGACTTTACAAACATTCACATATAGAGTTTTGTGTGAACATAAGTTTTAAGTTCTCTTTAGCAAATACCTAGGAGTGGGATTGCTGGGTTGTATAGATACTACAGATTGAACTATACAAGAAACTGCCAAAATGTATTTCAAAGTGGTGGTACCATTTGCATTCCCACCAGCAATCTATGAGATTTCCCGTTGCTCTGCTTCCTTTTCAAGATGTAGAATTACAGTTTATTAACTACTAGTATAGGTGTGTATCTTGTTGTGGCTTTAATTTGCAATTCCCTAATGAGTAATGATGCTGAGCACATCACTTCATGTGCTAATTTGCCATCCAAATATCTTCTTTGATGAAGTGTCTCTGCAAATATTTTTGAATATTTTATTGGCGTATTTGTTTTCTTATTATTCGGCTTTGAGAGTTTTAAAAAATATATTATGATTACAAATCCTTTATCAGGAAAGTGTCTTGAAATATTTTCTCCAAGTCCATAGTTTGTCTTTTCATTCTCTTAATAGTGTGTTTCATAGAGTTTTAAATTTTGATGAGGTCTAATGTATCAATTTTTTTTCTGTAAAAGTATTATGATTTTGGTGTCATATATAAGACATTTTTGCCTAACTCAGGGTTACAAAGACTTTAGCTTAGGTTCTGCATTAGTCTGTTTTCATGCTGCTGATAAAGACACATCCGAGACTGGGCAGTTTACAAAGGCAAGAGGTTTAACGGAGAAGTCACAGTTCCACATGGCCGGGGAAGCCTCACTATCATGGCGGAAGGTAAAAGGCAGGTCCCACATGGCAGCAGACAAGAGAAGAGAGCTTGGCAGGAAAACTACCCCTTATAATAACCATCAGATCTCGTGAGACTTAATCACTATCACAAAAACAGCATGGGAAAGACCTGCCCCTGTGATTTAATTACCTCCCATCTGGTCCCTCCCACAACATGTGGGAATTCAAGATGAATTGGGTGGGGACACAGCCAAACCATATCAGGTTCTCTTCTAGAAATTTCTTTCTTATAGCTGTTACATTTAGGTCTATAATCCATTTTGTCTTATTTTTTGTATATGTTTTGAGGTTGAAGTGAATATTTATGTACATGAATATTCAGTGGTTTCAGCACCAAGTGTTAAATACACTATGATTTTCCATTACATTATCTTTGAACCATTTTTGAAAATGAATGGTTATATGTGTGTCCATTAGTGACTATATCTTGTTCCACTGATCAATGCTATCTTTTACCAATGCTATATCGTCTTGATTATTGCAGCTTTATTGTAAGTCTTAAAGCCAGTTAGTGTGATTCTACCAAATTAGTTCTTTCTCAAAAAATGTGTGACTGTTCTAGAGTCTTTGCCTTTTCATATACATTTTAGTATCAGTTTGGTTATTCCTTTTTTTTAAAAAAAGACAAAATCCTTCTGAGATTTTTATCGGGATTGTGTTGAATCTATATATAAATTGAGGTAGAATTAACATCTTAACAATATTGAGTCTTCCAATTCATGAACAAAGCATGTGTCTTCATTTACTTAGATGTTTTATTTATTTCTCAATATTTTATAGTTTTTACCATATTTTGTAAGATTTATATATAAATATTTCCTGTGTTTTTGAGTGCTGTTATAAATCATACTATTTTTGTTAACTTGTTTTCAATCATTCATTGCTAGTTTATACATATGCAATTCATTTTGTATATTGACCTTTTATCTTACAACTTTGTTAAATTTGTTCTAGTTTTTTTTAACTTTTATTTTAAGTTCAGGGGTACTAGTGCAGGTTTGTTATATAGGTAAACTTGTGTCACAGGGACTCGTTACATAGATTATTTCCTCACTAAGGTATTAAGCCTAGTACCCATTAGTTATTTTTCCTGATCCTCTCCCTCTTCCTAACCTCCACCCTCCAAAACACCCCAGTGTGTGTTCTTCCCCTCTATGGGTCCATGTGTTCTCATCATTTAACTCCCACTTATAAGTGAGAACATGCGGTATTTGGTTTTCTGTTCCTGTGTTAGTTTGCTAAGGATAATGGCCTCCAGCTCCATCCATGTCCCTGAAAAGGAAATGATCTCATTCTTCTTATGGCTGCATAGTATTCCATGGTGTATATGTACCACATTTTCTTTATCTGGTCTATCGCTGGTAGGCATTTAGGTTGATTCCATGTTTTTGCTATTGTGAACAGTGCTGCAGTGAACTTACATGTGCATGTGCCTTTATAATAGAATGATTTATATTCCTTTGGGTATATACCCAGTTAGAATGATTTATATTCCTTTGGGTATATACCCAGTAATGGGATAGCTGGGTCTAATGGTACAATGAGATACCATCTAACACCAGTCAGAATGGCTACTGTTACAAAGTCAAAAAATTACATGCTGGCTAGGTTACAGAGAAAAAGGAATGCTTATACGCTGTTGGTGGGAGTGTAAATTAGTTCAGCCATTGTGGAAGACAGTGTGGCGATTCCTCAAAGACCTAAAGACAGAAATACCATTTGATCTAGTAGGTTTTTTAATAGATTTTTTAAGGGCTCTCTGTGTAGATAATGATGTCATCTGTGAATAGTGACAGTTTTTCTTCTTTCCAATATGAAAATGCCTTTAATAAATATAGGACTGTTCAGTTTATCTTCATCTTCTTATCTTTTGGTGCCCCAGGAAAAAGTCTTTGAACCTCTTCTCTACTTTCACTACATTTGTAATCTCATCCTGTCTCATGGGTTTAAATACTACCTACCCACTACTAATTCTCAATCACCTCTAGCCAAGATTTATTTTCCATTCTCCGACTTATCTAACTGCTAACTTGATATCGCCATTTGGAGATCAAGTAGATGTCTCAAACTAAACAAGTCTACAACTAATTTATTAACCTTTTGCTCTGATCTGCCTTACCCATGGCCTTCCCTTTCTCATTGGATGCAATTCTATTCTTCCAGTTGGTTAGGCCAAAAACATTGGCATCAAACTTGTCACCTCTCTCACATGACAACAATCTGTCAGCAAATCCTGATGGTTCTACTTTCAGAATATATCCAGAATCTTACCACTTTTCACCAACTCCAGTGCTACCACCCTGGTCCAAGCCACCTTCATCTCTTACCACCCAGACTACTGCATTCACGTTCTAAAGGGTCTCGCTGCTTCAGCCCTTGACCCCTATAGTATATTCTCAATGCTGCAGCCAAATACATCATTTTAACATGTTAAATCAGATCATGTCACTCCTTTGCTTCTGATTTCACTCAAAGGAAAAGGCCTAAATCCTTCAAATGTCCTGTAAAGCCTTATATTATCTTATCCCTTTTCCAGTTACCTGTCTAATCCTCTTCTACCACTTTACCTTGATTTCTCTGTTCTAGCCACACTGGTATCCTTGCTGTTCCTCAAACATGCAAGTCTCACTCTTGCCTCAGGACCTTTGCATTGATGTTGCCCTCTTCCCCGAGAATTTCCTAAGGGTAACTCCCTCAAGTCTTTAAATGTCACTTTCTCAATAGGACCTATCCTGACCATCCTATTTAATATAGCATCCTGTCCCAACTTCATCATATCCCCCTCACCACATACATTGTACTCTCAATTTACTTTGCCCTGTTCTACTTTTTCATTTTTATAAACACTATGGCCTTCTAACATATTATCATAAAATTAATATATGATTCAGGTTTTGGGGTTTGAGGGGGCTTTTTTTTGAGACAGGGTCTCACTCTGTCACTGAGGCTGAAGTGCAGTGGCACTATCATAGAATACTGCAGCCTTGAACAGTCCTAACCTCAGGTGATCTTCCTACCTTAGCCTCCTGAGTAGCTGGGACTACAGGCATGCACAACCACACCTGGCTAATTTTTCTGTATATTTTGCAGGGATGAGATTTCACCATGTTGCCCGATCTGGTCTCAAACTCCTGAACTTAAGTGATCTGCCCACCTTGACCTCCCAAAGTGCTGGGATTACAGGCATGAACTGCCACACCTGGCCAGGATCAGGTTTGATATCTGTTTTTTCTTGTTAGACTATAAGTTTCACTGCTATATTTCTATTATTCACTGATATATCTCACTGTATTTGCTTTATTCACTGATATATCTCAATTACCTAGAATACTACCTGGGACAAAATAGGTACTCAACAAATACTTGCTGAATAATTGAATGAACTCCTGCAAGAACAATCCTTTGTGTGAAACTTCCTAATGCCAGATTCCCAGATGGTCTTTATAAAGGCTCTTATGAGCTGTGGCAGGCTGAGTGCCATGGAAGGAGGAACTGTGCAATTTGGAGAGTTGGGAAAAATCACCGCCACAAATCTGCTGCAAAGCCTGTAAGAGAATATCAGAAAGGTCTCTGAGTCACAGTGGCAGGCCCAGGGACATTTGGCTGATTTACATCAAGGTCTAGCCCCGCTGCTGCCAACAGTGGCTCTGTTTAATACCAGTGACGTATCTGTGCTGCAACATCAAATGTGTTCCAAATCGTAATTGTAAAATAAGAAAACTGCTCAGCATATGCAGAGCCTCCAAGAGGGGGGAAAGAAATACCATACTGAGCAAGCCCAGAACTTGAAAATAACCACCCCTATCAAAAAAAAAAAAAAAAAAAAAAAAAAAAAAAAAAAGTCTATTTGGGTTGGGCTAGTTCTGCTGGTATCTTAGTTGAAATGGGAAGAAAAAAAAAAAAAAAAGAGGGGCTTTGTACCACACTGAATAAACTCTCCTGACCATCTGTCTGTTAATTCAAAAGCATCCTTCTCAAGAATTGGCTCATGTTGTTGGTGCTGTTTTCTGGTGAGTATTGGGACTTCTGTGTGTGTGTGTGTGTGTGTGTGTGTGTGTGTGTGATAGAGTCTTACTCTGCTGCCCAGGCTGGAGTGTAGTGGCACGATCTCAGCTCACTGCAACCTCTGCCTCTCAGGTTCAAGTGATCCTCCCACCTTAGCCTCCCGAATAGCTGGAACTACAGGTTCGTGCCATCACGTCTGGCAAGTTTTTGTATTTTTAGTATGGACGGGGGTTTCACCACGTTGCCCAGGCTGGTCTCAAACTCCTAACCTCAGGTGATCCACTTGCCTCACCCTCCCAAAGTGCTGGGATTACAGGTGTGAGCCACTGCACCCGGCCTACTGGGATATTCTTGAAATTGCCTACTGCCCCAAAAGTACAGAGCCTAGAACACATAATATATGATCAATTAGTATGAGTTGAGTGAACAAATGAAACTCCAGTATCATCAGATCTAGAGTATGAAGTGGAAATATCACTGGATTTCAGGAGACAAACCTGAATTTGAGTCCAAATACCACTATTTATTAGGCTTGTGATACCACATCCTTGAGATTCAGTTTCTTCCCCTGTAAAAGACCAAGACTCTTACCCTGACTACCATGCAGACTTATCTAAAGGAGGAAAACAGGAGAAAATACATGAGAGTTATTTGTAAATTGTGAAGCATGTGACACATGTAAGTTGTCAGGCATTTTAGAGCTGAAGCATCATCTAAAGCATTCCTCTTGTTAAACACAGGAATACTGAGGCTCAGAGAGGGGAAAGTCACACAGTAAGGTAATGGTATGGCAGAGCCTAGAGAGACCAGGTCTCTTCACTGTCAGCCCAGTTCTTTTTCCATTACACCACAATTATTTTGTGTTTCCCTAAAAATGAGGAAAGATGCTGAGAATGTGAGGAGACCAAGGCAGCTGAAGTTAGCCTTACAGAGCACCAAAGAAGGAAGACATGCACAGAGAGAATTAGGGAGATTCTTAGAGAGTCTCTCTTGAGCATTTGGCAGAGCACTAATCAACATATGCACATAATAAAACTAGCGAAGGCTAGAGAAGGAATCTCCCAAATAATTCAAGGAATCTGTTCTTGGAATTCACATAGGGCTGGGAATAGAGCTAGTTCCCACCAGCCAGCCTGAAAATCTCATGATTCACAGGGCATATGGCATTCTGAAGGGCCTTGCCTCAGTAGTAGGAAATAACTAACCCTACAACAAATGCTGCCCTATTCCTTCCTAAAATATTAAAGAAAGATCTGATAGGATAGAACTGTTTACTATGAAAAAAGTTCAAGATCATTTACAAGAATGGAAAAAATATCCAGCACACTCAGTAAAATATAGGCAAACTGAATCCAGCAACATATGCATTTACCATGACCAAGTAGGATTTATCCCAGGAATGCAAAGTTGGTTCACTAACTGAAAATCAATTAATATAGCCTCACAATCATGGCAAAAGGCAAGGAGGAGCACGTCCTGTCTTACATGGATGGCAGCAGGCAAAGAGAGAATGAGGAAGACGCAAAAGTGGAAACCCTTTATAAAACCATCAGATCTCATGAGATCCATTTACCATTATGAGAACAGTGTGGGGGAAACCGTCCCCATGATTCAACCATCTTCCACCAGATCCCTCCCACAACATGTGGAAATTATAGGAGTATAATTCAAGATGAGATTTGGATGGGGACACAGCCAAACCATATCAACATATATATGTAAGAGGAGATTTATTATGGGAATTGGCTCACATAATTATGGAGGCTGAAAAGTCCCATGATATGCCATCTGCAAGCTAGAGAACTAGGGAGGCTAGTGGTATAATTCAGTATGAGTCTGAAGGCCTGAAAACTAGGGAGTCAATGATAAAACCCTCAGTCTGAGGCCAAAGGCCTGAGGAGGTAAGGGGCACTAGTATAAGAGCTGGAGTTCAAAGACCGAAAACACAGGAGCTCTCATGTCTAAGGGCCAACGAAAATATATGGCCCAGCTCCAAAAGAGAGCCAATTCACTCTTCCTCCACATTTTTGTTCTATGCAGTTCTTCAGAGGATTGGATGATGCCCACCCCCATTGGTGAGGATGATTCTTCTTTACTCAGTCTATTGATTTAAATATTAATCTCTCTTCTGGAAACACCCTCACAGACACACCCAGAAATAATGTTTTACCAGCTATATGGGTATCCCTTAAGCCAGTCAAATGAACATATAAAATTAACCATCACAGTAACATATCACACCAATGGAATAAAAGAAATCATAAGATTATCTCCATACATCCAGAAAAACATGACAATTCTAACACCCTTTAATGATAAAAACACAACAAACTAAGAATAGAAGAAAACTTCTTTAACCTGATAAAGAGCATCTACAAAAAAAACCCATAGCTGAGAAGAAAAGCCACAGACTGGGAGAAAATATTTGCAAAGACATCTCTAAAAAAGAACTGCTATCCAGGAGAAAATGTGGCACACATATACCATGGAATACTAAGTAACCATAAAAAAGAATGAGATTATGTCCTTTGCAGCAACATGGATGCAGCTAGAGGCCATTATCCCAAGTGAATTAATGCAGGGACAGAAAATCAAATAGTGCATGTTGTCACTTATAAGTGGGAGTTAAACATTGGGTACTCATGGACATAAAGATGGCAACAATGGACACTGGAGACTACTTGGGGGAGGGAGAGAGTTAAGAGTTGAAAAGCTACCTATTGGGTACCATGTTCAGCACCTGGGTGATACGATCATTTGTACCCCAAACCTCAGCATCACGCAATATATCCAGGTAATACATTGCACATGTAAAAAGAATTCTAAAAATTCAACAAAAAGAAAATGAACAATGCAATTTAAAAATGAGCAAAATACCTGAATAGACACCTCATCAAAGAAGATACATAAAGAAGGTATATCCAGGCTGGGTGTGGTGGCTCACGCCTGTAATCCCAGCACTTTGGGAGGCCAAGACGGGCAGATCACGAGGTCAGGAGTTCAAGACCAGCCTGGCCAAGATGGTGAAACCCCGTCTCTACTAAAAATACAAAAATTAGCCAGGCGTGGTGGCAGGCGCCTGTCATCCCAGCTACTCAGGAGGCTGAGGCAGGAGAATCACTTGAACCCGGGAGGTGGAGGTTGTAGTGAGCTGAGATCGTGTCACTGCGCTCCAGCCTGGGCGACAGAGCGAGACTCCATCTCAAAAAAAAAAAAAAAAAAAAAAAAAAAAGAAGTTATATCCAAAGAAGATGGCAAATAAGCATGTGAAAAGATGCTCAACATCATATGTCATTAGAGTATTGCAAATCAAAACTACAATGAGATACCACTGCACACCACTATAATGACAAGAACACTGATGACACCAAATGCTGGCAAGGATGTGGAGCAACAAGAACTCTCATTCATTGCTGACGGAAGTGCAAAATGGAACACCCACTTTGAAAGACAGTTGGCAGTTCCTTACAAAGTTAAACATACTCTTACCATATGATCCAGAAATTGTGCTCATAGGTATTTACCCAAATGAATTGAAAACCTGTGTCCACACAAAAACCTTCAGGCAAATGTTTATAGCATCTTTATTCACAATTACCAAAAACTTGGGAGCAACCTAGATGTCCTTCAGTAGATAAATGAATAAATAAACTGTGGACATCCAGACAATGGAATATCATTCAGCACTAAAAAGAAATGAGCTATCAAGCCATGAAAAAATGTGGAATAACCCTAAATGCATATTGCTGAGTGAAAGAAGCCAATCTGAAAAGGATAGATACTATATGATTCCAACTATATGACATTCTGGAAAACGCAATATTATGAAGAAAATAAAAAGATCAGTGCTTGTCAGGGCTTAGGGGAGAGAAAGGGATGAATAAGCAGAGCACAGATAAATTTTATGGCAGTGGAACTCTTTGTATGACAGTATAATGGTAGATATGTGGCTTTATGTATTTGTCAAAACCCACAGGATATACAACACAAGAGTGAACTTTAATGTAAATGACGGACTTTAGGTGATAATGATGTGTCAATGTATTCATTGATTGTAACATATGTACTATTCTGGTGGGGAATGTTGATAGTCGGGGAGGCTGTGCATGTGTGAGAGCAGGGGGTACATGAGAATTCTCTGTACTTTCAATTTTGCTGTGAACCTAAAACTGCTCTAAAAATAAAGTTTTTTAAAAAAATAGCTAACATCATACTTAGTAAATGTTTCCCTCCTGAGATCAGGATCAAGACAAGGATGTCTGCTCTTACCACTTCTATTCAACATTCCACTAGAGGTGCTATCCACGGAAGTTAAGCAAAAAAAGAAATAAAAGGCCTTAAGATTGGCGAGGGAAAAATAAAACTACCTGTATTCACCAATTATATCATCTTACATATAGAATATTCTAAGGGATGCACTAAAAAACTATTAGACCTAATAAAAAAGTTCAGCAAGATTGCAGGTATAAGATCAATATACAAAAACCAACTGTATTTCTATATATTTGTAAACAACAATCCAAAAATAAAATTAAGTAAGTAATTCCATTCACGATAGCATCAATAAAATAAAACGCTTAGGAAAAAAATTAACAAAACAAGTGCAAAACTTATACTCTGAAAACTAAAAAACATTGTTGAAACAAATTAAAGACATAAATAAATGGGAAAACATTCCATGTTCATGAATCAGAAGATAACATTGTTAAGCAGGCAGTGCTCTCTATTTGAGCTACAGATTCAAAGCAATCCTTATCAGAATCCCAGTTGACTTATTTGTGGAAATTGACAAACTGATTTTAAAATCATATGGAATTGCAAGAAATCCAGAATAGTCAAAACAATTTTGAAAAGAAACAACCAAGTAAAATGCACATCTTAATTAAAAATATACTACAAAGCAATGGTAATCAATACAGTATGGTAGTGGCACAAGGATAGACATACAGGTCAATGCAATAGAATTGACAGTCATGAAATAAGCCTATATATCTATCTATGGTCAACTGATTTTCAACAATGGTGCCAAAATTATCCAGTAGGGAAACAATAGTATTTTCAACAAATGTTGCTCAGACAACTGGATAGCCACGTGCAAAAGAATGAAGTTGTATACTTACTTCATACCATATAAAACGTGTTTAATTCAAAATGGATCAAAAGCCTAAATGTAAGAGCTAAAAATATAAAATATGTACAAGAAAACATACAGGTAAATCTTCATGATCTTGGATTTATTTGGCAAAGCAGTTTTAGGTATGACACCTGATATGGTTTGGCTCTGTGTCCCCACCCAAATCTCATCTCGAATTATAATCCCCATCTGTCGAGGGAGGGACCTGGTGGGAAGTGACTGGATCATGGGGGGCAGTTTCCCCCATGCCATTCTCATAATAGTGAGGAAGTTCTCATGAGAGCTGATGGTTTCAAGTGTGGCACTTCCTCACTCTTTCACTCTCTCTCGCTGCCACCAAGATTGTGAATTTCCTGAGGCCTCCCCAGCCATGAGGAACTGTGAGTCAATTAAACGTACTTTCTTTATAAATTACCCAGTCTCAGGTATATCCTTACAGCAGTGTAAGAACAGACTAACACAGAGAATTGGTACCGAAGTAGTGGGGTACTGCTATAAATATAACCTGAAAATGTGGGAGTGACTGTGGAAATGGGTAACTGGCAGAGGTTGGAAGAGTTTGCAGGGATCAGAAAAAGACAGGAAGAGGAGTGAAAGTTGGAACTTCCTAGAGACTTGTTGAATGGTTGTAACCAAAATACTGATAGTGATAGGGACAATGAAGTCCAGGCCGAGGTGGTCTCAGATGGAGATTAGTAACTTAATGGGAACTGGAGCCAAGGCCACTCATACTATTCTTTAGCAAAGATACTGGCAACGTTTTGCCCCTGCCCTAGAAATCTGTGAAACTTTGAAGGTGAGAGAGATGATTTAGGGTTTCTGGCAGAAGAAATTTCTAAGCAGCAAAGCATTCAAGGGGTGACCTGTTTTTTTCCTGAAAGTGTACAGTTATATATACTCACAAAGAGATTGTTTGAAATTCGAACTTATGTTTAAAGGGGAAGCAGAGTGTAAAAGTTTGAAAAATTTGCAGCCTGCCCATGTGGTAGAAAATAAAAACCCATTTTCTGGGGAGAAATTCAAGCCAGCTGCAGAAATTTGCATAAGTAACAAAGAGCCAAATATTAATAGCCAAGACAATGGAGAAAATATCTCCACAGCATTTCACAGATTTTCAAGACAGTGCCTCCCATAACAGGCCCAGAGGCCTAGGAGGGAAAAATAGTTGCTATATGCAGCTTCAAGACATGGTGCCCTGCATCCCAGCCATTCCAGCTATAGCTGTGCTTAAAAGGGACCAAGGTACAGCTTGGGCTGTGGCTTCAGAGGTTGCAAGCCCTGAGCCTTGGCAGCTTCCACGTGGTGTTGGCCCTGCAGGTGCACAGAAGTCAAGAGTTGAGGTTTGGGAACCTCCGCCTAGATTTTAGAGGATGTATGGAAACACCTGGATGTCCAGGCAGATGTTCTGCTGCAGGGGCTCCTCATGGAGAACATCTACTAGGGCAGTGCAGAAAGGAAATGTGGAATCGGAGCCCCCAAACAGAGTCCCCACTGGGGAACTGCCTAGCGGAGCTGTGAAAAGAGGGCCACAATCCTCAGGACCCCAGAATGGTAGATCCAACGATAGCTTGTACCGTGCACCTGGAAAAGCTCCAGGCACTCAACACCAGCCCATGAAAGCAGCTGCAGGGTCTGTACCCTCCAAAGCCACAAGGGTGGAGCTGCCCAAGGCCTTGGGAGCCCACCCCTTGTATCAGTGTGCTCTGGATGGAGTCAAAGGAGATTTTGGAGCTTTAAGATTTAATGACTGCCTGGCTGGGTTTTGGACTTGCATGGGGCCTATGGCCCCTTTGTTTTGGCCAATTTCTCCCACTTGGAATGGGAACATTTACCCAACGCCTGAACCCCCATTGTATCTTGGAAGTAACTAATTTGCTTTTGATTTTATAGGCTCATAGACAGAAGAGACTTGCCTTGTCTCAGATAAGACTTTGGACTTGGACTTTTGAGATAATGCTGGAATGAGTTAAGAGGTTGAGGGACTGTTGGGAAGGCATGATTAGCTTTGTAATGTGAAAATGACATGGGCCAGGGGTAGAATAATATGGTTTGGCTGTAGTTTGAGATTACAAATCTCATCTCAAATTGTAATCCCCATGTTTCGAGGGAGGGACCTGGTGGGAGGTGATTGGATCATGGGGGTAGTTTCCCCCATGCTGTTCTCATGATAGTGAGGGAGTTCTCATGAAAGCTGGTGGTTTTAAGTGTGGCACTTCCTCGCTCTTTTGCTCTGTCTTGCCTGCTGCCATGATTGTAAGTTTCCTGAGGCCTCCCCAGCGATGGGAAACTGTGAATCAATTAAACGTCCCTTCTTTGTAAATTACCCAGTCTCAGGCAGTATCTTTATAGCAGTGTGAGAATGGACTAATACAACAACAAAAGCATTAACAACAAAAATATATAGATTAATTGGATTTCATTACAATTAAAAACTTTTTTGCTTCAAAAAATACAATCAAGAAAATGGAAGGGTAACTCACAGAATGGGAGCAAATATTTGTAAATTATATACTGGTAAAGGACTTATATCTAGAACACATAAATAACTTTTACAAAGACATACAGCACAATTTAAAACTAGACAAATGATCTGAATAGACATTTCTCCAAGGAAGATATGCAAATGACTAATAATCACATAAAAGGATGTTTGGCGTCATTGGTCATCAAGGAAATGTACATCACAGCCACAATGAGATACCACTTCCTACCGACTAGGATAGTTAGAATAAATGTCAGAGAATAACAAGAATGTTATAGGCAAGAACGCAGAGAAATCAGAACCCTCACATACTGCAGATGTTAATAGAAAATGGGGAGCCACTTTGAAAAACAGTCTGGCAGTTCCTCAAACAATTAACCATAGAGTTACTATATGACCCAGTAATTGTATTCCTAGGTACATACCCAGGAGAAATGAAAATATATACTCAAACAAAAACTTGTACAGGAATGTTTACAGTGGCATTATTTATAGTAGCCAAAAGGTGAAAACAACCCAATGGATGAATGGATAAACAAAATATGTTATATCTATATAATGAAATATACTAATAGTAAGTGAAAGAAGCCAGTCACAAAAATCCACACAGTATGCGATTCCAGTCATTTGAAAGCACAGAATGGTAAGTCTATGGAGACAGAAAGTAGATTAGTAGTTGCTTATGGCCTGGGGGGAAGGGGAGTAGTAATGGGAAGATAGGAGGTGATAGCTAAAGGATATAAGGCTTCTTTTTACGGTGATGAAAATGTACTAAAATTGACTATGGTTATGTAGCACATATCTGTGAATAGACTAAAAACCATTTAATTGCATACTTTAAATGGATGAATTATATGGTATGTGAATTATACTTCAATAAGCTGTTTTTAAAAAAATATGCAGCACACAACAAGATAAAACACACTATGCAGGGCATCTAATGAAATATTACCAGACATGCAAAGAAGTAATAAAAAATAAAAGACTCAGAATGAGGAGAAAAATTAACCAAATCCAACCCCAAAATGAAACAGATGTTAAAATTATCAGACAAAGAGAATAAAACAGTTATTACAACAGTATTCTATATATTCAAAAAGGTACAGATAAGAATGAACACATTGTGTAATGACATGTCAGATATAAAAGAAGACCTAAGTTGAATTTCTAGAGATGAAAACTACAGTGTCAGAGACGAAAAACACACTGAATGAAATTGATGGCAGAGTAGAAATTGCAGAAGATTGAAAGACATAGGAATAAATACTATCCAAAACTAAAACACAGAGAAAAAAGGACTAAAAGAAAGAAAAGAAAAAGAACACAGAACCAGTGAACTCTGAGACAACTTCAAGCAGCCTAATATATGTGAAATGGAGTCCACAGAAGATGGAGGGAACAGAAAAAATATTTGAGGGGATAATGACCAAAAATTTTCCAAATTTGATGAAACTATACACCCATAGAACCAAGAAGCTCAACGGAGCCCAAGTTCAAGAAACATGAAGAAAACTATACCCACACAAATCAGAACCAGGTTGCTCAAAGCAACTGATAAAGACAAAAATCCTAAATGCAGCCAGAGGACAAAAAAGACATGTTATGTACAGAGGAAGAAAATAAAGGAAAAAAAAAAAAGAAAATACAATAAAGAAAAACAAAGGCAACAGATTTCTCATTGGAAACAAGACATCAGTGATGCTTTAAACATAAAGTCTTGAGTAAAAAACATAACTGTCATCCTATAATTCTGTATCCAGTGAAAATTTCTTTCAAAAACAAGGGTAAAATAAAGAGCTCTTCAGACATACAAAAGTCAAAAGAACATCATAAGGAATAGTAAAGGACATCCTTTAGACTGAAGGAAAATGATACCAGTTGCAAATATGGATCTACACGCAGAAATGAAGAGCACTAGAAATAGTAATTATGTGCATAAATGCACATCATTCTCAAATTATTTAAATCCTTTCAAAAGATAATTGTCTAAATAAAAGGAAGAAATGTAAATACATTATAGCAAAATTTATGAGATGGCAATAAAGCAATATTCAGAGGGAAATTAATACAACTAAAGATCTGTATTAGAAGTTTCTTAAGTTCTACACTAAACAACCAGAAAAAGGAGAGTAAATAAAACCAAAAGTAAGCTAAGGAAGGAAATAATAAAAAACCAGAGTGGAAATAAATAAAATGAAAACCACAAAAGCAATAGAGACAACTAATAAAAATTCAAAAGCTAGTTTTTGAGAACATCAGTGTAATTGATAAACCTAGCCATACTGATCAGGAAAAAAAGAAGACGCAAATCACCAATATCAGGAATAACAGAAGGGACATCACTCCAGAATCTACAGATATAAAAAAGATAATCTGAATAAACATATATATATATATATATATATATCCTGATATATAATATAGATAATATATAGATATATCTGATATATAATATATACCTGATATAATAGCCAGGTAGGTATATAGACAACTTGGATATATATTTTTTTAAATTTGAATTCAACCTTAAAACCTTCCCACAAAGAAAACTACAGGCCCAGATACCTTACCTGGAGAATTCGACCTAAACATAAAAGAAGGTGTAATTCCAATTCTGCACAAATGATTTCACAAAATTGAACAGGATGAAGTAAGTCCCAACATATTCTATGAGGCCAGCTGTACTCTGATACCAACACCCGACAGACATAATAAGGAAAACTACTGATGAATATCCCTCGTGAACAGAGGTGTAAACATCCTAAGCAAAATATGGCCCAGTAAAGTTTAGCCCAGCATTCAAGGTTAGAAAATCAAATAACGTAATTCACTTCAGTAACACAGATAATCCATATAATCTAAACATCTAAAAAGATGTATGAGCAACGCTCAACAAAATTTTAAATTGATTCATGATATAAAATCTTGGAAAACTAGGAATAGAATAAAACGTCTTTAATTTGATAAATGGCATCTAAAAAAGGAAAATAAAACATAGCAATATTATCATTAATGATGAAAATTCAAAATCATTCCCTTTAATATCAGGAGCTATACAAAGTGACCTGCATTTAATAGTCTACTACTACTAATAGGCACTTGGGCCATTGTTTGCAGGTTATCCATCCATATATTCCTTAGTTTGGAGAAATTCTTTCATATGTTCATCTAGAGTCACAGAAGTAGTGTTTGCAATGTGCGTAAACTGGAAACAATGACCCAAATGCCCATTAGTAGTAGAATACACAATAGTTTGACAGCAGTGAAAATGAATGAGCTATAATCATAGGCATCTCACAAAGCTGAATCTCAGGAGCATAATGAACAGCAAAAGAAGCAAGTCACAAGAGAAAATATAATATGGCTCCATTTATATAAGATTAAAGAACAGACAACCCTAAACAACATCAACAGTTGGTAAGGGTATAAAGAAAAGCAGATAAATGATTTAACCTAACATTAAGGATAGCTAGCTTGTAGTTTGAGAGATGAAGAGTGATGTGATATGGTAGAAGTTTATAGGGATTTCCAAGGGACTAGCTATCTGTCCATTTTATAATTTAAACTGTACACAAATAATTTATATACCCTTTTGTATGTATTATGTGGCTCATAAAAATTTTTAAGAGTAAAGTGTTAAGAATAATCAAAATATTTTGAAGAAGAAAAACAATGCAAGAGAACTCATTACAAATGAAACAAAACAGAGACTCTAGAAACAGCTCCTCACATATATGGAAATGAGTAGGGAAAAAGACAGCACATTCAGTATATAATCCTTGGATGAATGGTTATCTTTCTATAAAAAGATAAAAACGTAAAAGCACATCTTTCCCTAACATCTTACCAAAATCTTTGTCAATTTTCAGGCAGATAAAAAAACTAATTATAAAAATAAAATCTTTAAAACTCAGAAGAAATTTTATAAGAATATTTTTTATGACTTCTGGGCACAAAAAAAATTACATAAGTAAAACTCAAAAAGAATAATGCATAAAAATTGATTATTTTGATTACATTAAAATTAAAAATTGTCGTGCATCAGAGGACATCAGGGGAAATAAAAGCAATGTAATTGAAGAGGTATTTAGGACACTTATTCCTCACAATGGATTAGTATGCAGAATTTATGAAGAACTCCTATAAATCAATACTGAAATAAACATATATATTAAAAGCTGTGCAAAAAGTAGAAACGGAATTCACAGAAGAGGGAACCTGAATAAACTTATGAAAAGTTGTTCAACCTCACTAGTAGGCAGGGAAATGCAAATTAAAAACATACCCCTCAGATTGGCAAACTTTTAAAAGTCTGATAATACCAAATTGACTCAGAGGTGAGAAACTGGAATTCTCAAATACTGCTGCAGATTGTGTAAGTTGGTACGGCCACTTTGGAGAGTGATTTGGAAATATTTAGGTAATATTAAAGGTAAAAAATGTGTATACCCAATGACCCAGAGATTATACTCCTAGATCTATGCCCTAAAGGAGCAGTTCTGCAGACTGTTGGGGGTGTCTGTACCCTTTTAAGGAGGTTCACTAGATCAAGACAATTTTCATAACACTAATTCATTATTTGGAATTTTTTCTTTCAGGAAGGTACTAGTGGAGTTTTCAAGAGGCTACATGACATGTGATAGCACAATATATTGAAGGTGAAACAGGTAGAAAACTCCAGTTGTCTTTATTAAGCCAGATGTTAGAGATTTGCAAATACATAAAACAATACCACTCTTCCCACTACTTTTGTTCTGGAAAATATAATTATTTTCATTAAAATTTTATTTCTAAGTGAATAAAGAAATACATTTAAATTTTGTTTTAATTTTTATAATGTTAAGTAGTGATATAACCCACATAAACAAAAGCTTTTCGGGGTCCTCAATAACCCATGGATCTCCAATTGGATTCATTCACCAAATATTTCCTAAGCACCTTCTCTGTGCCAGGCCCTTGGCTAGGAACTTTGTGGCAGAGGCAGCACTCACTTCATAAGTGATACAACACACCCCAGTTCTGAGACTCCAGCTAGGTCTGGTTGATTCCTCCACAGGCAGGTGACTTCACAGAAGCTTTAGGCTATTTTGTCTACAGCACTGAGAGCTTTGGCTACTTTCATCCTTCCTGCCCCTGAGCTATTGGAATTCTGTTGTTCCACCATTATGTAACTACTATGGTCATCTACCAATCTGAGGACACAGAACCCAGGAAGATTCCAGTCGGTCCCAGTGCCACCTGTGCTCCTAGTTTCAGTCAAATAAGTTGCCAAGTCATAGGAGGAAAATAGAAACAGGCCACATCTGTGCCCATACTTGTCAGCCATGTTCAACTAGTTGCCACTGCAGAACCCTTGACTTGAGTGCTATTACCTCTTAGCTCTACTCACCAATCATTGTAGACCTTAGATATAAGCCCAGAGACCCACAGTTATGAAGATTATGGGGCTTTCCACAAACACCAGTACAATACCCCTGTTCTACTAATCTGAGCACATGAGTGTTACTGGCCACTGAGAGGACTGTCTGCTGCACTCAGCACTTTCTTCAGTTCATTCCACAAATGTCTGGCTCACCACACTTTTCTGAAGGTCTCCTCTGTGCCAAATTCTGAGACATGTATGTTTTTGTATTTTCTTCACTTAGTCCTTCTAACAGCCCTGACGGTTAACCATATTATATTTGTACAGACCCAGCCCATAGCTGGATTTCAGTACTGATGCTAATGCTGCCTGATTTCTGGTGCTATTTGCGAAATGGAGGATGATGGTAACAATGACAACAGTGATCTGGTCTCATGAACTTTGTGGGCTGTCCATTTGTAAACAGGAATGTCTCTCTATGCATTATCTATCTATCAATATGTATTTTGATAGACACACATATCTGTGCATATGTGTGTATATATATAGATATAAATACGCTGTTCCCTAATTTGTTATTGCCAATAGTGGGTATTATGCTCATCTTATAGATAAGGGAGGGATCAGAGTCACAACTGTGGTTGTCACTTGTCCAAAGTCACAAAGCACCTAATTGGTGGGTCCCGGCTTCCTGCCTAGTCTGATCTGACTCCATGAGCTTTACTAACAGTCTTCTTCCCCCACCCTATCCTAAAGCCTCCCTCTGATTCATCAGTAGCCATCTCACTTGCATGCAGCTAAGTCCAAAGAATCCCAGAGTAAAAAAGTAAATAGAATGGGCAGCTTCCTCAGAGCCCACCCAGATCTACTGTGGGTCCTACTCCCAATGATGAAGATTGACAAGGAAAACCTTCTGAAAACTAAAGAGAGGTCATGACCCCTACAGATCATTTCTGCTATTAACTAGCTGTGTCCGTGACTAGTTTACTCTCCTCTGAGCCTCAGTTTCCTAGCCCATTGATTGAGGCAATTGGATTAATAATCTAAATTACTTTCCAGCTCTGAAATTCTATAACTCTAGATATAAAATAAATCAGTTTTTCTTTGTGAAAATCAAAGTACTCTGATTTGAATTTCCAAGACTAGAGTGCATGCTTGTGGGCTAGCCGATCTGTAGTAGGCACCAATATTATACAGAAGAGAACCTCTTGAAGAACTAAAAATCAAAGCAGCCTGACCCCATACCACTTGGGCAAAGTTGCAATGCAGCACAGCAAAACATCAAGCCTAGTTCAGCTGCCACCCTCCCCCATTATGACGCTTGTGAATGTCATTTGTCTGCTAGCTTCACATGATCCCCTATAGACTAAGTGCCTGCTAGTGTGAGGGAATGAAAGAAGTACTGACCTGGGAAGTAAACAATCTAAGTTCAGGTCTCAGTTCAGGCAGTTCTGAGCTGTTTCACCTGGAGCCACTTGTTTCACCTCTCTAAGCTTAAGCTTCCTCCTTCATAAAGTGGGGTGACAGTTCTTGCTCTGTGTGGCTGTCACCGGATTATTGTGCACTTTAATGAGGTAGTGGCAGCCAAACTACCTTAAAAATGTAATGTAGTCAATGTAAATTTTATCCGATGAGATAAATGAGAACAAGAGCTAAGATATCTCCAGGCTCAAGGATTCCTCCACAGAATTCAGTGTGAGCAGCTAGCCAGAAGAGGTACCAGTCACACTTCAAACTTCCCCGGCAGTATTTTGCTAAAAGCTGAGCAAAGACATCTTCCCAGAAAAATCTAAGGACAGGAGCTAATAAGTGAGCCCAGCACTTGATTTAAGAGTAGGATTCAGTTTGGTCATGACCACTAATGGTACACCTACCTTGTGTGCCCAAAATCAGAGTAGGGTGCTCACATGCCCAGCCAACCTCCACGGCTTGGGAAAAGTCTGGGTCTCTCCACTGTTGACTACCCAATGGCAAACGGTGGAAATATGCTTGATAGGTGGAAAATAAAATCAGTATCCGATGGAGAGGAGGGTTGCATTGCCCAGCCTGGCCATCCTCTTTCCCAGTTAGATTACCTCATCTCTTCCCCAGAGTGGGCTTCACAGAGGCCCCAGGGGAACAGGCCGTCCATCCTGGGCTCAAACAGTTGGGTGATTCTTAAAACACCATCCATTCTCACTAAATCCCCAGGAACTATGAAGAGCAGAATTGGCTACATTGACAACATTATCTTTACTGGGTGACTTTTCTTTTCACTGGGAGACTGAAAGTAAATTACTACAAGAAGAATCCTTTTTGTGGTCTAGGCAGCCAATGCCAACTGGAATTGAAGCAGCCTGAGGGCACTTGAGAGCCTGTGCAGCCAGTCAGCCAGGTGGGTGGGAAGACATACAGGCAGGCAGGCAGGCAGCTGGGCAGGTGGGTTGGCAGGTGGGGCCTGCTAGGGGTGAGAAGGGGAATAGTGACCAGGGGGAGCCAGCTGGCCAGGAAGAAAGAAGACATAATTTGACTGGACTCAACTATTTGCTCACCATCAGATTGAAATCCAATCTAGATATTTGCAGTTGTTAAAAAATCTTCAGCTATTTCAAAGAGCAAAAGGAGACCTAGGTGTCATGTACCTGTTCTTCCTCATGTCCTGAGAGCTAGAAGAGGCAGGACGTCAATCTGCTGAACCTGGACCATAAGTAAGCCTACTCAGTAGACCTCTTCTTGATGACACTGACTGTTCATCCTCATCATCATTCTCTGTTTTCCAAGCTCGAGTCAAAAAAATTCTCAAACTCCCCCAAATCTCAGCAAGTTCATCTATCCTAACCCTAACCCTATGGAGAGCCTCTCCTGACCATAGGCTCCTGAGAGCCACACTGCCCAGGACCCAAATTAAATCCAAGCCTTCAGGATGATAGTGGCATTTGCATTTATGTTGTTTGGCCTTGGTTGCCACATGGTACCCTGCTAATAGTAGGACAGAATACCTAAGGATTGTTTACAGTGCCTCCTGGATCATCACTGCCAATAATCTCCACAGTTCCTCGAATTCATTGTCTAACTAAATTCATTATCTTCCTTTCCGTGCTCACCCACTCCCACACTGTTGGTGAGTACTGAGGACCAACATGTTCCTAGAACCCCAAGCCAGAAACCTTAGCTTAGATTTCACCATGGATACAAAGCTAATAGTGGCTACTACTTACTGAATGCTTATCCAGCACTAAGCAGTGTACGTCCATTTTGATTGTCTGGTTCCATTGATTTTATATCCTTAATATCACATGAAACACTCATCATTGCATAGTTCAACCTTGTACCATCTCTTGTCTGAACACTTTCAGCAACTTCACTCATTCATTTATTCAAACAGTATTTAGTGAGGCTCTAGTACATGCTAGGCACTGTGCTGAGGATTCAATGATAAGCAAAACACACCCAGTTCCTCCTCCCATGGAGCGTATGTTCCAGAAGAGAACACAAAGTTTAAACTAGTTGGACAATCCATTCATACTCTAGATATAGTCAGCTTTCCCTTTCTAAAATACATGTCTGTCCTTTCAAAGAACTATCCCCCTACAACCTTCAGGATAAGGCCTGAACTTGTTAACTTGACATTCAAGTCTTGGCAAGCCTTTTACAATTTGCCTTTCCAAACTCAATACCAAGTCATCTCCCTAAGACAGAAGAAGACACACACACACTCACATTCCTCTTTTCTGCTCCCAACATCCCAGAACCAGCCAGATTAGATGACATGTATGTTCTTCAAATACTTCATGCATTATCACATCTGCATGGCTTCAGACTTCCTCTAAAAACCAGAGTTTCTAAGGGCTCTTCCCACTCAGGCAGGCTGGTGTCCCAGGAAACCAGATTGCCCATATTGCAACCAAATGTTGAGAGAAAGCCTTGACAACCACCTCCCAAACCCCCGCCTCTGCCTGTAATTCCCATCCCCCTTTTACTTGGTGAACTCCTACTTATCCTTCTGGTCCCAACTTGGCCTTCAATGCCCCACCCACCACCTTTCCCTGCTGCCCCAACCTGCACAAAGTATCCATCCTTTGTGTATCCCTCCTGGTCTCTCATCATTGTTTGTTTACTGTCTGTCTCCCCTAGAGGGGAGAGGATAGAGGGGCCTTATTTACCATTCTATCCCCAGTGCATGCCACAGAGTTGGTACTGAAGGAATGAATTGTTGAATGAATAGATGAATGAATAAGTGAATCTTTAATAAAAGGCCAGAGTTTGGTCCGTTCACTGCAGCAAAGTTTTCATTTCAGTCCCCAAAAGCAGACTGGAAGTTCTCTGAAGGACAGGGACACATCTATATTAATAGCTGATTTTTCCACAGCACCTAGCATTTGTTCCCTCTATGTGCTTCTGTATCTGGGTCCCAATATCCCTGTTTTATAAGGACAACAGTCATATTCACTTAGGGCCCACCCTAATGACCTTATTTTACCTTGATTACCTCTATAAAGACCCTATCTCCAAATAAAATCACATTTCTGAGGTACTAGGGATTAGGACTTCAACATGAATTTAAGGAGTAGGGGTCACAATTCAATCCATAAGATTTTTTTTATATTTTATTTTATTTTATTTTATTTTATTTATTTTATTTTTTGAGATGGAGTCTTGCTCTGTTGCCCAGGCTGGAGTGCAGTGGCGTGATCTCAGCTCACTGCAACATCCACCTCCTGGGTTCAAGCAATTCTCATGCCTCAGCCTCCTGAGTAGCTGGGATTTCCAGACATGTGCCACTACACCTGGGTAATTTTTGTATTTTTCATAGAGATGGTGTTTCACCATGTTGGCCAGGCTGGTCTCAAACTCCTGACCTTAAGTGATCCACCCGCCTCGGCCTCCTAAAGTGCTGGGATTACAGGTGTGAGCCACCGCGCCCGGCCAGAATTTTGCCCTATTCTTCAACAACATGTTTCTTAAGTCAGCACTGTAGACTCCAAGTACATTTCTTCCCATTAGGAAAATTTTATTACCTATTTTATGAATATTTTCCCCAGTATTTTGCACAGTCATGACCCAGAAGTGAAGAGAAAAAGATATTTCTGGTTCTAAGATAAAAATTAAAAATATTGAAAAAACAAAGCCAAACATTGTTGACAATTATTAACAAACACTGGTACTTGGAGTCATTCAAGGATAAAGGGGCTCTATCTGCCTCCTCTCAAGACAGCTGGGCTTCCATGTGCCTTGCCTGATTGAGAAGGGGTCATTGTGCACCCTGGAGTAAAAATGCCTCTCTTTTCCCTTTATGAAGTACTTCTCCCTGGAAGTGCAATGCATTTTAAAATGCTTTTTGGTGTCTGTGTTTGCATCTAGTGCCACAAGTCACACCGAGTTGATGCTGCAAGTATGTTCTGCGATTAAGCTTCTAATATCCATCAAGCAAGAAGAAAAAAACAAAAGAGAAAGGAGAGGAAATTTATCCTGGAAAATAATAATAAAACACTGAATGACTTTGAAGTGTGATACTTAATAAAGGAAATGTGTGAAAATTGAGGCAAAGACATTTTGGGTGGGTGAATTTGCTCTGGAATAGCAGCTGTTAATTTGAATTTTAGCTCTATGTAGTAGGTTTCACATAATGCAAAACAGTGTTTCCCCTAATATATTAGTACAAGCAAAAATGCATGTTGTTAATATGAGTGCTCTAGTTAAGACACCTGTGTGAGCTCTGGTTTTCTCCCAGATGCCCCAGTCAGTAATGCATAACATGTTGGCCCATATGGAAATTGTAAGCTTTCTGTTCAACAGTACTGCTTTCTAGATGAACTCCCAGTACACTCTGGAATTTAGTAACTTGAACTCTGTAGGATGCTGTTGGTCTTATCTGTCCTTAACTACCTGACTCAGTGTCCTGGAATGCTTGTGAGAAGGCAATCCACACTGTAGACCCCAGAGATTACTCAACCCAGTGCTACTCAAAGTGTGGTCCACAGACTGGTGCCAGTACACAAAAATATTGGTTTCCAGTATAATAAGGCAGGCATAGAAATTGAAAATAAGCTTTGATACGTGTATATAGCAATTTGACAGAATACTTTTATGTCTGTTGAATAATTAAAAGATGAGTTTGTATTTTGTATATCTTTTTCATTTTTATAGTAATTTATTTTTATTTTATTTTGAAAAGCATTTGTGATGATTAGAAAAAAATTTTAAACTTTTGTTTTAAGTTCAGGGGTACATGTGCAGGTTTGTTACATAGGTAAACTGTGTCATAGGGGCTTGTACAGATTATTTCATCATCCAGATATTAAGTCTAGTACCCATTAGTTATTTTTCCTGATGCTCTCCCTCCTCCCACCCATCACCCTCTGATAGGCCCCAGTGTGTGTTGTTCCCCTCTATGTGTTCATGTGTTCTCATCATTTAGCTCCCACTTATAAGTGAAAACATATGGTATTTAGTTTTCTATTCCTGTGTTAGTTTTCAATTGGTTCTTCCCTATGGATGGTTAAGAAGCCCTAATTTAGTCTGCCTTCCCCATTCCAGAAAAGGTCAAGACTCCTTAGGATTGACCCTGGGTTCCTCCAGGTTCTGTAAGGTTATAAGAAAAACTCAAATTTCTACTGCATTCAAGTCAATATTTATTCATTGCGTACTTACGAGACAATGGGCTATGTGCTTGGGGTACCTTAGTGATCATGACAGAAAGAGTCCAAAGATTTGTTGACTACCTGTATTCTTGACAGAGCTTAAAATCCAGCAAAGTATAAATTGTAAGAAAGAATCAAATTATCTCCAATTCCACCCAGGTTGCTGCAAATGCCATTTTATTGTTCCTTTTTATGACTAAGTAGTATTCCATGGTATATATGTACCACATTTTCTTTATCCACTCATGGATTGATGGGCATTTGGGCTGGTTCCATAGTTTTGCAGTTGCAAATTGTGCTGCTATAAACATGTATGTACAAGTATCTTTTTCATATAATGACTTCTTTTCCTCTGGGTAGATACTGAGGAGTGGGATTGCTGGTAGTTTAGGAATGAAAAAAGAAACTTCACATGTTCTCACTCATAAATGGGAGCTAAGCTATGAGGACATGAAGGTATAAGAATGATACAATGGACTTTGGGGACTTGAGGGAAAGGGTGGGAGTGGAGTGAAAGATAAAAGACTACACGTTGGGTCCAGTGTACACTGCTCAGGTGATGGGTGCACCAAAATCTCAGAAATCACCACTAAAGAACTTTTTCATGTAACAAAACACCACCTGTTCCCCAAAAACCTATTGAAATAAAAAAAGAAAGAATCAAATGGAAATGGTAGAAATGAAAAACAGGAACAGAGATGAAGACCTTTGATGTACTCAACAGTAGAATTAACACAACCAAGGAATGAGATGAAATAATTCCATTCACAATAGTTTCAACAAAAATAAAACACTCAGAAATAAATTTGCCAAAAGAACTGCAAGACGTACACACTGAAAATTATAAACCATGGCTGAAAGAAATTAAAGACCTAAATAAATGGTAAAAGACTTTTTTTTTTTTTTTTGAGACAAGGTCTCACTCTGTCATCCAGGCTGGAGTGCAGTGTCATGATCATGGCTCACTGCAGCCTCAGCCCCCAGGCTCAAGCGATCCTCCCAGCTCAGCCTCCTATAGGCACGGGCTACCATGCTCAGTTAGCTTTCTATTTCTTGTAGTGATGGGGTCTTGCTATGTTGCCAGGACTGGTCTCCATCTTCCGGGCTTAAGTGATCCTCCTGCCTTGGCCCTCCCAAAGTGCTGGTATTACAGGCACGAGCCATCATGCCTGGCCAAGATATCTCATTTTTTTTTTTTTTTTGAGACGGAGTCTCGCTCTGTGGCCCAGGCTGGAGTGCAGTGGCGCGATCTCGGCTCACTGTAAGCTCCGCCTCCCGGGTTCACGCCATTCTCCTGCCTCAGCCTCCCGAGTAGCTGGGACTACAGGCGCCCGCTACCACGCCCGGCTAAATTTTTGTATTTTTAGTAGAGACGGGGTTTCACCGTGTTAGCCAGGATGGTCTCGATCTCCTGACCTCGTGATCCGCCCGCCTCGGCCTCCCAAAGTGCTGGGATTACAGGCGTGAGCCACCGCGCCCGGCCCTCATTTTTTTTTTGAGACAGAGTCTTGCACTGTTGCCCAGGCTGGAGTGCAGTGGCATGATCTTGGCTCACTGCAAGCTCCGCCTCCTGGGTTCACGCCATTCTCCTGCCTCAGCCTCCCGAGCAGCTGGGACTACAGACGCCCACCACCATGCCCGGCTAATTTTTTTTTTTTTTTTTTTTTTATTAGAGATGGGGTTTCACTGTGTTAGCCAGGATGGTCTTGATCTCCTGATCTCGTGATCCGCCGGCCTCGGCCTCCCAAAGTGCTGGGATTACAGGCGTGAGCCACCGCGCCCGGCTGATATCTCATTTTTAAGGATTAAAAGAATTAATATTTTTAGGATGGCAATATTCCGCTAATTGAAATACAGATTCAGTAGAATCCCTATCAAAATTCCAGCCTCACTTTTTTTGTTTTTTGCAAAAATGACAAGCTGACCCTAAATTCATATGGAAGTGTTAGGGGACCCAAAATAGTCAAAACAATCTTGAAATAGAAAAACAAATTTGGAGGACTCACATTTTCCACTTCTAAACTTACTACAAAGTTACCTATTGACATAAGGTACTGACATAAGGACAGACATATAGATCAACGGACTAAATAAGCCCATACATCTATGATCAACTTATTTTTGACAAAGGTGACAATGTCAGACAATAAGAGAGGAGTAGTGTCTTCAGCAGTGGTGCTGGAAAAACTGGATAAATGGTGCTGGAAAAACTGGATATCCACATGGAAAAGAATAGAGTTGGATCCCTATCACATACAATATTAAAAAAAAACTCAAAATGGATCAAAGACTTATACTGTAAGAGCAAAAGCTATAAACTCTCAGAAGAAAACATAAGTATAAATCTTTGTAATCCTGGATTAGGCAATGGCCTTTTAGGCAATGGTCTCTTAGACATGATACCTAAACTATAAGCAACCAAAGAAAAAAATAGATAAATTGGACTTCATCAAAATTTAAAACTTTTATGTTCAAAAGACACTATCAAAAAGGCGAGAAGACAACCAACAGAATGGGAAAACAACATTTGCCTGTCATATATCTGTTAAGTCTCTAGCATCCAGAATATATAAAGAACTCCTACAACTCAAAATTAAAAGACAAATAATCCAATAAAAATTGGGCAAAGAATTTAAATAGACATAGAATTTTAAAAGAAAGTACACAAATAGCCAAGAAGAACATGAAAAGATGATCTACATAGTTAGCCATTAGGGAAATACAAATCAAAACCATAATAAGATACCACTTTACCCTCTGAAAGATATCTATAATCCAAGGTAAACATTAAGAAGTGTTATTGTAGATGTAGAGAAATTACAACTCTCACACATAGGGGTTGGAATGTAAAATGATGCAGCCACTTTGGAAAACAATTGGCGGTTCCTCAAAAAGTTAAACATAGAACTGCCATGTGACCTGGCAATTCTACTCATAGCTACAGTAATTGAAGCTAGCAATTGAAGAGAATTGAAAACATATATCCCCACAAAACATGTACATAGATGTTCATAGCAGCATTATTCATAATAGCCATAATGTGGAAGCAACTCAAATGTCCATGAACTGGTGAATGGATAATCAAAATATGGTATATTCATATAAGGGAATAGTATTCAGTTATAAAAAGGAATGAAGTACTGATACATGCTATAACATGGATGAACCCTGAAAACAGAATACTGACACAAAAAGCCATATATCATATGGATTCCATTTATTGCAGAATAGGCAAATCCATAGAGTGGATTTAAAGAGTGACCGAAGATCACCTACCTCTACATGTAAACCCAAGTCAAATTCTAAGAGTCAGTCAAAGGCAAAGATCACCTCTATGTGTAAACCATCATTTGAAACTGATTTCTCACTTGTACAAAGAAAAACGCTTTGGAGCAAAACAGATAGAAAAAGACTGCAAATACTAACACAAAAATGGCCTGAGCTCTTTCAGTCTTTCTGATGAAGGCGTTTAGGGCTATGAACTTTCCTGTTACCACCACCTTTGCTGTATCCCAGGGGTTTTGGTAGGTTGTGTCATTATTGTCATTCAGTTCAAAGATTTTTTTAATTTCCATCTTGATTTCATTTTTCACCCAATACTCATGCAGGAGCAGGTTATTTAATTCCCATATATTTCCATGGTTTTGAAGGTTCCTTTTGGAGTTGATTTCCAGTTTTATTCCACTGTGGTCTCAGAGCGTGCTTGATATAGTTTCAATTTTCTTAAATTTATTGAGGCTCGGGCCTATCATATGGTCTATCTTGGAGAAAGTTCTATGTGCTGTTGAATAGAATGTATATTCTGTGGTTGTTGGATGAAATGTTCTGTAACTATCTGTTAAGTCCATTTGTTCCAAGGTATAGTTTAAATCCATTGTTTCTTTGTTGACTTTCTGTCTTGATGACCTGTCTAGTGCTGTCAGTGGAGTACTGAAGTCCCCCATTATTATTGTGTTGCCATCTATCTAATTTCTTAGGTCTATTAGTAATTGTTTTATAAATTTGGGGGCTCCAGTATTAGGTGAATATATGCTTAGGATTGTGATATTTTCCTGTTGGACAAGGCCTTTTACCATTGTATAATGTTCCTCTTTGTCTCTTTTAACTGCTGTTGTTTTAAAGTTTGTTTTGTCTGATATAAGAATAGCTACCCCTGCTCGCTTTTGGTGTCCATTTGCATGAAATGCCTTTTTCCACCCCTTTACTTTAGGTTTATGTGAGTCCTTATGTGTTAGGTGAGTCTCCTACCCTCCGGTATCTATCATTCTACTCTTTATTGCCATGCGATCCACTTTTTTAGCTTCCACATATGAGTGAAAACATGATATTTGTCTTTCTGTGCCTGGCTTATTTCACTTAACATTGTAATATCCAGTTCCATCCATGTTGCTGCAAATGATAAGATTTCATTATTTTTTATAGTTGAATAGCTCTCCATTGTGTATATGTACCATACTTTATCCATTTATCAATTGATAGACACTTAGGTTGAATCCATATATTGGTTATTGTGAATAGTGCTGCAAACCCTGAGAGCACAGGGCACCGGAGAGATTGCATGCTCAAAAGATATCTTAAAAAATGATAAATTTTAAAATATATTTGTGGACAAGTATTTTAATATTAAATTGCTATGATAATGATTATTAAGTGAATAAACACTATAGAATCAGATTTTAAAAGCTAGTAAGCACCTCAGAGATGAAAGTTATAACCCTCACCATACTCTCCACCTCTGCTAGTACTTCAAAGATCTTTCACCTAACCCTTTTTTCTCTTTTCTATCATATCACAAACACCTTATTATATTTATTCTTTGTTGTTTGCTGTTTGCCCTCCCATGCCCAACAAGGATGGAAGCCCCATGAGGGCAGGGATCCTTGCCTGTTTTGTTTGCTGATATATCCCAACCCCCCACAACAGTGCCTGAGCAGCTACTCATTTGTTGAGTGAATAAAACTCAACTAACAGCCACTTGTTTTAGTTTAACAAACTAATAGTGGACTAAAACTGGAAATCAACTCAAAAAGGAACCTTCAAAATCATGCAAATACATTGAAATTAAATAACATGCTCCTGAATGATCATTGGTTCAAAAATGAAATCAAGATGGAAACTTAAAAATTCTTTGAACTGAACGACAATAATGACACAACCTACTAAAACTTCTGGATACAGCAAAGGCAGTGCCCTAAGTGCTTACAACAAAAAGACTGAAAGAGCACAAACTGACATTCTAAGGTCACACCTCAAGGATCTAGAGAAACAAGAGCAAACCAAACCCAAACCCAGAAGAAAGGAAATAACCAAGATTAGAGCAGAACGAAATGAAATTGAAACAAAATAACAATACAAAAGATAAATGAAACAAAAAGCTAGTTCTTTGAAAAGATAAATAAAATTGATAGACTATTGGCAAGATTAGCCAAGAAAAGAAGAGAGAAAATCCAAATAAGCTCACTAAGAAGTGAAACAGGAGATATTACAACTGACACCACTGAAATACAAAAGATCATTCGAGACTACTATGAACACCTTTACACACATAAACTAGAAAACCTAGAAGAGATGGATAAATTATTGGAAAAATACAACCCTCCTAGCTTAAATCAGGAACAATTAGATACCCTGAACAGACCAATAACAAGCAGTGAGATTGAAATGGTAATTTAAAAATTACCAACAACAACAAAAAGTCCAGGACCAGGCAGATTCACAGCAGAATTCTACCAGACATTCAAAGAAGAATTGGTACCAATACTTTTGACACTATTCCACAAGATAGAGAAAGAAGAAACCCTCCCTAATTCATTCTATGAAGCCAGCATCACCCTAATACCAAAACCAGGAAGGGACATAATCTAAAAAGAAAACTACAGACCAATATCCTTGGTGAACATAGATGCTAAAATCCTTAACAAAATACTAGCTAAACAAACCCAACAGCATATCAAAAAGGTAATCCACCATGATCAAGTGGATCACATATCAGGGATGCAGGGAATGTTTAACATACACAAGTCAATAAATGTGATACACTACATAAACAGAATTAAAATGAGAAATCACATGATCATCTCAATAGATGCAGAAAAAGCATTCAACAAAATCCAGTATCGCTTCATGATTAAAACTCTCAGCAAAATCGGCATACAAGGGATCTTTCAGTATCTAATAAATACCTTAATGTAATAAAAGCCATGTATGGCAAACCTGCAGCCAACATAGCACTGAATGGGGAAAAGTTGAAATCATTCCCTCTGAGAACTGGAACAAGACAAGGATGTCCACTGTCACCACTCCTCTTCAACATAGTACTGGAAGTCCCAGCCAGAGCAATCAGACAAGAGAAAGCAAGGACATCCAAATCTGTAAGGAGGAAGTCAGACCGTCACTGTTTGCTGATGATATGATCGTTTACCTTGAAAACCCTGAAGACTCCTCCAAAAAGCTCCTAGAACTGATAAAAGAATTCAGCAAAGTTTCCAGATACAAGATTAAGGTACACAAATCAGTAGCTCTTCCATACACCAACAGCGACCAAGCGGAGAATCAAATCAAGAACTCAACCCCTTCTACCATTGCTGCAAAATAATAATAATAATAATAATAATAATAATAATAATAATAATAATAATAAAATACTTAGGAATATACCTAACCAAGGAGTTGAAAGACCTCTACAAGGAAAACTACAAAACACTGCTGAAAGAAATCATGGATGACACAAACAAATGGAAACACATGCCATGCTCATGGATGGGTAGAATCAATATTGTGAAAATGACCACACTGCCAAAAGCAATCTACAAATTCAATGCAATCTCCATCAAACTACCACCATCATTCTTCACAGAATTAGAAAAAACAATTCTAAAATTCATATGGAACCAAGAAAGAACTGCATAGCCAAAGCAAGACTAAGCGAAAGAACAAATCTGGAGGCATCACACTACCTGATTTCAAACTATACTATAAGGCCACAGTCACCAAAACAGTATGGTACTGGTATAAAAATAGGCACATAGACCAGTGGAACAGAATAGAGAACCTAGAAATAAGCCCAAATACTTATAGCCAACTGACCTCAACAAAGTAAACAAAAACATAAAGTGGGGAAAGGACACCCTTTTCAACAAATGGTGCTGGGATAATTGGCTAGCCACATGTAAGAGAATGAAACTGGATCCTCATCTCTCACCGTATACAAAAATCAACTCAAGATGGATTAAGGACTTAAACCTGAAACTATAAAAATTCTAGAAAATAACATTGGAAAAACCCTTCTTGACATTGGCTTAGGCAAGGATTTCATGACCAAGAACCCAAAAGCAAATGCAATAAAAACAAAGATAAATAGTTGGGACCTAATTAAACTAAAGAGCTTTTGCGTGTCAAAAGGAACAGTCAGCAGAGTAAACAGGCAACCCAGAGAGTGAAAGAAAGTCCTCATAATCTATACATCTGACAGAGGACTAATATCCAGAATCTACAACAAACTCAAACAAATCAGTAAGAAAAAAACCAACAATCCCATCAAAAAGTGGGCTAAAGACATGAATAGACAATTCTCAAAAGAAGATATACAAATGGCCAACAAACATATGAAAAAATATTCAACATCACTAGTGATCAGGGAAATGCAAATCAAAACCACAATGCGATACCACCTCACTCCTGCAAGAGTGGCCATGATCAAAAAATCAAAAAACAGTATGTGTTGGCATGGATGCGGTGACCACGGAACACTTCTACACTGTTGGTGGGAATGTAAACTAGTACAGCCACTATGGAAAACAGTGTGGAGAGTCCTTAAAGAACTAAAAGTAAAACTACCATTTGATCCAGCAATCCCACTACTGCATATCTACCCAGAGGAAAAGAAGTCACTATTCGAAGAAGATACATGCACACGCATGTTTATAGCAGCACAATTCACATTTGTGAAATTGTGGAAACAACCCAAATGCCCATCAATCAACAAGTGGGTAAAGAAACTGTGTGATATATATAAATATATTTATATATAATATATAATTATATATATAATTATTTTATTTATATTATATAGTTATATATAATTATATATTATATATTATATAATTATATATAATTATATATGTATAATATATAATATATAATAATTACATATAATCATATATGTATAATATATAATGTATAATAATTATATATAATTATATATGTACAATATATAATATATAATAATTATATATAATCATATATGTATAACATATAATATATAATAATTATAATTATATATAATATAATATATAATAATTATAATTATATATAATATAATATATAATAATTATAATTATATATAATATAAAATAATTATAATTATATATAATATAATATATAATAATTATAATTATATATAATATAATATATAATTAATGGATAATAATTAATAATTAATATATAATAATAAATAATAGTATAAATATAATATATAATTATATATGATATAGTATATATAATTATATATGATATAGTATATATAATTATGTATGATATAGTATATATCATATATAATAATTATATATGATATAGTATATAGCATATATAATAATTATATATGTTATATATATTATGTATTATATAATATGTTATATATAAATATATTATATAATGTTATATATAATATATTATATAATATAATATATAAAATATAGATAATATTATATAATATATAATATATATAAATTACATAATATATAATATATATAAATTACATAATATATAATATATATAAATTACATAATATATAATATATATAAATTACATAATATATAATATATATAAATTATATAATATATAATATATATAAATTACATAATATATAATATATATAAATTACATAATATATAATGTATATAAATTACATAATATATAATATATATAAATTACATAATATATAATATAATATATATAATATATAATTTATATATATAATATATATATGATGGAATACCACTCAGCCATAAAAAGGAATTAATTAGCAGTATTTGCAGTGACCGAGATGAGATTGGAGACTATTATTCTAAGTGAAGTAACTCAGGAATGGAAAACCAAACATCGTATGTTATCACTGATACATGGGAGCTAAGCTATGAGGACGCAAAGGCATAAGAGTGATACAATGAACTTTGGGGACTTGGGGGGAAAGAGTGGGAGGGGGTTGAGGGATAAAAGACTACAAATATGGTGTAGTGTATACTGTTTGGGTGATGGGTGTACCAAAATCTCATAAATCACTGCTAAAGAACTTACTCATGTAACCAAATACCACCTGTACCCCAATAACCTATGGAAAAAAAATAGCCTCGGTATCTCTTATAATCAAAATAGATGTATTAGTTTTTTATTGCTGCTGTAACAAATTACCACCAAATCTGTGGCCTAAAAAATGTAAAATTATTATCTTACAGTTCTTGGAGTCAGAAGTCCAAAATGGGTCTCTCTGGGCTAAAATCAATGGGTTTGTAAGGTTGTGTTTCTTTTTTGTTTTTGCCTTTGTATACATGTAAGGGGTACAACTGCAGTGTTGCTACATGGATATACTGCTTAGTGGCGAAGTCTGGGCTTTTAGTGTAACCATCACTCAAATAGTGTATATTGCATCCATTGAGTATTTCTCATCCCTCACCCCACTTCCTCCCTCCCTCCTTTCTGAGTCTTCAGTGACTATTATTCCACACTCATGTCCATGTATACACATTATTTACCTCCTGCTTATGAGTGAGAACATGCAGTATTTGACTTTCTGTTTCTGAGTTGTTTCACTTAAGATAACGGCTTCCAGTTCCATACATGTTGTTGCAAAATACATGATTTCATTCATTTTTATGGCTAAAGAGTATTCATGGTGTATATGCACCACATTTTCTTTGTCCAATAATTCACTGATAGACCCTTAAATTGATTCCACATTTTGCTATTGCGAATAGTGCTGTGATAAACATACAAGTGCAAGTATCTTTTTTATATAATTATTTATTTGTCTTTGGGTGGATACTCAGTAGTGGGACTGCTGGATCAAATGTTAGTTCTATTTTTAGTTCTTTGAAAAATCTCCATACTGTTTTCCACAGAGGCTGTACTAACTTACTTGCCCACCAACAGTGCATAAGCTTTCTCTTTTCCTCACACCCCTGCCAACACGTTTTTTTTCTGTCTTTTTAGTAATAGCCATTCTGACTGGTGTAAAATGATCTCCTTGTGGTTTTAATTTGTACTTATCTGATGGCTGGTGATGGTGAACATTTTTTAATATGCTTGTTGGCCATTTCTGTGTAATTCTTTTGAAAACCGTTGATTCATGTCCTTTGCCCACTTTTTAATAGGGTTGTTTTGTTGTTGTTGATGAGTTGATTTCCTTATAAATTCTGGATATCAGTCTCCTGCCAGATGCATAGCTTGCAAATCTTTTCTCCCATTCTGCTTGTTATCTCCTCATGCTATTGATTATTTCTTTTGCTGTACAGAAACTTTTTAACTTAATTAAGTCCCATTTGTCAATTTTTGTTGTTGTCGCTTGTGCTTTTAAGGACTAAGTCATGAATTATTTGTCTAGACTAATGTCCAGAAGAGTTTTCCCTAGTATTTTTATGTTTCAGGTCTTACATTGAAGTCTTTAATCCATCTTGAGTTGATTTCTGTATATGATATGAGATAGGGCTCTGGTTTCATTCTTCTGCTTATAGTAATCCAATTTTCCCAGCACCATTTATTGAAAAAGGTGTCCTTACCCCAGTGTATATTTTTGCCAACTTTGCAAAAGGTCCATTGTCTCTAGATATGTGGCTTATTTCTGAGTTGTCTACTCTGTTCCATTTATCTATGTATCTGTTTTTATACCAGTACCATGTTGTTTTGTTTACTATATAAACAAAATAATATTTTAATTTGTGGTCTGGTCATATAATTTGAGGTCAGGTAATGCGATGCCTCCAGCTTTGTTCTTTTTGCTTAGAATTGCTTTGGCTATTCAGGCTCTCTTTTTGGTTACACATGAATTTTAGGATTCTTTTTCTTAATTCTGTGAAAATGACATTGGTATTTTGATAGGGATTTCATTGAATCTGTAGATTGCTATGGGTAGTATGGTCATTTTGATGATATTAATTCTTCTGATCCATAAACATGGGATATTTTTCCAATTGTTTGTGTCATCTATAATTTCTTTCCTCAGCATTGTGTAGTTTTCCTTATAGAGATCTTTCATTTCCTTGGTTAAATATATTCTCAGGTATTTTATTTTTTGTAGCTATTGTAAATGGGATTGCCTTCTTGGTATGGTTCTCAGCTTGATAGTTATTGGTGTATATATATGCCACTGAATTTTGTACATTGACTTTGTAAGCTATAACTTTACTAAATTTATTTATCAAATTTAAGTCTTTTGGAGGAGTCTTTAAGGTTTTTTAGGTATAAGATCATATTGTCAGAGATAATTGAACAGAGATGATTTGACTTCCTCTTTTCCAATTTGGATGCCTTTTATTTTTTTCTCTTGCTTGATTGTTCTGGCTACCATGCTCTTTTCTGAAGGCTGTAGTGAAGATTCCATTTATTTACCCTTTCTAACTTCTAAAGGCTTTCCACATTCTTTGTTTTTTGTCCCCTTACTCCATCATCAAAGCCAGCAATGCTGGACCAAGTCTTTCTCACAACACCATCTCCCTGGTTCTATTATGCCCTTTGTTTCCACCTGTAAGGACCCTTTTGATTACACTGAGCCCACCCAGATAATCAAGAATAATCTTCCCCATCTCCAGGTCAGGTGGTCAGTAAACTTAATTCCATCTGCAACCTTCATCCCCCTTTGCAATGCAACCTAACATATTCACAGGTTCCGGACATTACCAAATGGACTTCTTTGGGAGCTAATTATTCTGCCTACCATGATAGAATTAGAACAAGGAATATTATCAGGTACAAAGAAGCATAAAGAGTCAATTCTAGAAGAAGATGTAACAATCCTAAGGATGTATGCATTCAACAACATAGCCTCAAAATACTTGAAGCAAGAACCAACAGAACTGAAAGGAGAAACAGCAAATCCACAATTATAGTTGAGGACTTCAACACTCTTAGTAATTTGTAGAACAAGCAAGCCGAAAATTCTTAAGAATAGAAAATATCTATAACACATTATCAACCAAACTGACTAAATTGATATGTACAGAACACGCCTCCCAACAACAGCAGACTACATGTGTATTTTCACGTGCTTATGGAATATTCAGCAAGATAGAGCATATTCTGGGCTACAAAACAAGCTTTAAACTTAAAAGCATCGAAATCATAGAAAGTATATTCCAGAGTAACATTAGAAATGAATTATAGAAAGATATTTAGAAAATCTCCAAATATTTAAAAATTAAACCATGCACTTCTAAATAACCATGGGTCAAAATGAAGTCTCAAAAGAAACTACAAAACATTTCAACAAAATGAAAATAAAGGTATAACATATCAATATTTGTGGAAGAAGATAAAGCAATGCTTAGAGGGAAGCTTACAGCATTAAATGCATATATTAGAAAAGAAGAAAGGTTTCAAATTGATAAACTAAGATTCCACCTTAAGATCAGAGTAAAAATAGCTAATTAAACCCAAGGAAAATAAAATTTAAAAGATGATAACTGCAAGAATCCATCAATATCATAGAAAAACAATAGAGAAAAACCAATGAAGCTAAAAGTTAATTCTTTAAAAAAAATCAATAAAATTGATAGACCTCTTGCAAGCAAGAGTGACCAAGAAAAAACAGAAAAGACACAAATTACCAACATCTGTAATGAAAGACAAGATATCGATGTAGATCCCACTGGAATTAAAAAAGATAATAAGGGCATACTACAGATAAATCCATGTCCATAAATTTAACACCTTAGATGAAATGAAACAAATAACTCACATTATCAACGTCTGCTGAAAAAAT